>NC_000001.11:47432622-47735653 GCF_000001405.40 Homo sapiens | reverse complement strand
AATGCAGTAAGACAAGACGAACAAAATCGAGGTGTAAAAAAATGAAATGAAGAAGAGAAAACCTGAGAAAGTATCTACAGAAAGATTAAGAGGGCTCAGGAATTCAGTTGAATACAAAATAAATAGCTCTAATATATACAAATAACATTCAATTCGAAGATATAGTGTAATGGAGGAAAAACTTATAATAGCAACAATAACGATAAAATATCTAGGAATAAACTCAACTAGAAATCCTAAAGACATTCCCAAGAGACATGAAAACATACTCGAACAAAGGGAAAGGCTAGCCCATGTTCCTGAATGGGAAGACACAACGTCATAAAGATGCCAGTTATCCCTAAGTTAATATAAAATTTAATGTAATCTTGATGAAAGGATCAACAATATTTTTTTAACTGAATAGTCAATTCTAAAGTTTATATGGCAAAATGTGTGCAATAATATTCTGTAAAAGTCTAAAAAGGAAGCGTAATAAGGGATGGCTAGCCCTATAGTTAAAACAACATTTACAAAGCCACGCTGATTAAAACAATGTGGTACTGGCACACGGACAGATCAACAGAACAGAATGAAAAGTCCAGAAAAAGATGAAGATACAGACTGGAATTTAGTGTATTGTGAAGGTGGCATTTCATATCAGTAGGGAAAAGATGCGTTATTTAATAAATGGTATGGCAACAACTAGGTAGTCTTCTGGGACAAAGTAAATTTGAGTTTAACCTTACACCTTACTTCAGGATAAATTTCAAATGAATCAAAGATTTGAATGTAAAACAATAAAAGTTCAAAGGAGCATGAGAGAATGATTTTATAATTTCAGAACAAGGATGACCTTTCTAAATATGACAAAATCAAGAAGTCTCAAATTTTTAAAAAGCTAATGTTTGACTATAAAAAAAACTATAAATTTTATTCATGGCAAAAACACTCAATAAAATTATCAACAGATTTTTTTTTCGAACTTGGCTGGGTGCTATGGCTCACACCTGTAATCCCAGCACTTTGGGAGGCCAAGGTGGGAGGATTGCTTGAGCTTAGGAGTTCGAAACCAGCCTGGCCAAAATGGTGAAACCCTGTCTCTACTAAAAATACAAAAATTAGCTGGGTGCAGTGGCAGCCACCTGTAACCCCAGCTACTCAGGAAGCTGAGACACCAGAATTGCTTGAACCCCAGAGGGGTGGGGGGTGAAGGGCAGAGGCTGCAGTGAGCGGAGATAGCACCACTGCACTCCAGCCTGGGCGACAGAGTGAGTCTCCGTCTCAAAAAAAAAAATTTTCTTTTGGAACTTCACAAACTCTAACATTCATATGAAACATGTACCCATTGAATCTAAAATAATACAAATTAAATAAAGTTCATATGGAAAAGTAAATATGTAAAAATGATTTATAAGAAAGTTGAAGGACAAATAATGAACTGAGAAAAATACTTTTAACTCATATCACAGGCAAAAGTAAATTTCCTTTAAAATGTAAGCTCTGAAAATTGATTAAAAAGATCAACACTTCACCCCTACCTCTGAAAATAAGTAAAGGATATAAAGCACACAATTCAGAGAGAAGGAAATACAACTCTTAAGTGTGTGGAAAGATGTTCACAATTAAAATACGAGAAATGCAAATTAAGACTTCACTAAGATCTCTTTTACACCTACCAGACTGGCCGTGATAAAAGAAATCCAATAATATACTATGTTGGCAAGGATATGTTGAAGCCAACATCACATTGCTGGAGAGTGTAAACTAGTTCTGCTCCCTTGAATGGCAATTAAAGTACATATGTATGTACTCTGTGTACCAGCAACTCCCTATTTCTAGGAATTTATCCTGCTGACATAATTATGCACCTGCAAAGTGATGTTAGTACAAAAATTGTTATTTGTAGCATTGTTTGTAATAGTAAAGAATTAGAAACAAACTAATTGTTAATTAATAGGGGACATTTAAATATATTGAGGTATACTCATCAATTCCATTCTTTGCAACCATGGAGAAGAATAAGAATGATCTTAGTGAGTTGCTAAGGAATGTTCTCCAAAATACATTGTTAGGTGCAAAAAGTGAGATGGAGAAGAACACAGTGAACAGTATGCTCCCATTTGTTGTTTGTTTGTTTGTTTCTTTGTTTTTGAGATGGAGTCTCGCTCTGTTGCCCAGGCTGGAGTGCAGTGGCACAATCTCTGCTCACTGCAACCTCTGCCTCCTGGGTTCAAGTGATTCTCCTGCCTCTACCTCCTGAGTAGCTGGGATTACAGGCACCTGCCATCATGCCCCACTAATTTTTTGTATGCTTCCATTTGTTTCTTAAAAAGGAGCAGGATGGGGTGACCATATACACACATTCATTTACAAATGAATAAAAATATCTCTGGAAAGAGACACTGGGTCCTCCAGAAGTGGGAGTCAGGAGAGAGGATGGCTGAAAGGCTGGAGACAGGGGTGGCAAAAGACTTTTCACTGTACATCCTTTTGTAACTTCTATAGTTAGGGTCATATGAATTTAAAATAAATTTTTAAAATAAAGTTTTTTAGAAAAACAAAAATTTACATGTGATTTCAGTCTTTGGGGGCAGAATATCTATTCATTTTGGGAAAATACATGAACTGGCCATTTAGTAATATCTTATAAAGCAAATACCCTCCAGTTTCTTTTTGGGGAACATTTAAGTAGCTTGAAGTGGATATTTGATCTTGTTGTTGTGATGAGGGCTGTGTTTCTGTAGGTTTTATTGTCCTTTAAAAAAACACACAAAAATAGAAAAACTATTTCTTTGCTCTATATGAGTTAGACTTCATTGTGTGTGATTGTGTGTGTCTGTGTGTGTGTGTGTGTGTGTTCTTATTTAATAGTAGTTCTCCAGACAGTCTAAGCTGAGAGTCTGGAGATATGTCCAGACATGATACCTGAAGGACCAATGGTAATAATTAACTGGGCTGGGTTAGCTGGCTGGGTCTAGCTGACCACGGTTATGATGTCCTCCACAGGTTACTTAAGCCTAAATGACTCAGGCTTTGGGAAGTGTGCTGACTGATGTTCGATTGTTGCTTTCCGATGTAATTGTCTTGGGACACTTAGGACAAGGCTTCATTCTTACAAATATGGGTAAGGAAGTAGACATCCCTACTGTCAACCATCTAGGCCAGCCATCGATCCTGACAGTGGAAATGAGAGAAAACTTCTCATTGGGCCTTGTGGTGGTTGGGCCAAACTTGTAACATACACATCCTCAGTGAATTCCTGGCTAGGATGAGGGATGTGGGGGGGTGCTCCAGCCTCTCTTCTGCAGAGACATGTAGGGAGGTAAGCAGGCAATGCTTTGAAACTGACTTTAGAATGGACTTGGGCTCTAGGGCTCTAAGAGAAACCCCCAATAGTAGAGATTATGTTATCCTCTACAGAATGCCCCCTCCATTTTCCCTGAACCTTCCCATCAAAAGATATGAACAATCTCCACTCTTCTATGAGAAATTAAGGGAACGTTAGGCCAGAGTGGTGGTGGGAAGAACAGCTTCTGTTGCTTCCCAAGGCCAGTGGTGGAAAGAACAGCCTCTAGCAGAGCACCATGAGTCTGAAGTACAATTGTGTTTGGTCCCATGGGGCAGCATGACATGAGACCCAAACAGAAGAGCTGGAGTCACAGCACCGAGACTGCACACACCCACATCGTATTCAGATCCCATATCCTGGGCACCAAGACTGCACACACCCACATCGTATTCAGATCCCGGGCACCGAGACTGCACACACCCACATCGTATTCAGATCCCAGATCCTGGGCACCGAGACTGCACACACCCACATCGTATTCAGATCCTGGGCTCTAACACTATTCCCCACTAAAAGGAATTGGGATCTTTTAGAGGGTAGGTGGTTCTATGCCTTGGAGAAAAAATGGAAAGTAAGGATGGCTATCAAGCATCCTGCTGTTGGCGGAAAATAAGATTGCTTTCAAGGATATCAGTGTAGCATTAAAAGAGGGGAGGGGGCAGATGAAAGCGCTTTCCACTGGCAAAGTGATCATCTGAACAGCAAAAAGAGGGAAGGAAATGAGGAGAAGAGGATGAAATATAGTTGATTAGAACAAGATAAGTTAATGAAAAGCCATGAATTCATGACACTAAAAAAGTTCATATAAGTTATACAAAAAGGTGGTTGTAATTAAAAGGTAAAATAATAAGATCTATTTGTTTTTATTATTCCAATAAGTTGAGGTATGGTTACATATGGATCTTTTATTTTTTGCTATTCATTGTATTTCTTTATAACTTATTACCATGTATCTGTTTCTAGCTATAGAAACAGGAAAGAAAAATCACGGGGACCCATGAGTAAGCTAAGAAGTCATGGAAACGGTAAGACAACCAAAAGGACAAGGTGGCACTGCTGGCCTCACTGACAATCAGATGGAAGATGAGCTTGGTGAGCCAGCCCTGGCAGGCATGTGGACCCAGTAACCAAGTAGATGGAACATTTTGCCAGGTGTTTCACAGTGATGGATTAGCTGAATGTCTTGGGGAGGAGAAAAACACGCAGACCCAATCTCTCATCTCCTGTGAAACCTCTAGATGACCCTACTAATTACAAGGTAATAAAAGGTATCTAGCAGTCTTAAATAATGCTCACAGACCAGATCCATATGTCACAATGACAGGACAATGGGTTATGTAACATTGGCCAAGTGAGACTTGCAATGTATAAAATTTTGGAGAGAGACACCAGGTTGCAATAAAACGGAAGACTGTGTAAAAGACCCAGACTTACAAATTTCACTGATGTAACAAGTGAAGATTAAGCCAAGAAAAAAAAAAAAAATGGCAGCCCAGCCTGTTGACCCAATGGCTCTTCAAAACCCTTGGAAAAAGTAATCAGTTTCCATGTCAAATTAAGAATTGAATAGGTAACCCACATCGTATCCTGGGTTATTATTACTTTTTGCTTCAACCTAGAAAGTTGTTGCACCCTAGGTAGGTATCAAAATAAATATATGAAAAGCTAAGAAGATATAACATTATAGAAATAACAAAGAAATAAATTAACCCATGGAACTGATGCTTTAAGAATAAGTATAGCCGGGCGTGGTGGCTCACGCCTGTAATCCCAGCACTTTGGGAGGCTGAGGTGGGCGGATCACGAGGTCAGGAGATCGAGACCATCCTGGCTAACATGGTGAAACCCCGTCTCTACTAAAAATACAAAAAAATTAGCTGGGCGTGGTGGCGGGCACCTGTAGTCCCAGCTACTCAGGAGGCTGAGGCAGGAGAATGGCGTGAACCCGGGAAGCGGAGATTGCAGTGAACCGAGATGGCACCTGTGCACTCCAGCCTGGGCGACAGAGCAAGACTTCATCTCAAAAAAAAAAAAAAAAAAAAAAAGAAACCAACAGGTATAAATGGCAACATAGTCATAAGTTATAATAATTCTGTTTTGTATATGTTTAATGTGTTTTCTTCCTGAGTTTGAAAGAGTCAAAAGTATATATTGCAAAATGTATAATTGCAATTTAAACTATGTAAAACAATGTGCTTATTTAAGTTTATAGCATATTAAAATATTTAAATATTGCTTTGTTTCTAATTATTATTTGATGTTTAATAATATCTTTTAAAAATATTTTTTATTAAATACCAGTGGTAGTGAGTCTTTCTCTCCAAGCCCAGACACCACTTGGTCATTGTTTCAGTTATCTACTTTTGTGTACCAACTATCCCAAAACTCGGTAAATTTTTTATTATATCCCTTGATTTCACAGGTCAAGAGTTCAGGCAGGGCTTGGCAGGGTAGTTCTTCTGCTTCACAGAGTGTCAGCTGGGAACACTCAGTAGTTTTCAGCTAGCAACTGGGCTTGGGATACAAGACAGATGTACTCAGAAGTCTAGTATCTTGGTGGGCATAGCTAGAGTGCTGAACTCAGCTGGGCCCTGTCTATGAAGTCTCAGGGCCTCTCCATATCGTCTCTCCAGGAGAATGGTCAGAAGACTTCTCACATGGCCAAGGTTCCCAGATATGAAAATGACAACAGCCTGTCCTTTTAAAGGCAGGCCCAAAATTAGTATAGTCACTTCTGTTACACTATATTGGTCAAAGCAGTCACAGACCAGACCACATTTAAGGTGTCAGCCTAAAGGGCTCTTGTATTAGTCCATGTTAATGCTGCTGATAAAGACATACCTTAGGCTGGGTAACTTATAAAGAAAAAGACGTTTAATGGACTCGCAGTTCCACGTGGCTGGGGAGGCCTCACAATCATGGTGGAAGACGAAAGGCGTGCCTTAAATGGCAACAGACAAGAGAGAAATGAGAGCCAAGTGAAAGGGGTTTTCCCTTATAAAACCATCAGATCTCGTGAGACTTATTCACCACCATGAGAGCAGTATGGGCTAAACCATCCCTGTGATTTAATTATCTCCCACTGTTCCCTCCCACAACAAGTGGGAATTATGGGAGGTAAAATTCAAGATGAGATTTGGGTGGGGACACAGCCTAACCATATCAGCTCTCTAAAGGAAAATTATATTTATTTGGAAATGGGCACTTTAATGGGAATATGTGTGCCAAAGTCAACTATGTGCTTATCAGGTAGGTAAAGAAAGACAAAGGTTTTGAAAGAAAGAAATGAGGAGGATTACTTAATTGTTTTGAGGTAATTGTCTTTGGCTACAAGGATCAATAACAAGGGTGTTGCCAGTCCAAGGTTGGACAGGCAGTTACTGGGCCTCATACAAGTATTTGTGTGTGTGTGTGTGTGTGTGTGTGTGTGTGTGTGTGTTAGAGTATGATCACCTTTGTTCAAGGTTGTGGTTTTTACACAGTCTTTTGTGATAGCTCCTGTTATCAGGTATTTGTACATGACAACCCTTCCTTCATGGCCTCCCCTGATTCCATTTGTGAGAATTTTTAGCATGTGGCTTTCTTTTGATTTTGACAACTTTCACATTTTCTCCTTTTAATTAAGATCTTTCTCTGAAAGCATGGCTGATTAATCACCCCATAGTTAGATTTTGATCATCCCTCAGTGCCGGAATGGACCTCCCAGTTTGTTGGTCTGGTCTCACACTGGAGAGAATGATGACTAGAAGTGAGTCACCAATCATGATAAGCAATGGGTGAAAACCCATTTAGCCACAGTTGTGCAACAAGGGATGTTTGGAGGGCATGGCTCTCAAGCTGTCTACCCAGTATCTATTGCTAAATTTAATGTTGTGTTTTCTGCAGGTGTTAGCTATCATCTCAAAGTGCTGGGAAAACATTATTTCATTAAGAGTTGTACTGCTATAGAAATTTGACAGGCAACAGGAATGAAGTTTAAAAAGGAAAATAATAATAATATAATAATCTTAATTTGTGTAATAGTTTTGAGTCACAAACCTGGGCTTTTATGGGTTTTGGGAAGATTTGGGAGTTGGTGGGAGAGAGGGGAGATAGCAGGGAGTCTCCTCTAGTGAGGAGGTTTGGAACTGGGTTGGGATATTTCCCTGAGAGATGGCTTCCAGGGAGCCTGGGCTGCCTAAAGCAGCGTGGCCCCGGCCCAGCCCAAGACAGCCTAACGGTGGAGCTGAATTCTGGGTTACCAGTACTATGAGAAGACCTGTTTTCTTGTTCAACTCAGAGACTTTGAAGGGCAGAATAAGACCAGAGTGAGCAGGGTGAGCCAGCAGGGAGAGGTGCTATTTTCTAGCTGAGCTTACCTTCTGCCTGCCTCCCAGCCTTGCACATCCACATACCCCACATGGCCTCCATGCATAAACCACTGTGGTCATTTAAGGCTCAGCTCCAAAGCAGTGTGACACAGCGGTTAAAAGCAAAGGCTTTGAAGTCAAATAGACCTAGGTCCAAATCCCAGCTCCAGAATTTACTATGTGACTATGGGTAAACCACTTAACCACGCTGAGCCTCGGTTTGCCCATACGACCTCATAAAATTATTACGAGATTCTGTGTGATAATGTACCTCATAGACTTAGCCCAGGGTCTAGGGCATAGTCATTACTTAATAATTAGTAGCCAAAAAAGCCCCCCTCTGCTCTCACTCTTCCACAGCCCACACTGGCCTCTCCCGTGTCCCCCATTCTGTCTTGTACCTAACTATGGAGTGACACCTCCTGTGATATTTCTGTCTCGGGTTGACACTGTATCTCTGCACTCCTCCCCAAAGGAGAGTTAAGCAGCTTACGGTCGGGACTGAGGTTTATGCTCCCCCTTCCTCTCCACAAAACACACGCTAGTACTGGTTGGGTACCCTGTAGGAGCACAATAAACACTGATTGGACTAAATGGCCAATTTATGGCTTCTCTTTGAACAGGCCTTAGATGATTACCTTTTATGAGGCTTACACTTTAGACTTAAAATGTAAAACAGAAGCTCAGGTTAAGAGGCAAATAATGGGATATTTTATGTGCTGTTCTGGAGCAAAAGTCCACAGCTTTATTGCAGTGGCTATAAAAGAGCATAATTGGAAAAGCCTTGATTGAGAAACCCACAGTGGAAAGAACTCTAGGTCAGGAGACAGGAAGCCCAGACTTCCCACCCTGCGCTGTACCATCCAACCAGGCGCCTTTCCTGTCTGACCTCATGTGCAAAACCAGGGGCCCCTAAAGACCGTCTCAGCCCTAACTGTCCATGGTTCTTGAGTCCACAAGTCTAAGACGCACTCCTCCCAGAATTTTATGATTCCAAAATCTTAAGATTCTCCAATTCTAAGATTCTCATACCCGACGATCCTATAATATTAAAATTTGGCAGTTTCAGATTGTACTATCTTAAGGTTCTATAGTAAAGTATGGTGGTTAACAGCCTGGGTCTGGAGTCAGGAGACCTGGGTTCACATTTCAACCCACTGCTTATCATAATGTGATTTTGAACAAATTACTTAATGAGATTCTCAGTTTTCTCACCTATACAATGGGGATAAATGTCGTCGCCATGTGATGATGATGGAGAGAGACTTAAATGAAACAGCTCCCACAAGGCACTTTCTTAATACTTTGACACAGAGAAAGCTATCAAGAAATGGTAGGTATTGTTATTGTTCTAACATTCCATGAATGCATTATCTCAAGAATCGAATATTCTCCCATCCTAAGTAAGTACCATCCTGTGATTCTAGGACTCTGTGACTCTCAGATGTCACACATCAGCCTAAGTTCGTAGGGACTAGGACTGAGACCGCATTCTAGGAGCAAGGCTGTCAGCACAGCCATGGCCACCAGATGGCAGGCTCAGGTTACCAGTCCCTCCGTAACCATAACCGGGTGGCTGAAGGAGCTCTGGGACCAGCCCTCAAGTCTTCTCTCTGGCTCTCATTTAAAAGTTCCTTTCTCTGATGTGAACAGAGAATGAAGGGGGAGTAAGGGGAAGTTGCAATTACCATGTTTTTCTTATCAATCCAAAGATCCGCAATGCAAGAATGAAAGGCGACCCAGAGCGGGGTGGAGGTCTCATAACGAAATGAGCTTAATATGATGCCGTTTCAACACGGCTCACTGGCTGCAGGCTGGAAAGGCAGAGACGACGCATCAGCACGTTCCGGGCCTCTCACACCGCCGCCCTGCCTGGGAGCTGTGTGGTCCTCAGTGCCCCCAGTTCAGACACCCACTCATCTGCGAGGGCACATCTGCCCAGCGGCCGGGAGAGCAGGAATTCTCATTGCTGCCCTCACAGACGAGAGCATCCAAGGGGTCAAGGATTTGCCTCAGGCTCTTCAGTAGTGAGGTAGGATTAAGATAAAGAATTTTCCACGGCCGGTGCTGTGTCTCCGTTAGGCTGATGCTGGCAGCAGCCCGCTCAGCAGTGCCCTGAAGGAGGCAACCAGACAGAAGACAGGGAAGGGTGACACAGGACAGGGGCAGACACCCCTCTGCCTTATGTCAGAGTAGCCCCTCCCAAAACGACCCCGAATGTCAGGTTCTGTGCTGGGCACTTGGCCTGCATTATCTCTAATGCAATCCTTTCAAGAACACTTTGAGGAAGGCGTTAAAAAAAATGACAGCTCTGAGGGCTCAGAAAGGGGAAGGGACCTGCCCAGATCTATACAGAGATGGAGTCAGGAGTCAAGCCGAGGCTCTCTTCCCACTGCAGGCGCTGCCCAGGGAGTACAGCGCCGAGACAGGAAGGAGGCCTGAGACTCCAGGTCGGGTCCTGGGAGACCCTGGGCGAGACCCGCCTGTGTCTAGCCCTCAAAAGACTCCTTGTCAGGGCCGGGGCTAGTTGGGACACCAAGATGAGGCTCTGGTGGCCCAGATCCAGCCTTGGGCTGGGGGAGGCCAGAGGGGCTCCCGGGTGCCCCGGGCGGGCGCCGCGGCCAATATTGACTTTGGTAAACACCATTTTGCACGGAGCGGGGGGCGAGGGCGGGGGCGCCCTGACCCGGGGGGCGGAGGCAGCGGCTCCGCATTTAGACGAGGCCATTAGCCGCGATCGATGGCTGCGCCGCGCGCTCCGGCCGCTGGGCGCTCCCAAATGAAGGTTAAGTTTGCTCTGCGCCCCGGCGCGGCCGGCCATGCGCCCGCATAATGGCCCCGGCCCAGCCAGCCCGCGCGCCCAGGTTAAGCGGAGGCCGAGGGGCCGCGCTGTTGTGCTGGGGAGGACTCGGCTTGGCCCAGGGGAACCGCAGGGTAGATGTGCTTGGGACCCAGTGTGCGGTGCCCTGGTCTGTCTCCCTCAGGGTTACCCTCCTGGGCTCTGGTGGGTCCTGGATGGGTAGGGTAATGTGGCTGTGCCTTAGCTTTTGCTCCAGGGCCACTCGTTTGAATGCACGGCCTGTGTAACCTTGTGAGAGTGTGCCTGGGCGTGCACCCTCGCACCTGGACATCTGGCGTGGGCTACCTGGAACACTGGAGCCAGCCAGTCTGGGAAGCCAGAGCTCTGTGTGCCAGAATTCTGGTTCTGCCATTGCCCTATCTCTTCTTGCAAGTCACTTCCCTGCTTCAGCCTCAGACTCATCTCCTGAAACAGGCAGGTCAGAGGGCACCTGGCCCTGGACAGGCAAGGACACATTCACACGCGTATTCGTGGGTGGCTAGGCTGTGTGAGTGCACATCTGGGATGTGTGCATGGACATGGGTGTGGCTACACCCAAGGTGTGGCTGTGGTGTGTGCCCAGGTGCTGCAGCAATCCGAGTTAAGTCTTAGCGATTCCTCGCTGGGAATCCCCTTGCTGTCTGTTGGAAACTGCAGCACAGGCAGCCCCACACCATGTACCACCGCGTTAGACCAGCTCCCACCAGGACAGGAGCCACAGTGCGTGTTTAATAAATGCCCCTGAAGCGCCCAACGCTGCAAAGGTATCACATTAATTCTCGTACCTATTCTTTTCTCCACTTTTTTTTTTTTTTTTTTTTTTTTTTTTTTTTACAATTGAGCAAACTGAGACTCAGAGAGGGGAAGCAACTTGCCCAGAACCATAAAAGTCAGCAACAGGAGGAACTGGGATTCAAACCATGCTCTGCCTACTGCACCCTGCTGCTGCTGCTGGTGACAGCTCTGGGGATGGGCAACTTGAAATGGCAGACCCTTGGCAGGAAGCGGGTGAGGACAATGCTGTGCACCCACCTTAGTGCACCCACCTGTGCGCTAAGAGAATGTCTTCTGGTTTATTTAGAGATCCTTCCTCCTACCCCCACATGTTACACCCGAGCAAACAAAGGCTCAGAGAGGGGAAGAGAGTTGCCTCAGCTTGTTCAGCAAGTTAGCACCGGAACAGGGATTAGACTCCTGATAGGTTGTGGTGTGCTGCTCGCCTTGGTCTTGGCTGTCTGCAATGTGTGCTACAGAGGGGGCCCAGGTTCTAGATGGCAGCCATCAGCATGATCGTGACAGGGTCGGGGGAAGGAGACTCAGGCAGTCTCCCCACTGGGGGATGAGTACCTCACTCTCCCCCACGGCCTTCTTGTGGCCTAGGCCCCAATCAGTGCACTGAGGCAGGTGTGCACTCATGAGCTCTGAGCAGAAGGGATGACAGGATGGCCCAGAGGGGTTTGCATGTCACCCCAGGAGGCATTAGGGAATGTTTGGGAACATTTTGTCACAGTGAGTTGCCATAGGTGCTAATGCCCTACACAAAATAACTGTCTGCCCAGAATACCAGTCATGCCCAGGAGGACCTGACTCAAGATTCTGAGGAGCCAGGGAAGCAGGTGGCCCCAGAGCTGGGGAGTGGCCTCCTTCCTGCCGCTCTTCCCCTCAGCCCCCTAGCAGCCCCTTCCTTGATCAGTCCTGATAAGATAAGGTCCTGCCCAGTCCTCTTCCCCGGTGCCTCTGCCTTGGTAAATGAATGACCCACGGAGAGAAGGGGCCTGGCCCCGAGCCCTGTAGGGTTATCATTGGCAAGGTCATGCCACCCGCAGGCCCACCATGCTGTCTCGGAGCTCTGGGAGCTGAGGGGCCACCATCCACGCTCCAACATATGCTGTGCCACTTCAGCCCGATCCTTTGCTCTTCTCCCATCAGGCAGGTGAGGACCTTGGGGCCAGAGAAACAGGGCAACTTTCCCAGGTCACAACACCGAGTCAGTGGCTCTAGAGCCCAGGTTTCCACACCACACCAGCTCCTGGCTCCCTGCCCAGGGTTGTGAATGTGCACCTTCCCCTAGTACAGCCAGGCCCGGGTTACCAACCAACATATCCCTGAGCAATGACTTCTGATGGCCAGCTTTAGTACCAGCTCTGCCATTCAGTGCCTGGCTGTGTGGCCCTAGGGGACAATGCCCCTGCTTGGGACCTCCGTTTACCCCATTGTAAAATAAGATGGCAAGCCAGGTCCCTGAGATAAAGAGTAGGGGCACATCACTGGCAGTGCTCACCTCTCTGGGGGGCCAAGGCCTCCATCCATTGCCGCCACTACCTTTTTATGAACACAAGATGTGAGTTGCTCCCTGTCCTAACGTGACCTTGGGGATGCCAGGCTGCTCCCCAGATGTGAGTGGTAGCTGTCACAGGGAGTGGCAGGGGGAGGCTGAGGCTTATTGTGGCTGCCTCCTCATGGGCAGTAGGAGCAGGAAAAAGAGCTCCATGGACCCTGAGCCTGAAATCTTCCTCTTCCACAGCTTCAGACCACTCTACTCTCTCCAGAGACTTCTGCAAATGGGCCCTTGACACCCCAACCTCCTCTTCAGGATCAGAGGGTTTATCCATTTGGAGTCTTAGACTGAGCCACAAGGTCATGGGTCCAATCCCCTGAGTAATTCAAAGCCAAGAGAGGTACAGGATCTTGCCCCAGGTCACACAGCAAGCCAGAGGTGAAGCCAGAGCTTGCCTACGCGCTGAGACATAAAGGGTGAGCTGCAGATGCGATGCTTTTCTCAGATGCCGCTTAGCATTTCCCTGGCCAGTCTCAGCCACAGCCTGCACAACAGCCACTGCCACTAAACCACACCAGCTCCTGGGGGGCTCCCTTAGCAGAGGCTGGCTGAGGGCCTGGGCTGGCTAGGCACTGTGCTGAGCACTGTGGGGCAAAGAGATGACCTGGGCATAGGCCTGCCCTGGAGGAGCTCACAGCCGAATGCGGGAGAGAAACGGCGTCATTTTTAACCTAATATGAAACACAAGTGAATAAGTGCTATGATAGAAAAGCTCAGGGGACAATAAGCACACCAACAGGCAAGGGCGACCTACTGTGAGTGCCGGGAGAAGTTTCCTGAGTGAGGAGTGAATGTCGGAGTGGATGTAAGATGTGACTACACAGAGGAATTGACTAGGGCCGGCCTGGAGTCAGGAGGGGCATTCCTAGC
This sequence comes from Homo sapiens, assembly GCF_000001405.40. NCBI lineage: Eukaryota > Metazoa > Chordata > Mammalia > Primates > Hominidae > Homo > Homo sapiens. Next base: position 47,721,926 of record NC_000001.11, on the reverse strand, counting down.
AGTGGAATCTGTGCATTTGAACTTCCCTGGGTGGGAGGAAGCCGGGAACATTTCAAATAACCAGAGTCCACAATGGTGACGTGATGGTTCAGTGGGTTCCATGGCGAAAGATAAACCTGAAGAAGTTGGCAGGCCTAGATCACACAGGTCCCTGGAGGCTTCCCCAGTTCCCCAGAAGGAACTGGACTCTTATCCTAAAAGCAATAGCAAGTCATGGATGTAAGCAGCAGAATGTAAGGTGTGTTCAAGAGATCACACTGGCAACGATGTTGAGCATGGATTGCATTGTGAACAGAAGTGGAGAGGACAGCCCATTTGGGGAGGCTTTGCTATAATCTAGGCAGGGGATGGTAGCTCAGACAGGACAGCAGAAGTGGAGATGGGAAATGTGGATGGAGACAGGATCCATGGGCCTTGGTGAGGGCTCAGCTGCGGAGGTGAGGGAGGAGGAGGTGTCAGGCTGACTCTGCCCTGGGTACAGGCTGCAGGCTGAAGGCTGTTACCAGGCCCAGAGACAAGAGCCCTGGAATGGACATTCTCTTTGGGGCATGTTGGCATTTCAAGTCCCTTTAAGACACTGAACTGAAGGGGTCAAGTAAGCAGTGGGATGTACGGTTCTTATGGGAGAGAGATGTTCATGTCATTGGCAGAGAGATGGTAGCTGAAGCCAAGGGCATGGATGAGGTCATGTAGGGAGAGAGAATCTGTGGGAGAGGAAGCAGAATGGAAGTTAACCACCTGGGAGGAGAGGATGAGCCAGGAAAAGACTTCAGAGAAAGCAGTCAGAACAGCCAAGCATGGTGCCCAAGAGAGGACTGGCATTCAGTTCCCGGGATCTTTATACAAACTCCTCTCTCTGTCTGAAAAGCCATCTCCCCACCAAGCCAGCTAGCCACTGCCTAGTCCAAGGTGCTGCCCAGGTACAGTCTCCTCCAGGAAGCATCCCCAACCCACCTCTCCTTCCCAAGGTTCTCCAGACTTCTCATAGCCCCTGGGGCAGGAGGAGATGGTAGAAAGGGCAAGGCTTTGGAGCTTGTCATGTGACATGAGCAGGCTGCCTTCCAAAGCCTCAGTCTTCTCAGCTGTCAAATGGAGTAATTACTGTGCAGGGATTATATTTCTTGTGAGGAGCAAATGATATACTACATATAAAACCTGTGGTTCATAACAAGCACTCAATAAATGGAAACTACCATTATCTTAGCTCCTATCATGTTGCACTGACATTATCTGTTTTTGTCTATTTCTCTCATCACCTCATGAGCTCTTTCAGCAGACAGAGTTTATGTATCTCAGCATCGCCTGTGCCTGGCCCAGGGCCTGGCATATAGCAGGTGCTCAGTGAAATGAGAGTGAAGGAAATAAAGAGGTTGAGGGGGCAAGAATGTTCAGCGTAGACCTCCTGCAGGAGGAGTGGCCCAGTGGGTCCTGGAGTACCACCCCCACCAACCCCTGCAAGCAGTGCAGTGGGAGGGACAGGGGGAGGGGAGAGGGAGGCAAGAACACTCCGGGAGGGGGAACAGCTTGAACACATTTTTCCCAGCTGAGGGGGCTGGGGAATGACTTCTCTGCTGAACTGCGACCTCAGAGCCACATACCCTCTTTGAACTGTCAGGCAGCCCCCAGCCCTGTCACTCCCCATCTGAGCTGGGTGAAAAGTGAAACTCCAGCCCTGCCCTGGAGCAGTCCCCAGTGAGTCCCAGGCCCAGCCCCCATGTCTGGGTTTATTTGTGTGGGGCTAGCCAATCTCCTAGCGAGGGCTCTCTGCATGTCCATGGGCCAGGCTTGTACACCCCTCACCCTCCCCTGTGGCCCGCCTGGGCCTGCTATAGCCCAAGGTCCCCAGTGCCTTTCCTCCCACATGGGCAGGGGACTCATGCAGTGGCAAAGCTCAGGCTGCAGAGGTGGGTGGGAATCCTGCTCCCCACCACATGCACAAGGTTCGGGGAGCTTAAGAAAGTTTCTTCACCTCCCTGGGCCTCTGTTTCCCTGAAAAATGGGGGCCTACCTCCGACTGTGGCCCAGAGGAAGGGGCAAGCATGTACTTATTGTGTTTTTCCGTGCCAGATGCCAGCATCTGCTCTACCCCTCAAACACAGGTTTGAACCTTGAAGTAGGGTGGATGTTTTTATCCATTTGACTTAAGAGGAAAGAGGGATTTAGAAAAAAGAGGGGACCACCTGTCCAAGAACAAGAGACATCACTTGTAAATAGCAGAGCCAAGGTTCAAATGTAGGATCATCTAACCCAGGGATCAGAGTGGCAGGTGGCAGTGGAACATAGCACATCACCCCTTGTACCTGCAAGCACAAAGCTTGTGGCCCCTCAGAGCCTGTCTGCCCAACAGAAGACCAAGGACTCCACGATTCTAACGCCAGCTAAACCCAGAGCTCATTCCCAATGGTAGCCTCAGCATCTAGCCAGGACCTGGCACCAGAGGGGCTCAATTAATATTTGTTGAGTGACTACGTAAATGAATTTCCAACTCTTTGTAGAACATCTATGAGGGCGGTCATGAGATAAGTTGGTGAAAGTAAATGGGAAAGACCGAGGTGAGTAAACATGAAAGATTCATTTAGTTATTAATACAAATATTTCTCTCTGTCATTTTTGTCTATTGGCCTCCCTTCTTTTCCAATACAAACATTTATTAGGCATCTACCATGGAACAGGCCTGTGTGGGCTCCACAGATGCAGGGATAGACAATGTTAAGACATTTCTCAACATTCCTTTAGCCCTTACTGTGTGACTGACACTAATCCAAGCATTTTACATGGGTTTTCTCACTTAATACTCATAACAACCTGAAGAAGTAGAAACTTTTATTATTGTTCCATTTTACATGTTAGGAAACAAGAGACAAAGAAATTAAATAACTTAGTCAAACTAACTGAGAAAGTGGTGGAGCCCAGAATCATATGCAGACACTCAAATTTCAGAGCCAAGTGGGGAAAAATCTTCAGCCCTGCGTACCTCACTAGCTGATTGAATCAGGTGTGAGGGGGGGTTAAGTAAGGCAAGGGAGGGCCTTAGATGACATACATAGCATGGTATTTAGCAAAGAGAGAGCTCTTTCTAAATGTGACTATTGTGAACCCTATTTTTATTGTGAAAGTATTACCATGAAAGCAATAATTTTGTTATCCACACTTTCTCTCTTTTCTTTGGTATCTAATGAGCTTTTTTTAAAGGCCCTTAGAGGGTAGCTAAGGCACTGACTAAAGAGGGAACTGAGGCCCAGAAAAGGGCAGGAATCTGCCTCTTCCCAGGCCGCCAAGGCTAGAAGCATCAGTCTACTGGTAAATTTAACACCAGCTCTCTAGAGAAGAGAAAGCCTGATTTGCAGTCTTTGCCAGTTTCTATGGTGTGTTCTCACCATGGCAGATTTCAAACTGAAGTGAGATCACTTGATAGTGCAGTTGAATAGAGGCACTTACGGTCAGCTCTGGCCAGTGGGTGCAAACAAGCTCTGCACACCACGGACCAGAACCTAGGCTTTCTGACAAGCCTGGAGACCTTTACAGGATACCACCAAATCCAACGGCCCCAAGGGTCCATGTAGATGAGGAGTGGGGCTATGAGGATAGGAGGAAAAGGAGAGGGACAAAATGCTGAACCCCGAAGAGCTCTGAAAAGTTCAATAGGTCTTCCTTCTCCACACACTCAAGATTGCTTGTTCTATGCTCTCTCTGATAACTTGTAAAGTTTAGACTTGGGGAGAAGAAAGGGAAATGGCTTGGTTCCTGATACCCTCCTAGATTGAGCAGGATGTGGCAGTATGAGCTCAGTCCTGCCTGCTTTGCAGTTCCTGAAAGAAGAAGCCGTGGCTGGGGTCACCTGCTCCCTGGGTCCAGAAAGGGAGATCAGGTGATTTCATTTCCAGAGTACAGCATGTATTTCTCAATTTAACTTTGGGTCATTTTCACCGCTTATTTCCTTCCTCCTGGTCTCATAGTGTGTCCAGTGACTAATCCAAGACCCAGACTCTGACATAGGCTTAGAGATCTGTGATGTTGGGCACTCTACCAAGTACCCCTCTTCATCAGCATGGCCTCAATTCCACTAGTAGCTCTCCCTCTAGGTCAAGTCAGTGATGTGCTATTAAAATTGTCCGACTATTAATGATGGTAGTGAAAAAAATAACTGCACTTACTCTAACATCTTTAAACTGACTACTTAATATTAGCTTATTGCTATCCCAAACAAGTAAAAGAAACATTTAAGCCCCTACTATGTGTCAGACATGCAATGTGCATTATATTTAATTTTCCAAGCAAACTGACCAGGAAAGTTATCATCCTCATATTTTATTGATGAATAAAGCTCTTCCTAGAAGGGTTATGTAACTTGGCTGAAGTCACATGGCTAGTAGGTGACTGAGCCAGGATTGGAACCCAGGTGTATTTGTGTTCAATACTGTATTCTTTCCCTATTCTGTGATGATTCATCTCTTAGGTTGATTAGGAAAAAAAAAAAATCAAGATAATTCTGAGAGAGTGAACACAGGCTAGGCATATTAGTTTTCTATTGCTATGAAACAAATTACCATAAATTTAGCAACTTATAGCAGTACCTATTTACTATGGTATAATTGTGTAGCCCAGAAATCCGGGTGGGCTTATGTGAGTCTTCTGCCCTGGGTCTCACAGGCTAAAATCAAGGTGTTAGCCATCTGGGGTCTTATGGGAAGGCTCTGGGAAAAATGCCCTTCCAAGCTCAATCAGGATGTTGGCAAAATCCAGTTCTTTGCAGTTGTAGACTGAAGTCCCTGGTTCCTTGCTAGCCATCAGCTCCTTAAGGCCATTCATTTTCCTTCTCACATGGTCCTCTCCATTTTCAAAGCCAGCAATGATGCAGCAAGTTATTCTCATACTTCAAATATCTCCAAGATCTCCTTCTTCTGACTTCCTTTTCTGCTGTTGGCTAAAGAAAGCTTGCTGCTTTTAAGGGCTCATCTGATTCCACTGGGACCACCAGATACTTCAGGATAACTTCCCTATCTTAAGGCCAACTATACCATATAACATAACATCATCACAGGAGCGATGTCTAATCATATTCACAAGTTTCAGGAATCAGGGAAGGGCATCTTTGGGAGCCCATTTTAGAAATTCTGACTACTACAATAGATAAGCTTTGCAGGAGTGGAGGTTCTAGGGGTACTCTCCAGGCAGGTAGGACCGGGAAGGAGAGGGGCTTCCCACTGGAGGTCTTGAACACCTGGAAAGCACTGTGGGGACACTGGGTAGCCAAGGTGAAAGGACGTAAACAAGGAGGCAGGGTCTATAGTGGGGGGGATATCGGAAAGAAGGAGGCAAAAAAGAACAAAGGAAATGCATAAAAAAAAAGAATGCAGCCTTACATCTGTAAAGAAGTTCAAGTTCCCTTTGTTCTCTCACAGGGGCCCCAAAAGATACTCAGTAAATACGTGTGAAATTAAATGGGCTGTGTCACTCAACTCCCATGGAATGGGTTGGGTTGAGATTCATTGGGTAGGTTGGGATTAGGGCTGGGAGAGACTGAGTTGAGATGAGTTGGATGGGTCATATAAGCTGAGGTGCAGATTAAATGGCTTGTTTAAATTAAGGTAATTGACCTAGGCTGAGATGTGATGGATTGCATTGAGTTTAGATGGGCTGAGGTAGAAAGAGGTGAGTCAGGCATAGCTTGGTTGGGGCTGGGTTTGGCTGAGCTAGGCTAATTTGAATCAGGCTGGATTTAACATGCTTGGGTGGGTTGGAATGATTTTAGGATGGGTTGGTTTTTAGCAGGGTTAGACTGAGCTGAGGATATATTTGGTTGGGGATGTATTAGCTTTTAGTTTCAGAGACAGAATCTACTCTGAATAGTTTAAGCAAAAATAAATGTATTAACAGTATTTCATGGCTCACAGAAATATTTGGAGAGCTGAAAACAGATTCTAGGCTTCATCTTCAGGACCAACTCCCAAAGTTAGGCTGCAGAATGGACCACCAAGGCAGCTGCTCCTTTTGCAACCATTAGGAAACCATCTGCCAAGTCAGGAAGCCACCAATTTGGCTTCTGACTCAAGAAACATGCTCACCTGCATGTCCACACTAGCTAAATGCACACTTCAGTGAAAGCATTGACAGGGTTTCTCTCCAGATAAAAAAAAGTACGGTGAGGAAATTATTTGGGCAGGTAACACAAAATTGGAAAAATGTTCCTAATTGTTGAATCTGGGTCATACAGATAGAGGTACATCACACTCTTCTCTCTTCTTTTGCATGAGTTTTTTCTATGGTTATTGTTTTGAAAGGACGGCTCATTCCTTGCCTTTCTGCCCATTCAATACACTTCTGACTTCAAGCCTTGCATGAATGTATGGCATGCGGTAAAACCTACATAACATCTGCATTCTAACTCTAGGGCAGTCTGGGAAATACAGTTTTTAGCTTTTCAGCCCCTATGAGATAAAAAGGCACACTAGAAGGAGAGAGGGAAAGGGGCTGAATGAATCAGTCTACAGTTTCTACCACCATTGAGCTACACAGGTTGGGTTGGGATGAGTTGCAATGGACGAGGTTGCCTGGGTTGGACTAGGCTAGGTTAAGAGAGGTGTTGGATGGGTTGGACTAGGTTATGTTGGAAAGTTTGGGCTATACTTAGGTGAGCAGGACTGAGCTGGGTTAGGCAGCATTGGCAGGAGTTGGATCAGGATAGGTGATTTATGTTGAGAGCCTCAGTGAGGCCAGTGCTTGGGCACTGGTGTCAAGCCCTTTGAGAGCAGTGGAGTGTGAGTGTTTTACTCACTCAGAGCCAGGAAGGGAGGACTTGGAGAATGACATTATTGATGATAGTAGCACCTCTGTCAGTCCACCCTCATTGGGTTTCCTCTCCACTTCCTGGGGCCAGGCTCATGTCCCCTTCACTGAAGCCAGACCTCTCTCCAGGCTTAGGGCATTTCCAATGTTCAGCTCAACCTTTTCTGCCCTCCTTAACATGAAAGCTATTAGAGCAAGAGGCTTGGGACTTAAGTTACAAGCAGAGAAACTTGCAGGATGTGTTGTCTTGGGGCAAAACCAAACCCAAAGTCAGGATATCAGAGCCATATGGTTCCCTCCCTACATTTCTGGTGGGAGGCGTTGTGGATTTTATGGAATTTGGGACCAGTTCCGGAGTCCCACAGGTGCTGTGTTCACTGAGCCAAGGAAAATGGGTGCTGGCAAGCACACATGTTTACATGCAGAGTAATGCATATAAGCACAAAGCTTTCCAGTTTGCAATGCAGTTTCAGTTTACATACATTCTCTCTGAGTAGCTCTGTAAGGCAGGAGTCATTAGGTAACATCCCAAAGAGAGACACTCATGCTCAGAGAGGCTAAGTGCCTTGCCCAAAGTCACACAGCAGGGCTAGGATTTGATTTTTTGGTTGTTGTTTACATAAACATTGTCTCCTTAACTAGCATCCAGCCTCTATGAGGTTTGCAATTTTGCCTCATTGTTCATGGTTGTAGCCCCAGCATTTTGAACAGTTAGGACACATGGTAGGTGCTCAATTACATTTATTCAATGCACATATACGCTTACTAAATAAATGGGGAAAGAAATCCAAATGTCAGAAACCCATGTTCAGAAACACACACACACACACACACACACACAGAGCCCTTGTGACAAGGGCCCCTTGTCCCAAGTCCTTGAAGTCTTATCCCATCTCTGCTCCTTGGGTTTTCCTGGACCTGACACACTGGCTCAGGATCAAGGGAAGAGGCCTCTGCACTCAGACCTCCGAGCATGCCTGACCCAGTCCTGGTATGGTAGGTGCACAACAAACATCACCCCACTCCATCGTCTGCCTTCAGTTAGACTCTTTTTAGAGGCAGAGAATAGAGGAGGTGCCAGACAATTCCATTTGGAAAATGTGCTCGCCCTTCCAAGAGAGGACAGGATAACCAGCCCAGACAGGAGTCTGAGACCATATCTCTCTACTCAGTCAACCAGCCTCCAAGTAGTTACTGCTCAGAACATGGTCTTATTCAGTTTGCACAGACAAGCCTCAGAAGGAGGGGTCATTATACCCATTTTGCACATAAGAAAACTGAGGCTTCTAGAGAAGAAGTAACTGAATTGCCCAAGGCCACAGAGCTAGAGAGTGCAAAGCCGGGATCAGAGTCCACGTCTGTGTGACTCCAAGGTCCATAGGCGTCAATGCCAGACAACTCCCACGCTCCCCCCGAAGGGGCGCATCTCCCCTTCATCCCTGGGCTCTGTGAAGGGCAGAGCCATGTCCCCTCTTCCCTCCATCCTGCCTCTGCTCTCAGTCTGGGTCACCACAGGGTTGGGGGAAGGGGGACATTTCTTGCTGGCTCTGACTGATATTGATGGATGGAGCGACTATTGTAAATGCTACCGTGTTGTGTAATCAGTAGGAAAATGTGACTCTGTCCCCAGAGATGCCAATGGCATTTTGGAGAAAATCCTATCCTTGATTTTCTGGGCCTGTTCAGTTGAAATGTCTGGGTGACAGGGACGAGCTAGGAGCTCTGATCCATGGGGCCTGGGCAGGGCTACTTGCTCTTCCAGCCCCTGCCTGAGACAGGAGGGGTTGGAAAAGTCACACTGTGGGCTCAATCTCAACTCTGTCACTTACTTGTTGTTGTTACTCAACCCCATTTCTTCCACTACGAAATGAGGACAGGAAAAGCACCAGGTCATTATGAGGATAGGTGAAAAGGTGCAGCAAAGCAGCTAGCACTTAGCATAGAGTCTCGTCCACGACTAATGCAAAATAAATATTTGTTGAGTTAGTGAACAAATGAATGAATGAATGAATGAATAAACGAGCAAACAAATGAATGCGCGTGAATGCATGAAGAAGCGTGGGCCAGCAGCAAGAGAATAACATTTGGAGTCAGGAGACCCAAGTTGGATCCATGCCTGTCACCTACTAGCTGAGTGACCTTAGGCAAGTCACTTAACCTTGCTGAGCCTCAGTTAATAATAGCAATAATCCCTGCCTCTCGGGTGGTTGTGAGGATTAAATGAAAGTGCTGGGTGGGACTGCTTTGTTAATGGCAGGGCGCTGTGCAAATGTTAGTTCTAATTATTCTCTACAATTATGACTGCTCCGCGGGAGGTGCGTGTGTGAGCGAGGGTAGGGAAGGCTGTGCATGTGGGGAGGTCTGTGACCAGGCTGTGTGTGCATGTGTATTGTGTGTGGGTGTGTTTGGAGAACTGGGGCCATTAGAAAAACCATCAGCCCTCTAAGTTGTTCTTTCTTTTGCTAAACTCAACCTGCCAGGCTGACATCGGAAGCCGGAATTAGTGGGAAGTCTGGGGGGACGGGATTAGCAGCTGAACTTTCTATTCCTGGAGACCCTCTTTTCTCAGGAGGTCAAAGCAATTTCCATATATTATCCTGCTGGCAGCTTGGGAAGGTCAGGGAAACAGCAAACACATGACGTGCATTCCTCAGATGGAGAAACCAAGGCAGGAAGGGCAGCTACTGTGGCCCCCTGCCGTACTCCTGTTTGAACCACCATCTGAAGGACTTTTCTGCCACCTGGGCCTGGCCTGCCTGGCTGGCAGCGGTTCATTCATTTGAGTGCTTATTGCCATCCCCTTCACCCCTGTTTCCAGCGCTGGGCTGTGAGTGTTCCACCAGAAGGATTAGAGCCAGGACCCTAAGTCCCTGCTGACTAGATGCATGCAACCATCGGAGGGTCTGACTTTGGCTCAGTGTTCACCTTTCACTCCCTGGCCAGGCTGTGGCCCTAACTCCCCTCCAGCAGATCTTCAAGTTCAGTTCTCCTCCAGAAAGTTGGCCTGACTGTCCTATCTGGCAGTTGTAGAAGTCGTTCTCCTCTGAGCCACAGGTGTGAAGGGACCAAGAGGAAGGGGGCTTGGAGGCCCAGCCGCATTGCTTCTGTTGATGCTGAGGGCCAGCCCAGAAATGTTCTGTGAAACTGACCAGAATAAGAGCAGCCCAGACAGAGGTAGTGTGAATGTGGAGCTGGTGAACTGAGAAGCCTCAGAGGAAGTTCTCTGAAGGGTTAGAGCAGTGACTGTCAAAGTGTCATGCATCACCTGGGAACTGCTGATTCTCCTGCCCCACACCAGAACTAATGTGTCGGAACCCTAGGGGAAGGGGCTTAGCAAGTGTTTTAGCAAGGCTTCTAGTTGATTCTGATGCTCCAGCAGTTTGAGAACCACTGGGCTCAAACTGCACCAACTCCCTGCACCTGCAGCCAGGCACCTGTCTCCCCAGCTAGATCTCAGGAAGCCCCACCTTCCCCACACTGGTTTTTGTTGGCTCTGAAGACAGCCCTAGACTCCGGGTCTTGCAGATGGGGAAGGTTACAGCTTTCATCTCGGGGTCTGTGTCCCCACCTGTAAGGAGGAGGAGGCCTCCCAGAACCTGTCCAAGGCCCTGGAGAAAAGTTGCTGAATTGCAGGACTGTGGGCAGCCGGCAACACAGTGCTGGGCTCATGTCCCAGCAGCAGCCCCAACCCTGAGCTCTCGGTTCTCTGGTTAGCCACGGAGGTATGTAATCCTCGGTTTGCCGCCCACCCACCACCAGCTGGAGTAGTCACACCAAATGCCATCCTCCCTGATTAAAGCAGCCATGGCGCTGGTACCCCGCGCTGGACTCAGTGCTCCAGTCGCCTGGCCCTGGTTCGTAATTCACCCCTCCCCCAACAGTCCTAAGAGGCGGGGTCCTCCCGGTTTTACAGATTCAGAACTGAGACCCAAAAATGTTCTGTAGTTTGTCTGAGACCTCACAGCCTGTTCTAGACTAGAATTTGAACCCGAGTCTGTCTGACTCCAAAGCCCTCTTCCTTAAACCTCGGTGAGAGCCAGACCCTAGCCTGGGAGCCGGGTGCACGTGAGGGGGGAAGCAGATCCAGTCTGGGTGCTGGCTCCGCTACTCGCCAGCGAGTGGCCTTGGGCCTGCTTCGGTTGCCCCATCTGTATAGTGGGAATAATAATTATTGCCCTGCTGGCCTTACAGGACTCCTGTAAAAAATCAAGGACGGGGTGGAAGCGAGTGGAAAACTACCGTGGTGTTCAAACGCTGTGACTGGGTGTCCCATGTGCTTTACAGCATACAAAGCGTACGGTATACAAAATGCATCCTCGTGTGGTCTCAGGTCACCCTCTCCGCAGCTAATCGATCCTCGCCTGCGCAATCATTGAGAGAGAGGAGTCAGATGCCGCGTCCAAGTCCAGCAGGACCGCGGGACACGGGTCAGCCCAGCAGCCGCCTGCGCCTCCGGCCACGAACGCAAGAGGGCGCCATGGGCCTGCAGCGAGCCCCGGCTGCCCGACCCGCAGAGCGCAACCTCTCTCGCGCTCCGCTTCGCCCCGCAGCTTCCAGGCTTCGCTCAGGGCCTGGAGGTGCGTGGGGTTCCAGGGGCGTCCGGGAGGGATGGCGGAGAGTTGTGCAGTCTGAACTTGAAATTTGAAGTCAGAAAAACCAGCTGCCTCTTACTGCTGTGTGACCTCTTGTGAGACGTTTGGCCTCTCTGAGCTTCATTTATAATTATAGGAATATAATTATCTGCCGCCACGCCAAGCCAGCCCGCCGCAGGCACCTAGGCCCATAAAAAGAGATGGCTAAGTCTGGCTCTCAGTGCAAACATTCACACGTTAGGATTCATGTAAAGCCCTTTCTCCTGCTCTCCCCGCCCCCACCCCCGTGTACTCAGCATCTGAAGCCCCTCCAGCGAGGTATGAATGGTCTCTGCATTCTCATTTTTTGGGCGCGCAGACTAAGGCTCAGGCTGCTCTTTCTGGGATCATGTGGCTCATCCGGACAGAGACTGGCTGGCCTTCCGGCACCAGCACCAGACTCCGACCCTTCCAGGTCCCGCGGCCTCGGCGCCAGCCGGCATGGCCTGGGAGAGCGGGCCTCGGCGGCGGGGTGCTGGAGAGTCGCTTCCAATCTTCCGCAGACACCGGGTTGCTCCGGAGGCCAAAACAGTCGGAGAAGCCTAGGGGCCAGAATGCTCAGCCCCACCCCGCCCGGTCCCCGCTGAAGGGCAGCGAAGGGCAGCGGGTGTTCGGCCCCCAGTTCTGGGCTCAGCCTCTGGCCCGACTGTAACCCGCCATCCCGAGATTGCCGGGCCGCAACGCGCGCCCGCGTGTGTGGTCGGGGCTCGGTGGCTCTGGGCACTGACGGCGCACCCCGATTCCCGGGTCTCGTGGGTGCTCCTGCGCGCTCTCCCCTAGCGGTCGGCTCGAGCTGCGCCAGCAGAGCCCCTCCACTGCGGTGGGACTGCCAGGGTCAGGCCGGGGGAGGGGCGGCCCCGCGGCCTAGCCCGCGCCCTCTGCCGCGGCTGTTTGCACACATGTAATTAGCGCTAATTATCCCGGGCTTTCAGCTCGCCAGCTCCCGGCTTGAGAGCCGCGCGCCCGGTGTGAGAGCGGCCCGGGAGCAGCTGCCCCTACGCGCGAGCCCTCTCCGCCCGGGCCGGGGACACTGCGGCTCCATCCGAGTCCCCGGGACCTTGCGTCGTGTATCTGTGTGTGCCCGAGTGCCTACACTAGTGCTGGCTCGCGAGCGTCTTTGTGTGTCCGCCGCTGTGTGTTTGAAGATGCCGCCGGGGAAGGTTCGCGGGAAGCCGACGCAGATGGGGAGAGGAGGGGGTCTCAGGATAGCGGTGGTGGGGATGAAATGGTTCTCAGCTGCTAAGGAAGGAAGCTCTAGCGCCCCACTCCCTCCAGTCTGCCGCGAGTCCTGCGTAAACAGGACCCCCCGGGGCCGAGAATCCCGGGATTGCTGCTGTAACCGCCCAGCCCAGGCGTTGTCAAGCCAAACAAGTTTCCCCGGCCCCTGAGCCGTTTCGTCCCTTCTAGAAGGCCCCCGGTGCTGCCACTGCCTGCTTGAACGGGCCACCAGCGCGCCTTCCTTCTACAGGTGGCAGGGCCAGGCTCTGAAAGGTTAGGGCGCTGGCCCCGGGAGCCGCAGCAGGCGGGGGGCGCCACCCCCAGAGCCGGATTCAGGCTCGCTAGAGCTCAGAGGGTCGGCTGGGGCCAGGGAGATCGCCTCCGACTCCCAGGTCCTCTTTTCTCTCTGATCTCAGAACCCCAGCCCTTGCCGACCCGGGTGCTGCGTACTCAGCCCGTTCCCGCCGCGTCCCTCCAGCCCTCTCCCAAGGGCCAGTTCACCCTCCTCCACTCGGAAAGGAACCAGAGAGCCAGGGGGAAGCAAGCTCAGCCCCAGGGGCCTTAGGCGGAGATGGGGGCGTCAGCCTAGGTCCCCGGAGCCGGGTTTCTCAGCACACCCTCCGCCCCTCGCCGCTAGAGCGGCCCCTGGCCTTCCCCTCCCTGGGCACGGCATCCCTTGTCCAGGCTCCTGGGCACGGCATCCCTTGTCCAGGCTCCTGGGCACGGCATCCCTTGTCCAGGCTCCTGGGCACGGCATCCCTTGTCCAGGCTCCTGGGCACGGCATCCCTTGTCCAGGCTCCTGGGCACGGCATCCCTTGTCCAGGCTGCTGGGCACGGCATCCCTTGTCCAGGCTCCTGGGCACAGTCTCTTCCGGCCTGTCTCTCTCTTCCTCTCTGACCTGCTTCCCCGTTTCCCCGGTGTCTCGCTGTGCCTTTGCCTCTGTCTCTGCCTCTCATTTTCTCTGCCTCTCTCTCATCGGATCTTTGCCCGCGAAGCTACCCCCATCCCCCGCCCCCGCAAAGGAACACACACGGGCAGAATCCGCCTTTGCAATAAAAAACGACAACTGGGAAACAGTGAATTAAAAAGCATTAACTTAAAAACAAGCCATGTGTCTGCAAATACGTTCCAAATGACAGCCCTTTGGGAGTAGGGGTGTGTCGGCCACATGTTCTGGAGCCTCAGACGCAAAATGTAGGGGGAGCTCAGTGACTCGCGGTGTACCCCTCCTGCTAGCCACCTGGGACAGCGGGATCTGGGGGGAAGGGAGTCTCCTCTCCACCCTGTCATGGACCCCTACCGGGTCCCCTGGACCCTTTTAGCGTTCTGGCATCTGCTGGTCCCGCCTACTCCCTCCCCACCCCCCCCCCCCCACAAACTTTCCCAACGCTGACCTCAACTCTCCTTTTGCGCCAGCCCTCCCCGTCCCCACCCCACTCACATCGATTCCACCTCCCCCCATCCCAAGTCTTCCACCCCACACCCCTTGTTGCACCAGAGGCCTGCCCTGACCCACCCTCATTCTGCCCTCCTGCCCCTAGACCACCCAGCAGTCCTGGCTCGGAGAAGTGGTTAGAACCAAAGATTTCCTTGACCTGAAGAGACTCCCCAGGGAACTGAAGGCAGAAAGGGTGCTGCCAGCCCCACGACCTGCAGCTGCTGTGTCCTGCCCATGCTAATCAAAGATGGTGTCTCCAAAGGCTGGCCTCTCCCAAGGTTGCACAAGTAGGCTGCTGCCTTTTGAAGCCCCTCACCAAGACAGGACCTCCCTTCAAAGTTTCATCATGCTGCCCCCTCTCCCCGCCCCCACTTATTCCTAACAACCTTCCTTAGCCTTTTTCTCTGGAAACTGGAAGAACTGGAGTACATCCACTAGGCTTAATTACAGAAGATAGGACTGGGTGGGGGCCCAGATTTCTACTTCACCTTCAGTGTCTTCTCAACTGGGAGAGAGATCTTGAGCCCATAAACCAGAGGGAGAAGGAGTTCTGGAGTCTTAGTCTTGCTCTGCTAATCATAATAACTTATGATGATAACAATAATAGTAATATAGTAGCTAACATTTATTGACCACTTACTGTGTGCTCTGTATACATTTACTCACAGAAATCACTAATGGCTCTATGACTTCAAGCAGTAGCTCGTCCTACCTGGACCTCAGTTTCCCTATCTGTAGCAGGAAAGGTGGAACCAGAGGCCCTCCCTATTTAGACAGTGAGTCTGAAACACCTGTAATGGAAACAAAATCTCCTGGACGAGTTGTATTTGTCACTGTTCCTATCTGTTTTAAATGACATAAAGACATCCACCAGGGAAGTTCCAGCTTCAAGTTATTCTGTTCTTGAAACAACAAAACAAGAATGCCATCACTTTAAAAAAAAAATCACGACTGGGAACAGTAGATCAGGCCTGTAATCTTAGCATTTTGGGAGGCCGAGGCTGAAGGATTGCTTGAGCCCAGTAGTTTGAGACCAGCCTGGACAACATGCCAAAACCCCATCTCTACCAAAAAAGATTCAAAAATTAACCAGGTGTGGTGGTGTGGGCCTGTAGTCCCAGCTTTTTGAGAGGCTGAAATGAGAGCATCAGTTGAGCCCAGGAAGCAGAGGTTGCACTAAGCCAAGATTATGCCACTGTACTCCAGCCTGGGCAACAGAGCACGACCCTGTCTCAAAAAAACTAAAATTAGAAAAATTTTTTTAAATCATAACAGTTCTCACCAAATCAAATTATTCTTCACCTTAATAGGGATGAGCCATTTAATTTTATTTTTAATAATAAAAATGTTCTGTTTTCATTACACAAGTGAGCCTTTCAAAATTCACATGGCTACTACCATGTCTCACTTGATGACTTACCAGATTCTGGAGGAACCCAATATGAGTATTTATACAAAGCTCCCTGGTGATTCTGATTTGAGAATTCTGATTCTCATATAATTTCTGAATCCAGTGTCAGATATCTTATACCTATCATTCTTATGTGATCTCGTCTCTGATTCTGAGATTCCAATTGAGAATCACTGATGCTGGTTTCTGAGAATTTTTGTTTCTGTAGATTTAAGCAATTTCTCTGTGTGTGTACCCTTACACATATGTTCCCAGAAGCTGTGAAGGTGCATATGCTACACACATGTGTCTCTGGGGGTGGGTGCCTATGCTTCTGGGCAAATGTGTGTGACTGTGCCTTTGTGTCACGTTTATGTAAATGAGGAAATATTTGTGCTTGTGTGGATGTGTCCTGTGCCTTCATTGATGGGCTTGCCATTTTCTGAAGCCTCCAACAGGGAAGAAGTTTCTCTGGAGGAGGAGCCCATCAGGCCCCTGAAATGCCAGTTGAGCAATCTCTTGGCTCCAGAGCTGACAGAGCTCCTCTCCTGATTGGAGAAGAGGGACAACAGATTTTGAGCATAAACACAGATCTCTGTGCTGAGCATTCTAATTCTGCAAGTCAAGTAGAGAGCCCGTGCAGCTGCCTGCTAATTAGCTACCCTGGGGAAAAAATTGCCTGTGTTGGAGTGGATAATGTGTTTGCCTGTTTCCGCGGGATTCTTGACCAACTGAATGCCCCCACCTCCCTCTACCCTCTCCCGTGGGTCTGTCTCCCTGCACCCCCAGCTTGGAAAGATGGTGCAGCCTGTGCATGCCTCAACTCCAATATGTCGGCTTTTTCAAACAGGCCAATTGCTAAGCAAATGTCATTTGAGCTGGAGCTTGGAAGGCTCTCAATGAGAAAAATGATCCATTTGAATAGATGAAGATGGGTCCCACACTGGATGAAGATGAGCTAATAAAGTTCCCATAATATCAAGGACAGGCTCCATGTCCCCTCCCCAGGCAAACTGCACCCTCAAGGGCAGGGGCTCTGCCACAGCACAGACAAATCCTCAGGTACCTGCAGCTGAGGATCTCAGGCTTGACAGATCCCCAGTCCTAGTGAACCTCTGAGTCCCTCTGCCTGGGTCCCTTTGGCAGTGCTATGGGCTGGTGGGAGCAGGAGACTTGCCATACTGGGCTGAGGGGTAGCTGCCTACTGTAGCCCAAGTCATGCCCTTCCCATGCTTGTATACACACGTGTACACATGCTACACACACCTGTAGTCTGAGCCCTTGGTTTTAACCTCTGGTACACTCTCATGTGTAGAAAGGTCCATACATAGAGGTGTACACAATATCTATAAACCTCCATACCTCCATAAGTAGACAATAACACCTATACAATATACAGGTTCACCAGCTGATAGAGATATGAACTATACAGATATCAGATGTAGATACTGTTATGGACTGAATGTGCTCCCCTAAAATTCACATGTCAAAGCCCTAACCCCCAATGTGATGGTATCTGGGGTTGGGCCCTTGGGAGGTAATTAGGTTTAGATCAAGTCTTGAGGGTGGGACCCTATGATGGGATTAGTGTTTTTATAAGATCTCTCTCTCGCGCGCGCGCGCTCTCTCTCTCTCCCCTCCCACTTGAGGATACAGGGAGAAAGTGGCCACACACAAGCCAGAAAAAGTCCTCACCAGAAACCAAAGTTGCTGGCACCTTGATCTTGGACTTCACAGCCTCCAAAACTATGAGAAATAAATGTCTGTTGTTTAAGCCACTCAGTCTATAGTATTTTGTCATAGCAGCCTGAGCAGACTTAAACAGATATGCACTAGGAATGGTGCTTGCACACATTTGCTCATATTCAGTCACACATCAATGAAAATTATTGCTACACTCCTAGAGACATAGTGGAATGTGTGCGCACTGCTCCCATTACTGCTGCCTCTTATGTATGCAACTCTTACCGTGGCGAGCATTTCACAGACTTCCTCTCACTTTATTCTCAGGACAGCCCCAAGAGGGAGACATTTATTAGCTCCATTTTATAAAACAGGAGGCTAAAATGAATAAGGTGTTCAGGGTTGATTGCACAGCTGCTAAGCGGTAGAGCTGGGATTTGAACTCAGGTCTGCTGACTCCAATGTGCATGCTCCATCGGGATCATAAATAATCCAGCATTCAGAGCTGGGGGAGAGGAACCTCAGTAGGGTCTAAGAGAACAATCCTGGCACTCCAGTGAGGCCAAAGCCTCCATTCCCTAGGGCGCGGGACTTGTTCAGCCTAGCACCTTATGACTCACTTACTGTAATTGGGTACAGCTGTCTCCCAGAGTGTGGCAAGGTCTTCCCAAGTGCAGATTCACAGGCATCTCTGAAACCGTTAAAGAACTGGTTTTCAACTTTTGTTCAAAATAATGACCATGAGAAGAGTAATAATATAAACTGATTTTAATATATGCCCAGCTTAAATGATAAGCTCTGCTCCAGTGTTGATATTTTCTGCCAATACAAAATTATTTTATCCTTAGTACAAAGTTTCTTATCAGATGCATGCTGCTATGTGTTTTTAATTAATAATGAGATCATTTAATGGCCTATTTGCCACTGATTTCTAACTGTAGCACCCACTCCCCCACCCAGGTCCTCTTGTTTGCAGTTAACAGGTGCCAGGGTGTGTTCTGCTTTCTCAGGCCCTGAACTCCCTATATCCAGCTCTTCTGAAACCTCCCGACCCCATCCAGAGCTGCCCTGGGAACATTCTGGACTCTCCATCAACCCTGGGATGCAGAAGGGCCTGGGGCAACCCCATAGGCACGTCACACTCCTCCATCCCTGGACTAGCACCCTGGCTGGCTCCCCAGAAGAAAAATGAAGGTCCTCCTGACAGGCAAGCATAAATATTTTCTTTCCCAGCCTCGTTCAGATGGGGATCTTTGCTGTTAATAAAGTGGCAGCTGGCTATCTGGGAGTGTCTGAACGTGGCCTTCTCTGGCAAAGAGCGCATCATCCATCTCTGTCCTCACCCCGTCAGATGACAAGACTTTGCTGGCCTGCTCCTTCTTGGAATGTGCCTTGGCTGGCAGAAAGCAGGCAGGAAGCATTTGCAAAACACCAGTTTCATCTTCTCTCTGTGGAGGGGCAAGGAGGAGCGAGCTGAGTTTGCTGCTCTTGGCAAGCCCATCTATCAGGAGTGTGGCCATCGGGTGCCGGGCAAGGCTATTTATTTAAGCCTCACATCAGGCAGTGAGACTTAATTTATGGGGACAGGAGGGAGGGTGTTGCAGCAGGCTGGGTCTTCCCACTTTGAAAGGTGCTCAGACGAGAAAGGGCAACAGCACGTAATGGGAAATCGTGCCGTGCTTTGCAGCATGTGGCCTGGAAATGGAGCTGCAAGGCCCGGAAAGGTTTTGAAATAACATTTCAGGTTGGAGCCCTCCCTGCCCCCACCTGGAAATAGGTGTTAGGATGGAAAACAGGGCACCTCGCATCACCCCTCATCACCAGCCAGGGCTGTTGAAATGAAAACAAAAAATTCTTCCTTAAAAGAAAATGTATTTTCCAAAGTTCTGTGAATTTTCTCTTGACTTCCAAGTTCAGAAAAGGCTGCGTGAAGTCTTGGAGTTATGGAGCCTGCTTGGGGGACCAAGGAAGAAGCGCTGTGGGGGTAGATATCACCAGCCTCCAGGCTGTTCAGGTTTGTTCATCCACACATCTGGTGAGCAGTAGGCCTCTGGATGGTGAAAAGATACAAAGATTTAGGGTCTCCTGGGCCTGGGCTCAATTCCCCGCTGTATTAGTTTCCCAAGGTTACCTAGGGGAAATTATTCAAACTTTTTGTGTTTTAGTTTCCCCATATGTAGAATGGGGACAGTAATACAGATGTCTACGGATTGGTACAGGATACTATTGAAGCCTGCCCATGAGAGTGCCCATTATAGCACTTACTCACAATCAGTGCTTGGCAACATGTTGAGTTTGTTGAAGGAGCTCACAGAGGTTTCCCATTGCCTGCAGAATGGGGCAGAGCTCTCACTTTTACAGTCAATACCTTCTGGGATCTGATCCCAACCAATCCTCTCACCTGGCGTCCCAGGATCCTCCTACTAAAATTGGTGTGCAGGGCCTGGCCACACCCTGTCCATTCACTCTACACCACTGCACCCCCAGCTGCTTGCCCATGCCATCCACACCCAGCACACCCTCCTCATTGCACCGTCCGTCCAGAGGCCCTGTCATCAGGGGTGGCGAGAACTACCACTTACAAGTGCACGCTGTGGGTCAGACACTGCACGTATGTTATTTTAGATCTATGTTTTACAGGATCAGGAGAGACAGAATCAAGAGAAAGGAAAGGGAACACAGTAAGAAATTTCCAGAAGTCAAAAAATATGGTCAGATTTACCATAGAGGAAACATTGCTCTGAGCCAAAGAAGAGATTGTGGAGTAGGGGAGGAGGCCAAGTGTCAGGGAGGAGGCTGGGGGTCAGGGAGGAGGTTGGGGTCAGGCAGGGAACTGAGGGTTAAGGAAGAGGCTGGGGATCAGGGAGTAGGCTGAGTGTCAGGGAGGAAGCTGAAGGGTCAGGGAGGAAGCTGAGCGTCAGGGAGGAAGCTGAGGGGTCAGGGAGGAGGCTGATCGTCAGGGAGGAAGCTGAGGGGTCCGAGAGGAGGCTGAGAATCAGGTAAGAGGCTGTTGCAGGGTCCCAGCAAGGAAAGACAATGAGAGTGACTTTTAGATGGAGAGGAGAGGCCGGGTTTGAGAGTTTGCTTCATTCATCCATTCAGTGCATATGGGGTGGGCAACTACTGTGTGTCAGGCTGGATTCCAGCTGCTGGGATACAGTAGTGAACAAAGCAATATGAAATCTCTGCCCTCCTGGAGTTTACATCCTAGTGGGAGAAACAGATCATGGGAGAAACAGATCATAAACTAATAAGAAAAACATACAGTGTTAGATAAGGATAAGTGCTATAAAGAAACATCAAAGCAAGGGAATGGGATATCAAAGGAAGGGGTCAGTGACAAAATTATGGATACAGTAGCCACAGAAGGCCTCGCTAATAGGGTAACTTCTGAGAGAAGACTGGAAGGAAGCAAGAGTGAGCCCTGCAGACATCTAGAGGGAGCATCCCAGGCAAAGGGAATTAGGAGCACCAAGGCTCCAAGGCAGGAGCGTGCCCAGCATGTGCCAGGAGAGGGTAGGGCCTGTGGGGCTGGAGGGGGCACAAAGGGAGAGGATTAGGAGAACTCAGAGGGGGACGAAAGGAGCTAAGTCAAAATGGGCCTTGTCTGTCTCAGGCTCCTGGAGGTCAGGACTCTGGTGTTGGGGCCTTGGGCAGGCCCTTCCCTCTCCAGCTGATTTCTCCCAGTGGAGGATACGTGTGGTGTGGATATGATTGTGAAAGCTTTGAGGATTATGCCATGTGCTGAGCAAAACTCAGACCCTGTGGCCAGGTGGGGTGGCTCACTCCTGTAATCCCAGCACTTTGGGAGGCCGAGATGGGTGGATCACCTGAGGTCAGGAGTTCAAGATCAGCCTGGCCAACATGGTGAAACCCCATCTCTACTAAAAATACAAAAATTAGCAGGGCGTGGTGGCGCATGCCTGTAATCCCAGCTATTTAAGAGGCTGAGGCAATAGAATCGCTTGAACCCAGGAGATGGAGGTTGCAGTGAGCCGAGGTTGCAGTGAGCCGAAATTGCACCACTGCACTCCAGCCTGGTGACAGAGCGAGACTCCATCTCAAAAAAAAAAAAAAAAAAAAAAAGCAGCCAGGCATGGTGGTGTGCGTCTGTAGTCCCAGCCACTCAGGAGGCTAAGGCAGGAGAATTGCTTGAACCCAGGAGGCGGAGGTTGCAGTGAGCCGAGATCACACCACTGCACTCCAGCCTGGGCAACAGAGTGAGACTGTCTCAAAAAAAAAGAAAAATCCAGCCCTGCAGGCCCTGAGATTCTCCAGGTTAAAGTCACAAACACCCACCCTTTCTGAGACTAAAGTTTGGGAGATGCTAAGATGGTAGCAGTGCTGCCAACCTCAGGATGCAGAGGGCCTTACCTCTCCCCACCCACCTGCTGCTCCTGCACCCTGGGAAACAAAAGAGGGGCTGACTTCAGGCCACAGTGGCCTAGTGGCCTCTAGGCCTTGTGTCCACAAATACTGTGTCACACGGCTTGGGGTCTTTTCCTTCACAATGAATTCATCTTCATCCATCATTCCATTAATTATTCTCCCCAGTATTCTTTTATTCATGTACATATTCATTTCCTCCCTCATTCTATTTGTTTACTCCTTTCTTCACTCATACACATATTCATTTTCCTCCCTCCTCAAACTTATCACAAGAGTAACTAAATACATCATAGATTGTGCAACTCCCAGTGTCTGCCTGACTTCTCAGCTACAATGTGAAAGATGAGGGCAGGAAGCATGTCTTCTTCACAGCTGTGATACCAGCATCTGGCCCCATGCAGAGCCCATAGCATGTGCTCTATAAATGGATTTCTACAGCCATCCATTCACTGCACGTGCATTCATTCTTTAGGCATTCCTCAAACCTCCGTGTGTACCAAAACCTGGGCCAGACACATTTCAGAAGAGGGAGAAGCAAGAAGAAAATATAGGATAAATTATCCCAGCCCCTGTCATCCACCATTCCATTCATCCATCCAATAAACGTTTACCAATGACACTTAGTACTGAATCCTGAGCCGGCAACTGCTTATGCAACTGCTTGCATAAGGATGATCAAGGGAAGGCTGAGGTTGAGCCGCAGCTGGGCCTCAGAGAATGGGCAAAATGTCAGGAGGAAATGTAGCCAGGGGAGAGGGAATGGCAGGAACAGAGGTTTCCATGAACATCACCCTGCCTGGTGGTTAGGGTACAACTGCTATCAAGATAGCTTGGGGCAAATCATGGAGGCATTTAATTGTCAGGCATGAGAGTTTCCTGGGCTCCAGAGGAACTTGATCTCGGCCTGTCATTTCCAGGTGTGAGAAGGCAGGTGAGGCAGGCAGCGCTGAAGGTTTCAGGTTGGTTGCTCCTGGGCAGAGTATGATTTCCTGTTTGCCTAGAGAGGAAGAAAAGGCCTTCGAAAGACAGTGAAGGTTCTCCAACAGGCCACACAAGCTCAAAATGGCTCAGACAAAGCTTTGTGATGACTTTAATGCAAATGAACTAAAAGTATATGGATTAAATTTTCCTCCCTAAAATACATGAGCTGTGGAAACAGAAAGGTGTGTATTTAAATGTAGGCCCCTTGAGCTCTCTCTAAGCCTGTCTTAGCGCAATGATACACCATGGACGCGGTTAACTCTGCAGGTGCCACAGTTCCACCCAACAGCTTTGGACCTAATCAAGGATAAAGGGGTCTCAGCCCTCTAATGCTGCAGCTCCCCTCCCCAAATCTTCTGGGCCCTGGCAGGTCCTGGCAGAGATCCTGGGCCCACTCTTGGCCTCTTTGACCAGGAAAAATTTGCTCCCGGGCTTAGGTCTTCAAAAAACACCAGCTCTTTCTGGCTAGCCAGGAAGGAGAGTAAACACCAAATAATAACAAAACAATAGGTATAATTTTAATATTTATTCTTTCACATGTAAACACATTCATCTAACAAAAGACTGAATCAGTATCTCCTTTGACCCTCATCAGAAGCTGAGGGGATAGTTGGCAGTGGGTGGAGGGGGGCGAGGGGGATTATTATCCTCATTTTACAGATGAGGAAGCTCAAGTCCAGAGAGGTTAAAGTGACTTTTGTGAATGTCACACCTCTGCTACAGTGCTCTAATAAGCCCACTGCACCAAACTTCCAAATTGGTAAGATCATGGCATCCTTTTTCAGTGAAGAGTGTGTCCCGGATGCAAATAGCCATTAAGTGGTTCATATGGTTCTGTGGTTGAGATGGGCCCTAAGAAGCTGTGATCTTTCCTCCCATCTCATGGTAACCTAGGGGTTAGAGGTAAGGCTACAGTCTGCAACTGAGGTCTGGACTCAGCCCAGGCAAGAACCAGAGACCCGGTCTCCTGGCCCCAGCCCAGTGTTATTTCCACTCTGACACTGACCTAGGGCAAGGCCCTCCCAGTTTTTTCAGCCTCCCTATCTGTAGTGAGAGGGTGTGGGAGAGAAAGCCTCTAGGGCCCCTTCCAGGGTCCAGGCTGTAGCTGTGATCAGTTCTGAGCTCAGGATGTGAAGGTGAAGAATGAGAGCAGGAAGTTCCAGGCTCCAGGGGGTGGGGCAGGCCCCACCAGGGGAGGCAGAGGGCACAGAAGCCACCCCTGACCGACTTCACAAGATAAGGCCCACCCTCACCTCCCCACTTCCTCCTCTCCAGCCCCAGGGTCTCCTTTGCTTCCACATCTTGTTGACTTTTGAATTTACAAGGTGTGCCAGTTGCCAAGGCCCCTGGTTGATTACACCCCCGGACCTGCCTTAGGAAAGCATCCTCCTCTCCAAGCCCCCACCAGCAACTGGGAGGTGAGGCTGGGAACGCAAGATGGGATCTCTCAGGTGCTGGAAAGAAATTAAAGAGGAAACTTATCAAAAAGAGGATGGAAGAGAGAAAGCAAAGGTAAGTTCCATTCTGGAAAGGAAATGGGGAGGAGCCACGTGCAATTTTATAGCCATGTTCTGAAACTCATGACTCTTGACCAGGTCCGACTCTGACCGTGGGGGAAAGCTCAGGTGGGGTGAGGAGCTTTATGGTGTTTGCTTGGTTTATTGGCTTTGTGGAAGAGGATATGAGGGCCCAGGCAGTTCTCTGGAGATAGGACCCCTCAAGGAAAGGCCAAGATTTATGGTTTCCGGAAGCCCTCAAGGTTACTGGCCTAGGCCTAGGCTTTCCTTGGTTCTGGGGATTTAAGGGAGGGAGGGCCTGGAGGTAAAGGAAATTCCAAATCATGGTGAGAATCATTCCCCAAAAGACTTTATCTTCCATGGTCTCCCATGATTCCCAGTAACTACATGATGTTGACAGTCCGCCATCATTTTAACGAAATGGGGGCCTGAGGCTGGGAGAGCAGGCAGGCCGGCCCCTGGTCAGCTAGAATCAGTGTCAGGGGAGCAACTCAAACCCATCTTTCCTGGTTCCCACTCCAGGGCGCTTTCTCACTGGGCTATTTATACTGGAGTGGCCTTTGACACCCAATCAGAAAATACCTGAGTCACACTGGCTAAAAGAAAAGAAGTATTGCTAAGGGCTCTGGCCTAGAGTCACCTCTGTGTCACCACATGCAGGCCTGGGACAATAGCCATCCATCACTGCTCAGCAAGGTAGTGTAGGTGTCCCCTTGCACAAGCATGTGACTACACAAAGGGTGCTTGACCTTCCAGGAAATGCTACTGTGGACACTGTCCCTGGCCAAGTGGCTCTGGAAACAAATGTTTCATTGACAAACCTACTTCACAGGCATAAGAGGCTGGTTCCTGACATGGCCTTCCAGTCTTCTGTGGACCCTGTTAGCAGGATAAATTTTATTTCTGAGCTTAATTAGGGGACATGCCATAAATATTCATGCAGCAAAATGAGCCCTGGCTCACAAGTGCAGCTGCTTCCCGCTTGGGGGAAATTAACATTGTTTTCCAACCATGAGTAATGAGGCGCCACTGCTGGAGAGAGGAGCCTTTTCAACAGCCTCTTTAGGACAGAAAGGGAGAGCCACACTCAGAGGCACCCGCACCCTGGGAGCCAGCCTGGCCCCCGCAGACCCCTCTGCATCTCCAAATGAGGGGCACAGCTGGGCTCCTCTGGGGCTCAGTCCTGAAGGGAGCCCCCACCAAGGCGCTCAGCAGAGCAGACAATGCATCAAGAACAGGGATCAGCAAACTATAACACAAGGGCCAAATCCACCTGCCACCTGCTTTTGTAAATAAAGTTTTATTGGAACCCATTTGTTTAGATATGGCTACAACAGCAGAGTTGAGTAATGTGACAAGAGACCTTATGGCCTGCCAAGCCAAAGGAAAATATTTACAACCTGGTCCTTTGCAGAAAAAGTATGCCCTAGAACTGTTTCATCCTGGACATTTGCAATTATTAATATAAGTCCCATAATCTCAAATTCTCTGTAACCTTAGGAATATGGAATGGTTTTAAAGTCTCATGGTTTTAGAATCTTCGTGCATAGACTCTGGAACCAGACTTCAATCTCAGCTCTATCACTTCCTTAGCTGTGTGACCATGGGCAAGTTACTTAACCTTCTCTCTGCCTCAGTTTATTTATCTATAAACTGGGGGTAAGAATAGTACCTAGCTCATAGTGTTGTGAAGACTCAATGAATATTTATAAAGCCCATATAAAAGTATTCAGCATAGGATAAGCTTTAAATAAGTACCTGTTAAATAAATGGATTCAATTTCCTATAATTCCAGATCCTCAAAGAATAGGATCTTAACCTTCCCCTACAAATTTCAGCCTGTAAGATCTTAGAATCTAAGCTGTGACAGGGAGAGCCCCCAAGTTTCTGACACTGTACTAAATACCTTATGTGCATTATCTCATTTAATCTCCAAAACAACTCTTGGAAGTAGGAATTACAGGCAATTTACATATAAGGAAACAAACTTTGCAAAGGTAGGAGACTAATCCAAGGTCACAGGGGTAAATTGCAAAGCTTGAACAGGAGGAGCCCAGGGTACCTGACTCCAAGCCTATCTCTCAGATAATCCTACCCCTCACCCACTGCCACAGTCTCTCCTCAGTACCTGTCACAGGGTCCTCCAGCCTCTGCTGGGCACCTGCCGTGTCAGGGAGCTCACTGCCACTGGAGACAGCCAGCTCTGTGGCTGGAGAGCTCACACTGGGATCTGCTCTTACTTTCGCTCCTTCTAACCCCCTTGGTCCTAGTTTGTCTCTTTGCAGCTCTGAAAAGCCCAGGCAAGAGACCACAGACACTTCTGGGGACATCTCCCAACTTGCTGGGAGCCAGCAGCAGCCTAGGCCTCAAGCATTTGCAACAAACTAGACCCATGAAAAGACAGAGCTCCATAGCTTTGGACAAACCATGCCTCCAGCAAGCCCTCCCTGGTACCAACAAGAAGCAGGGACCCTTCTTTCTCCTTAAGACTCCCAACATTCCTGCCTGAACCATCACTCGATGAGACAAGAGCCATGTCCTCATCTAAGTCTTGTCATAATACTCCTAGGACTCTCTAAGCCTTGTAATCTTTCTTCTTGCTGTCAAAGTGTTTTGAGATCTAGTCTCTCCTATGGTTCTGCAGCATAATGAAGCTCATCAAGTGCTGGTAGCATTGCGTTTATCCTCAGCATTCTTGACCTAGTAGGTCAAGAAAGTATTACCATTCCCATTTATAAGATGATGTCCCCGAGACCCAGAGGGGAGGAGGAACAGAAAGAAAAAAGAAATTATACTATAACAGAACCTTCTGGTACCAGGCCCTGTGCTAAGCCCTTTGTCTCATTTCATCCTGACACACGTAGATGCTACCCCACTTTCCGGGAAAGTGAACTGTGGCTCCTAAAGGAAATCCGACCTGTTCTAGGTTCCATAGACAGCAGGAGGAGGAAGACATTGATCATGCATCTACTGTGTGCTAAGTATGTTCATACACATATATGCCTTATTCTGCCATCACACACACACAAAACCCTAAGGTGGGTTTTTTTTAATGCCTGCTTGCCAGATGTGTAAACTAAGGCTCAGAGGCTGGGGTGGCTGTCCCAGGGGAGTGGGGCTGGGCCCCAGGCCTCATTGGTGTGGATGAAGCACTCTTGCCCGACCCCAGCAGCCATGGCAAGACTCAGCCCATATCCTTTCAGGGAGTGGCAAAGGAAACACTGGGCCCTTTTACAGGGTTTCCATGTGCATGACCGGGAGCCCCTAAGGATGGCCGATCTGCCACGGATGGGAGGAACGGTTTATTTTTTCTGTGGGCCGCTCTGGAGCCTTTCAAAGGTGTGAAGTTCCATGGCCTGCAAAAGCTGATTCTACTGGCTATCCAAAGCAGACCTGCCTGGGCCCCAGCCCCTGCAGCCCCCACAGTCCCCACAGCCCCCCACAGCCCCCGCAGACCCCGGCCTCTTCATATGCCGCCCATGGGAACTCCCTCTGGCCCACCTGGCCTCTCACACGCTGAAAGGCTGCAGAGTGACAGGCCGGCAACTGGACTCTGATGTTTATTCACCAAACACAGAGACGGCCCTCCAGGCCTCTGCTACCTCAGGGAAGAGGGGTCACCAGCCCACCCCCAGGCCAGGATCCCAGCACACTCACCTCTGGAGACTGGCCATGAGGAGGAGCATCCAAGCTGCTCCTGCAGCGAGAGAGACTCTGGTTAGACACAAGGAAGAACTAGCTGCCACTGAGGGACATTCAGCTCAGAGAGAGAAGCGGAATCTCCTGAAGTGCCATGGCATCTTGGTAAGGACCCTAGACTCTTTGTAACCCCTGGGATGAGGAGGGGTGAGGCTGCATGAATCCCAAGCCCCACTCTACCAGTTCTGACAATGTCGTAATTCTGAGGTTCCACGGCATGAGACAGGGGGTCAGACTGGACCACAGGATCATTTCTGAATGCTTCTACCTCCAGACCTGCCAAGTGATTGACCGGACAAGGCTGAGCTTGTGTTGGGGAACCGCTTGGTTGCTTCCCTGTACATAGTCAAGAAAGTTGCACGGTCACTTTGTAAAAACGGAACTGCTGGTATTGTTGTTTTTCTGTTGTTCCTTTCCCCGCTACCATTTTTATAACTGAACTGATTGCTTTGATTGGACTGGCCCGTTGCTCATCTAAACTGACCCGTTGCTGGACTCAACTGACAGGCTGTTTGTCGGCCACGGTCAGCTGTGGATGTGGAGCTGGTTGGTGTGTAGCTTTCCAGATTAGATATTTTGATGAAATGGACTGGTCCGAGCCCTGCAATCACCCCAGCCCCACTCCCCAACCTCACCACCAGCCTCGGCTTTTCCAGAGAATTGCAGTTCCATGAGTTTCAGGCATAAATCCCGGCCAAATCCACCATGAAAGGACACACAATATTGTCACAGGTTTAAAACTGGGATTCAAATCAAGAGGGCAGAAAGTCCCAATGGAGGACCCGTTGTGCCCTGCAGCCTTGCCAGGCAGTCCACGTGGGCTGGACCGAGGCTGCGGTTCTGTCCCTCATCCGTGTCGGGGGATTGCTGAGCCCCTAGCACAGCCCCCTCACTTGCCTCTTTAACTCACTTCCTTTCATTGCTGACAGGTCCACCAACTTTCAATGGGGCTGTGGCAAGAGGGTACTCACCCACCCACCCCCAAGCCCATTCACCCTGCCCACCCCTCCTTGGCCTTTCAGGCTCACAGTGAAAGGGACTTGTCCAGAAATCGGGGATTTACCATTGTGCCCTTTGTAAAGACTCTCCATTTTCCTCAGCCCCACCCCTCCCATCTCCAGAATCAGTAGGGGTGGCCCCTGCAGAGCTGCAGATGGATGCAACAGAGCACAACACACCCAACACCCTTGTTTAGAATCAGGGCTGAAGCCTCAGAAACTCAAACTTTGTTTCAGAGCCGGAAGACAACCTCTAGATTTCTCCGGCCTCCACCCGCTCCCCATTTTACAGATGGGGAAACTGAGAGTCATAGAATGAGGCCTCTTGACACCTAGTGTGCTATTCCATTAGCTCGTTTTCACTCCCCATTTCTTTTCTTACTTCTTTCAGAATTGAGGAGGTAATGACATTTGTCATTTGTGTTAACAATATGCCACACCACTGAAAACTGTGTACAATGGCTGCAGCCAACAGTCTAGGAAGTTTGGGGTCATGGTTTTGTTGTTTCACATCTGAAATCAAAACCCAGAGCCATGAAAATAGCAGATCTTGGTTGAACTGCCTCTAAAATAAATAGAAATACTCACCTAACTAATTTGAAATTCAACTCACGAAAAGGAATAAAGCCAAATTGTAATTTTTCTGTTTCTAATATTTTTGCTCCCACATTTAGATTATTTAATCCAACTACCTATCTGTGGGTGGGCCTGCTGGGGACCAGAAAGGAGCTCTAACTTGCCCAAAGGCACACAGCATGGCAGGCGGGTTTGGCCTGACTATCCTCTACCTCTCCGGCACGCATTTCGGTGTTGGAAAAATCTCGGCTACATCGAAATGGTATTCCTAGAACCAGTTGGGCACTGCAATTTGGTTAGCTGTGTGGCTTTGCAGTTTCTAAACTAAATGGTTTATTAAGAATAGATGTGTCAGGCCAGGCACAGTGGCTCATGCCTGTAATCTCAGCACTTTGGGAGGCCAAGGCAAGTGGATCACCTCAGGTTGGGAGTTTGAGACCAGCCTGACCAACATAGAGAAACCCTGTCTCTACTGAAAATACAAAATTAGCAGGGCATGGTGGTACATGCCTGTAATCCCAGCTACTCAGGAGGCTGAGGCAGGAGAATCACTTGAACCCAGGAGGCGGAGGTTGCAGTGAGCTGAGATCGCGCCACTGCACTCCAGCCTGGGCAACAAGAGCAAAACTCTGTCAAAAAAAAAAAAAAAAAAGAATAGATCTGTGAGATACTATCTTATGCCAGTTAGAATGGCGATCATTAAAAAGTCAGGAAACAACAGATGTTGGAGAGGATGTGGAGAAATAGGAATGCTTTTACACTGTTAGTGGGAGTGTAAATTAGTTCAACCACTGTGGAAGACAGTGTGGCGATTCCTCAAGGACCTAGAACCAGAAATACCATTTGACCCAGCAATACCATTTGATCCAGCAATCCCATTAGATCCAGCAATCCCATTACTGGGTATACACCCAAAGAATTAAAAATCATTCTACTATAAAGACACATGTACATGTATGTTTATTGCAGCACTATTCACAATAGCTAAGACTGGGAACCAACCCAAATGCCCATCAATGATAGACTGGATGACGAAAATGTGGCACATATACACCATGGAATACTATGCAGCCATAAAAAAGGATGAGTTCATGTCCTTTGCAGGGACATGGATGAAGCTGGGAACCATCATTCTCAGCAAACTAACACAGGAACAGAAAACCAAAGACCACATGTTCTCACTCATAAGTGGGAGTCGAACAATGAGAACACGTGGACATAGGGAGGGGA
Source organism: Homo sapiens (assembly GCF_000001405.40). Classification (NCBI taxonomy): domain Eukaryota; kingdom Metazoa; phylum Chordata; class Mammalia; order Primates; family Hominidae; genus Homo; species Homo sapiens. Next base: position 47,691,388 of record NC_000001.11, on the reverse strand, counting down.
CCATCACACACAAGGGCCTGTTGGGTGGAGGGGGTGGCTAGGGGAGGGAGAGCATTAGGATAAATACCTAATATAGATGACGGGTTGATGGGTGCAGCAAACCACCATGGCGCGTGTATTCCTATGTAACAAACCTGCACATTTTACACATGTATCCCAGAACTTAAAGTATAATAATAATAATAAAAGAATAGATGTGAAAGCAGCAAAAGCGGTTGATTTCAATGCTTCATCTATGGGAAGATTGCCACAATCTCTGAGCATTTCTAACCCAGGCTGCTCCCTCCCCTAGGAGGTGCTTTACGTGATCCTGGGGCTGGGAGATTCTGCATGGGAACTGAGCTGGAGAAAAGATCATTCAAGGAAGATAGCCTCGTCTTTTGGCGGTCACTGCACAGACTCTGTCTTTATAGTGCTTAAATAAAAAGCAGGAGGTTTCATATTTAAATTGTTTATCTTCGGCTAGTTCTTCTACAGAGCTTTGGGATGAATTCATTCCGAAGGCAATATTTTCTAAATTACCAGGCTGACTCTGAAGCCGACTTTGTTTTGCTTTTGGTTTATTCCTAAATGTAATAGAATCCCAAGTGTTAATCTCCAGTTGATACCTAACCATCCTCTTCCACTATGCTGTCCCGGTGGGGATTTATGACTGGGTGATGAGCCACCACGTCTCTCTGAACCCCGATGAGGACATGGATAACATCATCAACTCATCACTGAACCATCGTCATCAACCCAGCTTTAATCCCCAAGACTGATAACCATCGGAGGCTGTTAATTCCCAGCAAATTATCTAATCCACATGTTGTCCGATCTGTGTAAACCCAGCCCATGAGGATCATAAAATAAATAAGCATGAAATGGCTTACAGTTTCGAATCTCCTTTCACCTAGATAGGCCAGGCTGCATGATTGCAGCCACTGTCGTGGCTCCCACCTCCTTCCAAGAGGGAATGGGCAGCATGGGTTCCTATGTGGGCCTGCTTGATGCTGTTTCTAGGAGGCCACACACACACCCCTGCCTGTCCCTCCTGCTCTCCCTCCCATATCCCAAATGAAGCCAAGGCTTCGTTTCCCTGATATGTTAATCACTGAAATAGCCTTGTCCTGCAAGACACAGGCATGGTGAATTAAGATGCTGGATGATTTGCAAAACGAAAAGCAAGCTCTCCCTTGAAAAACAGGGGGCTGGTAGGAATTTGTAATGATGAGAGGCAGGCAGAGAGGGGAGACAGAAAAGGAGGTCGGCGGCTCTAGGGGATGTAAGGAACGATAAAATTAGACTGCGTTGTCTAGACATAAGCACAGGGTTACCGAGAGGTTTCGCGCGCGCTTGCACGCATGTGTGTGTGTGTGTGTGTGTGTGTGTGTGTGAATAGGACTGAGCAAGGAGTAGGGCCAAATGGCCTCTAAATCCCTTTTTGCCTCTGAAATTCTTCAAGGCTATGTCTAAAAGCCTATAATTCTAAAATTCTGTAATTCATAGATCTGATACTTCTCTAACAGACACTGTGATTCTAAGGTTCTGTGATTCTAAGAGTTTATAATCCAATGAGTCTGTAATTATAAACTGCTATGATTCTCTAATTCTAAACACTATGGTTCTCTAATTCTACCATTCCATGATGCTAATATCCTCCTGTAATTCTAAGATTCTATCATTGTTTCCTTAATTTAATATTCCACCATTCTCAAGTTCTGTGATTGAAAGAGGTCATGATTCTGTATTTCTATAAATTTATTCTTTTATATTTATAATGCTCTATAATTCTAGTATTCTAGAATTCTGATTTCATAATCCTAAAATTCTAGAATTCTAATGTTTTATGCTACTAAAAATCTAAAGCATTTATATGATTTTTTAAATCAAGTTTTCAAGAATTCCCACAATCTAAGATTCTAACATACTGGGTTTCTAAGACCCTACAATACAATTTTTTTTTTTATTCAATGTTCTGTATTTTGAAGATTAAATGTCAAGGAGTCTTAGTTCTGAAACGTTAATATTATATGCTATCATGATTCCAACATGTCTCATATTTTATGATATCATTATTACAAACACAAAGTCATTTTATCTACAAAATGCAGGAATTAAGCTGCAAGTGACAAAGAATCAAGGGACCTCCACAGCTGTCCTCCTAATCAGATTGGAGCACATCCCATGGCCATGGATTCTTCCTCAGTGGCAAAGGAGACCTGAAGACAGCTGCTTTACCCAGCCAGTGCTCCAGGAGCTGCCTGGAAAGACAAAGGCATGGGAGGTGGGGGCCTGGCCAGGGTCAGGCCGAGGAGTTGGCCCCATGCCTCCGGGAGGCCCCTCCTCAAAAGCCAGGTTTCCAAACATCTGCCAGCATTTGGGTCCCGATTGCTGTCCTTTAAAAGTATCCCTCTCCTTTTCTTGTTCCCCATCAAGGGCTCCCATGACAATCATTTCAAGCAGCTAATGAGTTTCAGATGGGCTTTGGGAGCCAGGGACGGATGGACGCTCAGAGAGGAGGGTTCTTAGGCTGAGTTCCGTGGGCAGGGGGAGGGGTGGGGGTCAGATAGGAGAATGTTTTGTAGCTGAAGTATTAGGGGCCGTCCACCCCTCCCAGGCCTGGGGACAGAACCTGGAAAGGAGCTGGAGCCGTGGTTACGCTGCTTGCTCCTTCCCGCTCGCCCGTGTTGGCTCGCTGTCAATATAGAGACCCACACTCCCTTTCTAACGCCTCACACACTGTTTTGAACCTTGATGAAATAAAGACCCAGAAGCATTATAGGAAACATCGAGGCCTTCTTGAGGCCAAGATGTGATTACTCACCTGCTAATAGAAGGGTCTTTGCAAAAGACCGAAATCGTCCTTGTTGAAATTACATCGTCTGTGATTCTCTCCCCTTCCAGATGCACGGGAGTACATCCAGAGGCTGCTGTCAGCTCTCATGTGGGCCACACCGCCTGGCCCGGGGTGGGGTTGCCTGTGGGGCCCCTGGGCCCCCTGGCACCACACGGGGGCAGCTCAGCAATCCTGCCGTTCCCTGTGCCGGGCTGCTCTCTCCCTTTGGCTCGGGGCTCTGAGGGGGCTGACAGTGACCCCAAAGAGCTTTCTCCCTCTTGTGCCAGGGGATGAGGAGAGGCCAGGGGCTCGGGAGAGGCGTCCCAGCCTTCATTTCCGTAGCATTCAGAGAGCCCAGGGAGCAGCCCGTGCCCAGAACCTGGCCAGGATTATAAGTGGGTTCTGCAGCGTTCTCACTCCCTGGCTGCCCGAGAACTTCCGCTGCTTTCAAGGTCTAATTTATGGATTCACTTAAATGAGCAGAACATTGAGAAAGACACACCAATGCATTTCAGAGGAACTCACACACTCCACAACCCAGCGAGGCCATTCCCTACCAGGAATGTAGGAGGAAGTTCTGCAACAGGATGTGTATAGTTTAGGGTTTGGAGGGGGTCTCTCCTGGCAAGAGAGACCAAACCTTATAATTAAGTAACTCTCCGTTTCCTTTAAGATATCAACAACAACAACCACGTTCTCCCCAGTTGCCTAAACAGGACAAGTCCCCGGTTAAGCAGTTCCTGGTGGTCTGTGCTCACACATGTGCAGAGAGAGAAAAAAATCTGCCTGGAAGCTGGCCTCCCTGGCTTCCCAGCAGCGGGCCACCTCCCTGCTTCGCCGCCACCCCCTCCCCCGTTCGCAATTAGGGGTAATCTTTTGTTGCCTGGAAAGTGTAAAAATCGCCGGCTTTTCTTTTTGCATGCATAATATCCATTTCCCCTCCAAGTGCGTTATTTGGTTTGGGAATTACATCTATTTACAAGAGTAGATGTTGCACAAAGGTTGTGTTTATGTGGAAAATTATATCGGTGACACGGGCTGATTGGCATGTGGAGGCTGGGAGAGCAGGCCTTCTCATCAGCTTGGAATAACAAAATGATTGCATTTTCAGCAAAGCTAATTGATCACATACCTCGCTGGGCTATCTGTTTACTCAAAGGCCATCCAGGCCCTGGGAAGGTGGAGAGAAGAGAGCCCGGGGCCCGTGGTCACTGCCAGGCCGAGCCAGCCAAGGGCTAGTGGGGTGTGGTGTAGACACGGGGCCTGGACAGGTCCTCAGGTGGTGAGGTTGGGCAGGGAGATAGGCTGACTCTGTTCTCCCCGGGGAAACCAGGCCCGTACTTCACACTGGTGACCGTGTCCTTTCTCCAGACCCCTGAAGTCAGTATGGGGCAGCGCAGGTGTGGGGAAGGGCTAGTTGGAGTATGATCTGGAGCCACTGAAAAGAAAAGACAAGTAAATTCCCTTCTCTCATCCATTGGAAAAGCAGTGGGCTTTAAGGTGGTGCTGAGCTGGCTGCACAGGGCTCGTGGGAGTGAAAGCTCTGGAAACCTGTCTCCATGTGTCTGTCTTGACTGAGTGACTCTGTCTTTGCTCTTCTCTGGGGAGCTCTAGATCAGGGGCCAGGACTGGGACTAGGAGGATGGATGGGAAAGAGGGACGTTATGGGGTGGGGGATGCTGTTAAGGAGTACATTCAGCTTCCAAATCTGCAGACAGTGAAACCTGAGCCCAACCCTCTCTGACACCCTGCCGGAACAGATCTTGCTCCTGCCTTTGGGGAAGGAGGTGCTTATCTTTAGGTTTGTGATAAAAATTCCTGGCCCTGGGCTGACTGAGCCTGTGCGAGGTCTCCTAAGAAGATATTACCTCCTCTTCATTGACCCACACCAGCCAGGCCTCTTGGACCAAACAGCTGAAGCCACCTAAAAAAAGCCCGGAGTTAGAATTGTATTTCCTCCCCAGGGTTAAAACTTCAGTTATGTGGGGGCAGAAAACAAAACAGTTGGATATAGTTAAGCAAGTACTTGAATTGAAAATGGCCAGTTATTTGAGAAACAACTTGTCCGCAATTCACCAAGAAACATTAATTTACCAGTCACTTTGCAAACATGAAGTTCCTTTGAAAACTACTGGTTTAAAACAATCTGATATCCCTCTCCTATTTTATGAAGATGGCTGGTTATTCTGCAAACTTCCACTTGGAGTTAGTCATGCTACTAGTTATTCTTTACAAACAACTTGGCACAAGCTTCAGCTCCTGGTTTGTCAGGTTAGAACTATGATTTGGTCCTTTTTCCCATTGCTGATCAAATTCAGATTTAGTTAACTTTTTCTAAAGCAAAGAGGAAGAAATATTTGGGGGCAATCAATAATGATCCTTCACTGATTTCCTGGAGCTATCCTAAAATCCTCAGATACTATTCAACCTAACAGCCTTATTTTACAAATGGGGAAACTGAGGCCTAGAATATGCTAGTCTTTGCTGATCCCTGCTGGTGACATCTGAGCCGGGTTTGAGTATTATTTGTGAGTACTTGGAACAGGTGATGCTAAGGAAACTTCAGGTGCTTTTTCTCTAAGCTCAGTCATGAGGTTTTTCACTTCTACCCAGGTCTGAGCCACACAAGTCTGAATTTGGAACATTTTAGATATTGTTGTAATAACCCTCTGGTAACACTGTGCATGTGTGTTTGTGTATGTGTGTGTTTGTCCACCAGGCATTTCAAAATCTCTGGCCCTTCTGAAAGACAGGCAAGTTTATTAATGCAGAGCTCTCCGAATTGTTTTATAATTGGAAACATTTTGCAATGAAAGAACATTAATAAAACCTGAATCCAAATCAAACTTCTCTGTGTATGTTATTTTTACTCCGCAGTCAAAAGCTTTTATTAGATTTAAAACTTTCACTGTGCTTATCTCTGGCTGTATAATGTTCTACAATAAGAAAAAAAGTCCAATGACTCTGAAGTCTGGCAAAATAATATACTTTCTTGGATGTCTCTGTGTGTTGCCAATTAGCTTTGCCGTGAACACAGGCCCCCATCCATCACCCGCCTCTGGGTGGCTGTAACAGAGACCTAATTTGTTTCACATGCCCTGCGCTCTCTGAGCCATTCACCAGCACCTCCAACCTGCTGAGGAGCAGCTTGGCTGGAGAAGAGATGAATGACAAGAAAAACCCAAGAGGAGACAGAGAGACCGCTTATCAGAAATGGGCCCTGCTCTGCTCACTCAGTGGGAAAATCCCAGCCCTTCATGCCTCTAATTCCTTCCACCCACCTCCCGCCCCACCCCTCTTTCTCTTTCTCCTTCTCTTCTTCTCCCCTTTCATGACCTAAAAGACCCAGGACTCACAGAAGGCGAGGCCTTGAGTGGAGAGTGGAAAACTTAGTCTTGTCTTCCAACTTCCAAGGGCTGGCTGCAGTCCTCTCCCTTCTCTGCCGGGTTCCCACTCCCTCCCACCTACTCCTTTTACAAGCCCAAGGTTTAAACCTCCAGTTCCCTAGGAATTTTATGAATGCTCAGCACAAGCCAAAATAAACTCGTAAAGAAAAAGTTTCTAAAGAAGGTCATAGACCCGTATAGCAAGTGCTAAGCGGTAAATACAAAAGTTCTTGGGGTCTTTGGGAGCTGTGGTCTGGGTGGTGGAAGGTTGGGGTCAATAGAGGGGAAAGGGAAGAACAAGGAGAAAAAGTGAAGCTTCCTTTTTCTCCTAGTTCTAGACCCTCAGAGTCTTTATTGTTATTATTTTGTAAAGCCTTATAGTTTGATGCCTCATTTTATTGATGCTGTAGCCCAGAGAGGTGGAGGGATTGATTCAGTGTCACACAGGAAGCTGGCCCGTGCGGTGCTCTGACACCCGTGTCTGCAGGCCTCACTCTCTGTGGTACTGACACGGTGAGGGGAGGAAAGGAAGGCGCCTTGGGATCACAGAGCTGCCTATTTTAACTCGTTAGAGCAGTGATGTCCAATAGAACTTTCTGCAATGGTAGAAATGTCTTCTGTCTGTGCTGCCCAATATAGTAGGCACTTGCCACATACAGCTATTAAATTAAGTAAAATGTAAAATTCAGTCCAACCAGCCACAATTCAAGGGCTACCATATTGAACAGCACAGATATAACACATTTCCATCTCTGTAGAGAGTTCTATTGGATAGTGCTGTTCTAAGGGCCACCATCACCAGCCCCAAGGACATGCTTGTGGTCATGGTGCAAGGTGGCCCCTTCCTCTAGGCTTTCACAGCCCTCAGTACTTTCACTACCCCCAATCATGACAGTTGCCACTCAATTATAAATGACAATGTCCTGTCTGTCTTGCCCACCTGAATGAGAGCACTTTGGGGGCTGGGGTCCTGTCTCTTTTCTCTTTTCACCTCCACGGCATCCAGCACAAGACAGATTCTCAATGATGATTTAGTCTCAGAATCTTAGAGTTGTAAAGGACCTTAAAGGGAGTCTAACAGAACTGCTCCCGGGGCAGGGACCTGCCCTGCAGCCTCTCAGAGGTAGCCCATCCACCCACTGTTTGCACACCTCTGGGGGCAGAGACCTCACTATCTCCCCAGGCAGCTGAGTCCATTTCTGAGCGGCTGGGATTATTAGAATAGACTTTCTCAAATCTAGCTGAAATCTCCCTACTTGCATCGTCTACCCTTGCTCCGCCCTCTGGCGTCTCACAATATTAATTTTGCTTTTGTTTCTATGTAATGACCCTTCTAAGAGCTAGACATAGTATATAATTCCTCCATGTTCCTCTTGAAACAAGAAGCTCATCACGGAATGCCTAATTCTAGATGTGGGCTGGTCAGCAAGGATAGCAGATACTGACCTCCCTTGATCTAGAGACTATTCTTCTGCTAGGGCCACCCACACATTTAGCAGCTTCATTACTCCATAGGCTCATCTTGGGTTTGGGTTGTATACACCTCCCAGGCCATATGCATGGCCCATGACTACGTTGCCCCAGTGGTGAATGGAATGGAAAAGGCCTCTGTCAATACTGCTCTTTGACCTGGGTGTGCAGGGACACTGCTCCTGCCTTACTTCTCAAGCAGCCTCACACTTTGAGTGCCAACCTCAACATTTTCTAAATCCCTCTCCATTGCCTGGGACTTGGGATTTGCAGTAAATACCAAGAAATATTTGGGGGCAATCAATAACGATCCTTCACTGATTTCCTGGAGCAATCCTAAAATCCTCAGAGACTATTCAACCTAACAGCCTTATTTTACAAGTGGCGAAACTGAGGCCTAGAATGTGCTAGTCTTTGCTGATCCCTGCTGGTGACGTCTGAGCCAGGTTTGAGTATTATTTGTGGGTACTTGGATCCGGTGACAGTATCAGGTGACTAGGGCTTGCAGTATCTTACAGATGGGATGCTGTGAGCCCAGACTGAGACCTGTATAGGCCCTGGTCCATTTCTCCCCTTCGGGGCTCTTTCCAACCCTCTCCTTCACACCGGGGGTTGACCAGATGCCCTAAGGAACTCTAGGATTAACTCCTATAGGCTTTACCTGGGACTGCATGGCCAGGCCCTGGTCCCAGTAGAGCAGTCTGGCAAATGGATCACTTCCACTGGCCAGTGTAGTACTTCTTTTATAGAATCCCATGAAATGGGGCCTCCAGAATGGCGCTGACATACTGATTTTAAGTGACAAATTGTTTCCAGAGACAGAGGCCTCACACACCCTAGAGGCAGTCCTGGTCCCTGTGTTCACAATCCAGTGGGAAAAACAGTCTACTCTGCAGTGTTGGGAGAGAAGTGCTGGGTGAGCCCAGAAGAAAGACCCTGGAGGGCTTCCTCGAGGCAGTGATACCTAAGCTGAGTCTAAAGAATGAGCCAGGAAAAAGAGAGAAGAGAGAATTACAGGCAGAGAAAATGGTGTGTAGAAAGATGCCTGCATACGATTCAGCCTGGTTATGTAAGCTTGGGAAGATGGCTTAGCTTTTTTGAACCCCTGTTTCTTTATCTGTGAAACTGAGAGAACAGTATGGGCCTCGCAGGGTCAAGCCTTCATTTGGCCATTCAGAAAACGTTCTGAGAACCTACTAAGCCAGGCCCTGTGCAGGTGCCAGGGGCATTCAGAAGAGCAAGGCACGCTCCTGCTCTTAAGGGGCTCCAGACCGTGGCCGTGCAGCAGCTGAAGGGCTGTCCCAGGGATTGGGCCCGGTTCCCCAGTAGCCCAGACGGCTGAGTTGACTCTGGCTGGGGTGATAGGGGCAGCTTCACTGACTTCCTGACCCTCAGGCTCCATCTTGAAAGGATGAGTAAGAGAGTCAAGGCTGAGAAGATGGGAGGGAGCAGTAAGTGCAAATAAAGCAACAGAGGGAGCAGTAAGTGCAAAGGCACAGAGGTCTGAGAAAGCCTGAGATAGTTGGGGCATGGGAAGTGGTCCCATATGCCTGTAGTGTATGGGGCACATTGACCGTGGCTGGAGATGAGGCTAGAATTCAAGGCTATAGCCTGAAAGGCCTCAAGTGCCCTTTATCACATGGGTGGCACTGAGCTCTGGAGGATTTTACGCCTGAGGGTCATGTATCAGATTTGCAGCTTAGAAAGTTTCTCTGGAAGCCGGTGAGGAGGCTGGACTGATGAGCAAGAGGCTGGAGGCTGAGAAACCAGGGAAGAGGCTGGTGGGATGTCCAGGGGAGAGACGATAGATAAGGCCATCACCAAGAGGGGTGGAGGGGCATGACCAGACTGAAGCCCCATGCAGGAGGCAGAGTTGACAGGAGCTTGGTGATTGGAGGATGTGTGTGTGGTGAGGGAGAAATGGGCCCATGAATGACTCAGGCGTGTGCCATGTTTGTTTTCCAGAAGGAATACCATTATTAGCCACAGTATTCCTTCAGGAAAACAAACAAGAGTACACACATGGCACACACCTGAGTCACTCATGGTGCCACTTGCATGTATTGAGCATGTATTATGTGCCAGGCAACGTGCTAAGCATTTTACATGCATGATCTCATTGAATCCTCACAGCAATTCTGTGAGGCAGCTTCTGTTTTATCTCTCATTTTACAGATGAGGAAACTGGCTCAGAAAGGTAAGGTAACTTGCGGAAAGTCACACAGCAGACCCAGGCTGGCATTCAGGGCAGCCCTCAGCATCTCCATCCTTCCCTCTCTCCTGCTTTTCTCCGAGGCTCAGGCTCTGGGTTCCCACCAGGCTGTCCACACCCTGTCCGATCACCCAGACACTCAGGCACAGGATGAGCCTCGCACACCTCTGCAGGGCTTTCCTGCATGACAGCCCAGTCTCCTCAACTGCAGGGAGCCCCACAATCACTCACCCTCCATCATCCACCCGTCCACCCAACACACTCACTGAACTCTGCTCTGGGCCACAGCCTGTGTGGAGCCTGGAGACAGGAAGGTGAACAGATTCACGAACCCCCCCTGCCTCACAGTGCATTCAGCCTTCAGCCCAGGGCAGGGCAGGGGGCCTGAGCTCTGCAGAGGCTCCTACCCAACTGCCCTGTCCAAAGGCACGACTCCACTCTCCCTGTGCCTCTCTCAACCCTGTGCTGTTTATTCAGACCCTCATCACAGCTGAATCGTTATTTCCACCTGTTGTGCCCATCCGCCCTATTCGAGGCAAGCTCCTTGTTAACTGAATTGTGTCTTCAAATTTCCATGCTGAAGTTCCAACCGCTAGGGCCTCAGATGTGACTGTATTCAGAGGTGGGGTCTTTAAAGAGGGAATTATGGTTAAATGAGGTCATGAGTCTGGGCCCTGATCCTTATAAGAAAAGATTAGCACAGACAGACCTGAGGCAGGACCCTCTGAAGACACAGGGAGAAGACGGCTATCTATAAGCCAAGGAGAGAGGCTGCGGAAGGAACCAACCCTACCAACACCTTGATCGTGGACTTCTATCCTCCAGAACTTTGAGAATATGTATTTCTGTCATTTGAGCCAGTCTGTGGCACTGTTGTGGCAGCCTGAGCTGACATACACTCCCTGAGGGACACTGTCTTCTTTACTCCTTGTTCTCCTGAGCGTAGCATTTCATCCCACCCAGAAGTAGGCTGTAGGTAAATATCTGTTGATTGAATATACGTAAATGTGTGTGATGCTTATACATGTCGGAGCATGCAAGGATCTGTGATACAGTGTGAATATGTGTTTCCGAGTATATCTATCTGTAAGAGCAGATGTACCTGCCAGTGGGCACATAGTCAGGTGTGAACAGAGGTGTGGTAGGTGCGGGAGTGTAAGCATGGATGGTGCTGTGTGTGTGTCTGTGAGCTTTCCACACAAGTGTGCATCTGGGCATATCCATGTGCTCACATGAAAATGAGTGTGCGCCTGTCTTTATGGGTCTAAACATGTCAGTGATGGTGCATGTGAACTCAAGTCTGGGTCTCTGTGTGTCAAGTATGTCCTTGCACTCACATGTGTCCACCCTCCTCTTCCAGGAATGTTCTGTGGCTGGGGCAGTGATGGGGTCTCTGCCCCAGCTGAGTTCTTGGAAGGCGTCAGAGCTGGAGCTGCTGGCCCTCCATGAGGTGGACTCACAGAAAGCGCTTTCTGAAGTGAGGTTGGGCCCAGCTAGCATAGGCCCAGCCTTGAGGGGTGGTGGAGGGGAAAAACTGAGAAACTGAGCCAGCAGTGGCTCCCCTTGGACCTGTCCCTGTCCCTGACCCACTCCCCTATACAGAGTACGCTCAGTTCAGCGGTCAGACCTTTGCCTACGTAATGTGTCCCCTCTCGGGGCGCTTGTTCCCTGCTCCTGGTTTTGTTCCTCTTGTTGAGATGATGACTATGACAGTGATAGTGGATGGTATGTGAAGATAATTGTTATGTTTCATTCCTCCCCTTGTAGTTTCTTCTTGCCCTCCCGCTCACTCCAGCAAAGACTGACTCTATGCTTGTTGCCCCATGGGAGGTGTGTGGCAGAAAAAATGTGGTCAGCAAAGGCTCCTGGCTTCTTTCCAAAAGCTTAAGCCCAAGAGCACTGAGAGGGCCTGCAGAGGAGATGGAAAAGAGAAGCAGGGCTGTGCAGAGTTGCTAAAACAGAGAAATGAGACGAACCAGCTTGGAGACACAGGAAGAGGCAGGGTTTTCCACAGACCCAGGCTGTGCGGAGGAACAGAGCAAGATCTGTGGATCCCCTAAGTGGAGAGGACTGACTGCTCCGGGGATAATGCATCTGTGGGAGGTATGTCTAGACAGACACACCCCCAATACAGCGCAGGAGCCTCCTAGAGCTGCCAGGCCAGATGGGGCCATGTGACGGGGTGAGGGACAGCTCTAATGTCACTGTGACTTCAGCTGACTGACAACCACAGCAGCCCCCTCCCCACCTTAGCATAGTGCAAAATCCTGTATCGCGAGTGACTAAGGTCACCTTTCCTACTAGCTCTGCGAAGTGGGGACTCAAACGCCAACTTCTTTTTTAAGCAATACAGGGACTCACTGTGTCGTGCATACTTGAATGTGTGGACTAAGATTCACACCCATGACAGTGTTAATAGCCAGTGTCGGTCTTTGCATGAGTTCATCTAATCCCAAGGACAGCTCTGAGAGGAAGGTACCATTATCAGTCCCTTTTTACAGATCAAGAAACTGAGGCATAGAGAAGTTAACTTGTTCTACAGCTGCTCTGTGGCCGAGACAGGATTCTAAGCTATCTTAGTCCCTGCACCAGGTCACTAAAATCTTCCTGACCAGCATTCCTGCCAACCCCCTCCATAGATTCCACCACTTGAATGCAAATCTAAGCCTGTAACACCCCCACCATGCTTCAACCCTCCCATGACATCTTGGTCTTCGGAATGAAATCCAACCTTCCCTCCTCAGGGCCTGCCCCGTGACCTACCCCTCACTACCCTTTCCTTTCCTTTCCTCTGCTTCTCACTGTGCCCCTCCTTCCAGCCAAGTTAGCTGCCCCCTGCTTTCTGAACACAGTTTGCTTTCAGGTCTCTGCACCTCCACACCACCCTGCCTGTTCCAGCTGCCTGCAATACCCTTCCTCTAAGAGCAACTTACAGACCACTTCCTCCAGGAAGTCTTCCCTAACTGCCCCAGTCCCGTCTAGAAGGGGACTTTATATTTCCCCAGATTCTCCTTTAGATTCCTCCAGTTCCTACTGGTATTTCCCCCGTACAGCCCTATTCGCTTTTTACCTTGAGTGTGTCAACCCATAGACTGTGAGCTGCTTTCTTTTTTTTTTTTTTTTTTTGATATGGAGTCTCACTCTGTTACCCAGGCTGGAGTGCAGTGGTGCTATCTCGGCTCACTGCAACTCCACCTCCCAGGCTCAAGTGATTCTCCTGCCTCAGCCTCCCAAGTAGCTGCGATTATAGGCATGAGCCACCATGCCTGGCTAATTTTTGTATTTTTATTAGAGACAGGGTTTCACCATGTTAGCCAGGCTGGTCTCGAACTCCTGACCTCAGGTGATCTGCCCGCCTTGGCCTCCCAAAGTGCTGGGATTACAGGCATGAGCCACTGTGCCCGGCCGACTATGATCTTCTTGAAGGCAAAAATCAAGTAAGATTCAACCCTGTGTCTCCTGAGCACCTAGCACAGAGTAGATACCTAGTAAATATTTGGTGTATAAATGAATGAATGATGTTGCTCAACATTCAGGCCTAAGCTAACACCTTTCTCCTCCAAGATTTTCTCTGATAATAAATAGGGACCAGGAGGGGAGGAAGGATGGGATTTTAAGCCAGACATTCTCAGTTTTGTCCCTAATTTCTGTGGACCTATCAGAATCTGAATCTTAATACCACTTTCCCTAAAATGGGGGCAGGAAGGCCCCTGATTTGAGAACAGAGGAGGTGCTGGCTATGAGCATACTTTGCAAACTACAAAGCCCCAGGGAGCCCCCTTAATGTGGCTCCAGTTTCCCCTGCGGCTCCTGGGCTGGGGCGTCTTAGCCTGGCTGCTGGGCGTCCTCGAGCTCCACTTGCACCCAGGCCTCCCTCTCTGTGCGTCGAGTCCGGCGGTGCTGACCCAGCCTGGCCCAGCAGGAGAACCTCAGCTCGGGAACCGCGGGGCCCTGCGGGGGAAGGTCAGGCTGGCAATTTATGGTGTGTGGGACCAACTCTCTCCCGACACATGATCTGTCAAGGGCGATGTTTTCCTTGGAAAGCTGCTCCTGCGTGGAACCCTCTTCCCGGCAAGGAGCTCTCCCTCAGGTGCTCACAGAGTTCACCGGCAGGCGACGGGGAGGCCGGGGCCTCCTGGGAAGGGGCCGTTTCCATCAGAAATGACAAATGGATTTCCTTAGCTCCAGGCCTCAGCCCAAGCACATTCTGCCGGGCAGAACGGCCTCATAAAGGTTCTGAGAGGGCCACAGAGCTCTCGTGGGCTGGGAGGGAAGCCTGGCCTGGCTCTCTGCCCCTTCTACACCAGACCCTCTTGGTCTCAGAGGCTGCAGAGTGGCCACAGAAACAGAGATACAGGGATGCAGAGAGGGGGGAAGAGAGGCAGAGATGTAGACACAGGCACAGAGAGCTCAAAAGTCAAAAAGACTGAGAATGACACAGAGACAGAGTCTGGGCAGGGAAGGAACAGAGGAAGTGCCCAAGAACAAAAGCACATGGTGATGGAGAGCCTCAGAGACAGGGAAAGACAGAGCAAGGAGGGAGAAGGGACGGTAAACACGTGCAGTAAGCGACGGCGGCGTGGGCTGGGGCCATGGAGAGGCAGCAAGAAGGCCGGAGAGACAGCAAGGGAGAGCTCCAGACAGAGCCGAAAGATGAGACAGACAGGGAGTGAGGGCCTAGGAAGAAGTGAAGGAAGAGGCCAGGAGACAGAGAAAAGAAGAGCTGTGGGCGGAGAGGCCAATGTGGAGGAGGCTGTCACAGTCCACACAGGACACTGAGGTGAAAAAACCAAATCTCTGTGACCCCAGTGAAAGACGTGGGTTGGTTCCACCTTCATTTAGAACAAATGTATGGGCCATTCAAATCTCAGGCCCTGTCACGCAAACCTGCCTGCTCACCCACTTCCTGGATAGCAGCAAGTCCTCAGAAGTACAGGTAGGGGATGAGAGCACAGGTCCGTTGGGTCCCCAAGGGAGGGGGACTGTGTCGAAGGCCTGGTGTGGGTGGCTGTGAGGGGAGCCCAGGGAGGTGGAGGAAAGAGCCCTTTTGTGGGGGGGCTGCAGTGGTGGTGATGATGGAGGGCTGGTGAAGCGGGAGCTATCAGGAATCCTGGCTGAGCTGATGGGGAGGAAGAGAAGAAAGGAAAGGATCCCACTTTCTCTGAGGCCAAGGACCACTGTGTTTTTCATAGCATCAGACTCCAGTTTGAAAGCTAGGAAGTCCAGCCTCCACTAGGACAGGAATCCACTCAGTAACTATTTATTGAGCCTCTACTAAGTGCCAGGCAGTCCTCCTGTTGCTGGGGATACCACAGTGAACACAACGGAAGAAATGTACCCTCACGGAGCTTGCTTCCTAGTGAGAGGAGAAAGAGAATAAGAAACAAAGGCTTGCAATGTATGGCATGGCAGGCGGGAATGGGAGCTGTGAATACAAGCGGCAGGGGAGGAGGAGAGAGTGCTAGGAGGCTGGTGATTTTAAGCAGGGTGCTCACACCAGCCCAGTTCAGGGAAGACCCAGCAGAGAGGCCTTGAGAGTGTGGAGGAGCGAGCTGTGAGGACGCTAGGGAAAACGGGCCTGGCACGTCCATGGAGAGCAAGAAGAGTGGGCCAGAGGGGAGGGGACACAAGGCCCAGTGGGAGATGAGGGCAGGACTGGAAGAGGGGCCAGGCCTTGCGGGTCCCGCAGGCCCATGTAGGTGCTGGTTCGGGCTCTGAGTGAAATAAGGAATCAGCGAGGGCTTTGAGCAGAGGAGTGATGTGAAACGACTTACTTTATTTAGGAGGTGACTGCCATAGGTGTGACAAGAGATGGTGGTGACTTGGACCAACCAGGGTGCTAGCTGTGGAGGTGGTAAGAAACTGTCAGGTTCTAGATGTTTCAAAGGTAGAGTGCACAGGATTTGCAGACAGATTGGTGTGGGTGTGGTATGAGGAGGAGAGGCAGGAGTCGCGGCCTCCCTGCCAGGGTCCTGCACCTCTGCTGTCACCTCCTGGGGCTCTCTTGGATAGCCCTGCCTGAGAGCCAGTGCTTCCCATGGGTGGTGCTCAGACCTGCCGTCCAGAAAGGCCCACCAACACTTTTCAGTGGGCATGCAGTCAGGAGGACAGGGACAAAGAGAGCCTCAGAGACTCCCTGTGGACCATCCACAGAAGCCCAAGGAGCTGAGACCATGTGAGGGAGACTGAGCCTGCCTTGCCATCTGACTGCCACTCTACTTGTTCCCACCCCACCTTTCTAGTGCTGCCTCCTGCAGGAGAATGTCCTTTTTATTTCCAGAAGTGTTGACTGCATTGACTGCAGAGAACAAAGGTGGTGGTTGAAAGAATTAAGTGGACTACAAGAACTAACCTAGGTAAAGCCCTACACAGTTACTATTCAGTAAAAGGTATTGATGATCCTGATAATTATTATTGGTAATTAAGAGTCAGACAGATATGGATTTGAATTGTGTGTCCTTGAACAAACTATTCAACTTCTGAATCTCGGAGTATATACCTTCAAAAAAGAGAGCATAACAGAACTTCCCTTGCACAGTTGTTATGATTAAATGAGATAATGAATGTATGAAATTTGTCATGGTGTCTGACACAGAGGAAATACGGAAGTGGGTGGTCAAGTGAGTGTTGGAGTCAGCTTATTTCCTCTTGTAAAACAAAGATTATTAAATGTTCAGGAATTGTATAAGCCAGCTATTATTAAAACTTAAAATATATAAACTTACAATTAAAGGCATTATATTAAAAACAATGGTAACATTCAAAACTCATCATTTTCTAATGATTTACACTTTACTGGTATTTATACTCTTAACAGCTGTTGTATCTGTGTGGCATAGATAGATACTACATAATGATATGCTACTGTGCATACCATCTCAAGTCTGTTTAGTGATGTCAGATTCGTAGCTTGGAATTAGCTATGATAGGAGTAATTATACCCAAAATTTGCAAAGGCTACCAATCAGGGTTTGAGTTACTGTTTTGTTGAATGTCTAGATTTAAGAAAATGGTGGAGAAAATGTAATAATGCAATGTAAACTTAAAAGTATGTCATGTCTGTACCACAAAAATTTGAAAAAATTCTCTTTAGCATTCAAAACTATTGTGCAATTCAGCAAGAAATTTGTTAACATCATTGATGAATGAGTGAAATTGTGACATAATATCTTTGTTGATATACTTTCATCTTTCTTGTTAATGTAAACAAAATTATCAACCAAGGTTTCTGTAAGAACTACATCATTCATCAACTATAAGCATTAGCTGGCTATGGATAAAAAAAATCAACAGAAGCATTCTGTAAGAATTAATTGGCAATATGCAATCAACAATAAAATAAATACACTGTACATTTAATTATTTGTAAATTGTGTGCTACACATTCTTTGTATCAGTAAAATGTATAATAAACATATATATGTATATTATACATATATACACATTTCTTGAGGGACAAGTTTAAATATTTGCCACTACACCACTGTTGCCATTAATTTTGTTACCATTGTTATTACATATAATTCAGTGTGACTTCTAGTATTGGCAGACTGATTAATTCAGACCAGAATCTCCTGTTAGGTACTATAGAAAAGCTGAACAATAATAAAACACATCTGTTTGAAGACATTGGAGAGCTAAAAAGGCAGTGAAGAATTATAGGAACAAAACTGAAAGAAAAAGAAACTCAGACAGAGAGACTTAGCATTTAAGGTTGCTTTTTGACTAGGTGTATCTGCTGATTTCAGAGAAGACCCATTGAGAGGCTGAGAAACTGAACAGAACTTTCAACAGATTCACGAAACCAAGGAAACAAAAGCTGGAGTTCAAAGTCAGCCAAGAAGGAAGGATTCTAGTAACACTTAAGGCTTTTGGTGGAGATCCTGGTGACTACATCCTAAGAGAAAAGGGTGAGCAGGAAATAGACTGCCCTATGAGGGACTGTGGCCTAGTTTTAAATGATTTTAATCACTGATTGTATTAAAGTGATCTAGCACAGATAGTACCCACAACCACTATTAAGAAAAGGTAAATCATCTCTGGACAAATATAATATCAGCCCAGGCCTCAAAATTATCTCTATAATTTTTCATAGACAATGTTTAGAAAACAACTTAAAATATCTAGGCACATAAGACTGCAAATTTAAAAAACTATATAAGATATGACAAAACAGACCTACAGGGAAGCCAGATAATTTAGTTAATCAGACATAGATTTTAAAATAACCATTGTTATAAGAGAAATAAGTTCTACTGTTAGACAGTTCTGTAGAATGACTATAGTCAATAATATATAGTTTCAAATAGCTAGAAGGAAGATATTGAATGTTCACACACAAAAAAATGGTAAGTGTTTGAGATGATGGATAAGCTTATTACCCTGATCTGATCACTATATATTATATGTACCATAGCATCACTATGTGTCCCATAAATATGTACAATTATTATGTGTCAATTTAAAATATTTTTAAAACGTCATTAATATGTTTAAGAAATTAAGTAACATTTGGAGGATTTCAGCAGAGAAAATAAAACAAAAAAATAATTAATTGGAAATTTTAGAACTGAAAATTAAAATCTCTGAAATTAAGAACTTAGTGAATCAATGGATCAGTTTAATGGCAAATTGGATGTAGTTGAGGATAGAATTAGTGAGTTAGAAGATAGATTAGAAGGAAATAACCAGAATGACATACAGAGAGCAAAGGAATGTGAAATACAAAACAGAATATAAGACAGGCCTAACATACCTATAATGTGAATCCCAGAGAGAAAAATGAGAAAGAATGGAACAGAAACATTATATAAAAAGATGATAAATGAGAACTTTCTAAAATTGCCAAAAGACACCAAACCACAGAATCAATAAACTTTGAAAAACCCAAGAAGGTTTAACTCAAAGTAAACCATATCATATTACAATTAAACTGCTGAAGATCAAAGATGAAAAAAAATCTTACAAGCAACCAAATTAAAAAAAAAAAAAAGACATTACTTTCAAAAGAGTAATAAGTAGATTGAAAGCTTACTTCTCAACAGAAACAAAACTACACAGTAGAATAACATCAAACAGTTGGAAGAAAATAATCTTAATCTCAAATTCTATTCCCAGGGAAAATATCCATCAAAAATTGATGGTAAAATCATTTTTAGACAAAATTTAAGAAATAAAAGAATTATAACCAGAAAATCTGAACTATAAGAAATATTAAGAAAGTTCTCAAAGGAAAAATATCCCAGATAGAAAGTTGGAGAGGCTGAAAGAAAGAAAGTACAATAAAAAGTATGAGTGTATGGGCAAATAAAAAGGAATATTGATGATGTAAAATAACAACAGCAATATCTTGTGTGGGTTAGAAATATAAATAATTTAAAAATATGAAAGAATCCTATTACAGTTCAGAAAAGATAAATGTAGTTAAATTGTTCTAAGGAATTAGCACTTTCAGGAAGAAGTAAAAGTATCAATTTATATATTATGTAATGTTCAATAAGTTAAGAATACATTTTATAATCTCTAAATAAATATTAGTAAAAGAATAAAAATAATACAGGCAAAAGAAAGCAAGAAAAGGAAAAAGGGGAATGTAGAACAGGAAGGACAAATAGAAAGTCAATGATGAAATGAAGATTTAAACCTAAATAATTTAATAATTACATTAAAATATTAATGACCTAAGTATTCTAATTAAAAAACAAAAATTGTTAGCCCATATTTTAAAATGAAATCAATTATATGCTGCTTATAAGAAATGCACCTAAAATATAAATATACAGAAAGATTGAAAATAGAAGGATGCAAAAGGACATAACATGTGCTATGATTTGAATATGTTGCCAGTGTGATAGTATTGAGGTGGGGCCTTTAAGAGGTGATTAGGCCATGAGGGCTCCTCCTTCATGAATAGGAGTATGTGCCCTTATAAAAGGGCTTAATGAGGGAGTTCAGCCCTTTCTCCCCTTTTGCGTTCTGCCATGTGAGCACAGCGTTCCTCTCCTCCATGGGACTCAGCATTCAAGGCGCCATCTTGGAAGCAGAAAGCAGACCCTCATCAGATACCAGATGCCAGTGCCTTCACTTTGGACTTCCTGCCTCCAGAATTGTGATAAACAAATTTCTGTTCTTTGTAAATTACTCTTTCTGTGGTATTCTATGATGGCAGCACAAAATAGACTAAGATAACATGCGAACTATAATTTTAAAAATTGGTGTAACTATACTAATATCAGACTATGTAAACTTTAAGGTAAAGTTTTAGTAAGGTTGATGGATATAAGATCAATAATCTAAAATTCAATTTTATTTCTGTATCTCTTTACCAAACACTTCAAAGGTGACAGATATTATAGTACTAAACAATGTTTATTACCTATAAATAAATCTAATTAAAGGCATGTACAATCTCTACATCAAAAACTATAAAACATTGTTGAGAGAAATTAAAGAAACCCTATGGAAGGACATAACAAATTCACGTATTAAAAACTCAGTGTTGCAAAGATATCAGTTCTCCTCAATTTGATCTATAGAGTCAATGGAATTTTAATAAAATTCCCAGCAATTGCTTTATGAAAGTTCACAAGCTGATTCTAAAATTACATAGAATGCAAAGAGCTAAAAACATCCAAGATTCACTTCAGGAAGAATAGTAAGATTAGAAGACTTATTCTGTGGATACAAAAATGTATTACAAAGAGACAGTACCCTACAGAAATTATTTTGCTAATTGGCCACAAGGATAGGGAAATAGATCAACAGAACAAAGTTCAGAAAGACTCGTGCTTATATGGGGGCTTCTTTAAAGAGAAAGATGACACCACAGATCATTAGAGAAAGAATGAACTTTTTCACGAATGGTACTCAGTCAAATGTGTATAATATGCAGGGAGGGAGGGGATTAAAACCGATTCCTTCCTCACACCATACAAAATCAATTAAAAACAAATTATAGATCTAAAGTGAAACAAGAAGCAATAAAGACAACATAGAAGAATATCATCATGAACTAGGCATAGGGAAAGATTTCTTAAAGAGGACACAAAAGTTCTAGTCATAAATAGAAAGCTTTAATGAATTGGATTACATTAAAATCCAGAACTTCTGTTCATTATAAGACTTGATTAAGAGAGCAAAAAGGCAAGCTAAAGAGTGGAAGAAGATATCTGCAACATGTATAACTGACAAAGAAATTGATTCAGAATATTTAAAGAATTCTAGTAGCCAACAAGAAAAGGGTGAACCAATTAAAAAGTTAAAAAGAGATTTCAAAAGCCAACTCACAGAAGAGGAAATCCAAATGGTCAATAAATATATGAAAAGGTATTCAACCTTATTGGTCCTCAGGAAAATGCAAATTAAAACCACAATGAGAATAGTACACACCCATCAAAATGGCTAAAATTTATAACAAACAAAACTAATAGTAATGAGTGTTGGAGAGGATTTGAATTAGAACTCTTATGTATTGCTTGTGGGAGCTCAAATTGGTATAACCACTTTGGGACACTGTTTGGCATTATCTGCTAAACCTGAGAATATACATGCCCTATTACTCAGAAATTTCACTCATAGGCAGGTATTTATGTCCAGCATAAATACATGGACATGTGAAGCAAAAAACATGCTCAAGAACATTCATAACAATAGTATTTGTAACAGTTCCAAACCAGTAACAACTTAAATGTCCAATGACAGTAGAATGAATTAATACATTGTAGCATATTCATACAATCGCATATTATACAGAAATGAAAATAATAAACCGCAGTTACATACAGCAATATGTGTAAGTCTCACAAACAAAATGCTGCCTAAAAGCAGCAAGAAATGAAAAAATATGATTCTATTTACATACATGATTTTATTTACGTGTTTATTTATTTATTTATATTTATTTTGAGACAGAATCTCACTCTGTCACCCAGTCTGGAGTGCAATGGCACGATCTCGCTCACTGCAACCTCCGCCTCCTGGGTTCAAGCGATTCTCGTGCCTCAGCCTCCCGAGTAGCTGGGATTACAGGCACCTACCACAATGCCTGGCTAATTTTCATATTTGCAGTAGAGATGGGGTTTCACCATGTTGGCCCGGCTGGTCACAAACTCCTGGCCTCAAGTGATCCACCCACCTCGGCCCCCCAAAGTGTGAGGATTACAGGAGTGAGCCACCACACCTGGCTTTACATAAAGTTCTAAAATGGCCAAAACAAATTTATGATATTGTCAGGTAGTGGTGACCCTTGGGAGAAGGCGAGAATAGACTGGGGAGGGGCATAAGCAAAGCTTCTGGTGTGCTGATGCATAGACTTTGTGATCATCAGAGCGCATCTTCATTTCTGCACTTTTCTGTAGTGTGTTATATTAGATAAAAGGCTAAACAAAAAAAAAAATTAATCTTCTTCCTACACTCCAGTGGTTCCATCTTCCAGATGTCTTATCTGACTCTTAAAACTCAAACTTCATACCATGAACAAGCCCCCTCCCAGAACCCTCAAACTCATTGTTGTCAAAACTTTCTTCTTCTCCCACTCTGTACCCAACCCTATACTAGGTAGTAGAGATACAAAGATGACTAATATAGTGCTGGCCCTCAAGGAGTTTAGTCTACAGAAGGAGCAAGTAAAAATTAATATGATGCACTCAGTGCAACAGCAGAGATGTGCAAGCGTTAAGTGACCTCGGGCTGCGGCTGAAGGAACTGTTGTTGGAACAAAAAGAAGAGCATGGGTCAGTATCAGGTAGACATGGTGGCATGTCCTAGCTCTACCACATTCTAGCTGGGACTGCTGGTAAGTTCCTTAAACTCTCCATCCTCAGATTTTTTATCAGTAAAGCAGGGGGATCCTGCCAAGATATTTTGAGGGCCAAATAAGATAACACAGGTACATGCCTGGTACATAGTAGGTGCTCAACAAGACTTAGCCTTTTCCCTTTCCCTCCCTAGCAAAGGATTCCCAGAGGTGGGCTTTGAAGGATGTAGGGATGTCCCCAAGTGAGGTTCACCTTGAGGGACCTCCCTCCACCTCCTCCTTCTCTCACCTCCACCCTGACCCCAGTACCAGGCTGGGCACCTGGAGGGTCTTTACTAAAAGCTTGTTGATTCAGTCATGCCCTCCCTTCAAGTTGTGATGTCTCAGAGCAGAGGATGGATGTGTTCTGTCTCAGAGCAGAAATCTGAAACAGCGAAGTGTTGGTTAAAGTCATGGTGATACATGCGCTGAATTTGGTGCTAAACTCTGTCGCTCACCAACTCCGTGACCTTGGATAAGTCCCTTTGTTCTCCAAACCTCAGTGTCTTTCTACATATAATGGGATTTTAAACTCTCCTTCACACGGGTAAGATCATAATTAACTGAAATTATGCATATAATTATGCATAAAATTAGGAAATGAAAAATGCTGTGTAAATGTCAATAGCAATAATGATAGTCAAAACACTGATTGAGTACTTTCCATGTGTCGGACACAGGGCTATGAATGTCTTATAGACATTATTTCATGAAACCCTTACAATCCTAGGAAGCAGTTAACACTTACCAGCTTCATTTTACATGAGAAGGAGCTGAAGTTTAGGAGTAAGTAGTTTGCCCCAGGTCACTCAGCTAAGAAGTGCTGGAGTCAAGAAACAGATGCAGGCAGTCCTACTTCAGAGGGGCCTGTGCTCAGAGCTACCTGATGCTGCCTCCTGCCATAGTTCAAGAGAACTCATTCTGAGGGTTTCTCAGCCTTCTCCTCCAGGTGAGTGCCAGGTAGACCCCTTGTGGGAGTAGCAGGGAGCATTAGAATGAGGAATAGGACCTCAGGGTCATTACCATACATGCTAGGAAACTGTCTTAGTCCATTTGTGCTGCCATAACAAAATATCTGAGACTGGGTAATTTATAAACAATAGAAATTTATTTCTCACAGTTCTGGAGGCTGGGAAGTCCAAGATCAAGGCACCAGAAGGTTTGGTGTCTGGTGAGGGTTGTTCTCTACTTCCAAGATGACACCCTCTGGAGGGGACAAATGCTGTGTCATCCCACGGCTGAAGACAAGAAGGGCAAAGTGCAGAAGGGGCAATTGCTGTATGAAGCCTCTTTTATAAAAGGCCTTAATCCTATTAACAAGGGAAAAGCCCTCAGGACCTAATCACCTCCAAAAGGCCCCACCTCTTAATTCTACTGCATTGGAGATGTTTCAACATGAATTTTGGAGGAGACACAAATATTCAAACCACAGTAGGAACCCACTCAACTTTGACCATTTTTGCCCCGTCTCTTATCTCACTGGATATTCTCAGGTTGGGTGTATATTAACCACATGTGGCAGATTATTAATTAGGCGCCATCAGCCGGGTGCAGTGGCTCATGCCTATAATGCCAGCAGTTTGGGAGGCTGAGACAGGCAGATCACTTGAGGTCAAGAGTTCAAGACCAGCCGGGCCAACATGGTAAAACCCCGTCTCTACTAAAAATACAAAAAATTAGCCGGGTATGGTGGTATGTGCCTGTAATCCCAGCTACTTGGGAGGCTGAGGCAGGAGAATCACTTGAACCCGGGAGCCAAGATCACGACACTGCACTCCAGCCTGAGTGACAGATCAAGACACCATCTCAAAAAAAAAAAAAAAAGAAAAAAGAAATTAGGCTTCATAGAGCTACAGCAGCTCACCCAAGGCTTATTGTTAGGCCAGGAACAAGCCTGGAGAAAAAGGCCTCTGACTACCGATAGGGCTCTTTCAATGCTACACTGACTCAGACACTGAAGCCCAGGAGACAAGAGAGACCACTTGCTAAGTTCCATTGGTATGGGTTTTATTTGGATTGGAATCATTGAGTTGAATTGCACTGATTTAGTTCCATTCATTTGGGTTTTGTTGGATTGAGTTTCCTTGGTTGATTTCCTCCTAACCTGACCTGGAGCATTCCACAGGGCACTCTCAGTTGTAATTGACAGTAACCCAACTTAAACTGATTGAGCCAAAAAGAGGATTTATTACCTCACTTTATTAGAAAGTCCAGGAGTGGCACTAGCATCAGGACCAAAGGACAATTGTCGGATCTCTCGTGTGTGCACCTGCTTCCACTCTGCCTCTCTTTCAGGCTCTCTGCATCATGTTATTAATACCTTCTGCTGTAGACAGGCTTCCTGTCTCTAGACAACTGTCCTTCATGCCTTGGGGTGGAGAGTGGAGGGATGGGGAGGAATGATCTCTGACAGCTCCACTCTTACATTATCCTAGCTTGATGACTCCAGACTTTCTCTTTCCTGGTATCCATATATTAAATCCTAAGGAAGGATTTAATGCATAGTCTAGCTTTGGTCACGTGCCCACCCCTGAGCCAATCTCTGTGCTCAAAAAGATGGGGTATTCTAAAGGACTCCATGAACAGAGAGGACAGACTGACTAGGCACCTGTCTCATGGAGCAGGAGAGGAGCTGTCTCCCCATAGGAAGAGGGAGTGTCTGGAGGGAAGAGATGTCAGGCTGACCTAGACTAGATGTCCTTTATTCCAGTGACTGCTATTGTGGATCTGGCTCTGTCTGGTCTGCTCTGGCTAGGATCATTTCCTCTGAGGGTCTCTTTCATCCTGACCTGTGGGAAAAGCATTAGGCAGGTGGATCAGGTGAATCAGGGTTACCCTGCTCACCTCAGAACAGCCTCAAAATGTGACTGAGTGTAGGGGTGAGTCCAGCAAAGAAGCTGTGCATTGTGGACAAGCCTCCACTTCTCACTGGGCCTCAGTTTCTTCCCCTATAAAATGGGAATGATGGCCACCACCAGAAGGAAGGCAGTGAGGGTAAAACCAGGTCCTGGCGTGGATGTTGGGCAAGCCCAGTGGGCAGTTAAGTCTATGGGTGTGGTACTCAGGCCACAGAAGGGAGCTGAAGGAGTGGACTGGGGCACTTAATGGGCACAGAGATTGATTAATTCATTCAATACCTTTGTGCCATTTAGTGTTGTGCCAGGCACTTTCTAGGCACTGATACATCAGCAAATCAAATAAAGATTCAGCCCAGTGGCACTTGCATTCTGCAGGGGGGGGACATACAATAACAACAAACATAATGCATAAGTAAATCATGTGGCATATTAGGTTATAAATGTGATGACCAAAAGAAAAAGTAGAGCAGGATGAGGGGAGGGCAGCAAAGGGGAGGGGACGAAAGTTTTAAATGGGATGTTGGGGTAAGCCTCACTGAGAAGGTGACATTTGAGCCAAATCGTGAAGGAGGTAACAGAAGCCACGGGAGTGGATAGGAAAGCCCCAAAGAGATTGGAATTCTAATCTGGGATCTGTGAGCAGAATTCTGGAGTCTGGAAGCATCTTGAAGCTGGGTGTGTGTGTGTGTGTGTGTGTGTGTGTGTGTACAAACTCTTCAAGTCTCAGCACTGGAAGGGCGCTTAGAGAACATTGCATTCTGGCCGGGTGCGGTGGCTTATGCTTGTAATCCCACCACTTTGGGAGGCCGAGGCGGGTGGATCACCTGAGGTCAGGAGTTCAAGACCAGCCTGGGCAACAAGGCGAAACCCCATCTCTACTAAAAACACAAAAATTAGCTGGGTGTGGTGGCAGGCACCTGTAGTCCCATCTATTCAGGAGGCTGAGGCAGGAGAATTGCTTGAACCCAGGAGGCGGAGGTTGCAGTGAGCCAAGATCGCGTCATTGCACTCTAGCCTGGGTGACAGGAGTGAAACTCTGTCTCAAAACAAACAAACAAACAAAACATAAGAACATTTCATCCTATCCCCACCTTCCTGTGTTACTGCAGAAGTCTGAGTTTGCTTGCAGAGAGCAAGTTATCTGCTGGGCTGAGATGAGAACTCACATCTTCCAATTCCTGGCCCAGGACTTAGCAGCTGGCTGCTCCATGAGTGGAAAACCAGGTCATCATGTATCACCAGCCTGGAGCCACTTTGTCACCATCTGTACCTCTGTCTCCAGCTCTGCCTCGGGGGTGGCTGTGGTCTCAGCAGTGGGCCATGGGCCGTGTCAAGGGCAAGGTCAGGTTACATGGCAGGTACAGCCATTTAGCAAGAGGATTCTACTACATCCCCGCCCAAAACAATGTCATCTTTAGATATGTTGGGAACTTCTCACCACAATTTCAGAATCACAGGGGACCAATCAACAAACTAGCATTTCGATTGTGGCTTCACTGGCATTTGCCTAGAGTGGCCACAGATCCGACAGAATCTCACTGCCAACAACCCTGCCTGGAATGGTG
Source organism: Homo sapiens (assembly GCF_000001405.40). Taxonomy (NCBI): domain Eukaryota; kingdom Metazoa; phylum Chordata; class Mammalia; order Primates; family Hominidae; genus Homo; species Homo sapiens. Next base: position 47,664,286 of record NC_000001.11, on the reverse strand, counting down.
CCTTCCTCCAATATCTGCCCTAACCAGGGCCTTTGTCCTCAGGGTCCTGAGAGGCCCATCCTCCCTGCTTCTTCTCAGCATCAGGGGCCTTTGAAGATGCAAGGTGAGCTAATGAAGGCCGACAAGAAGAGTCTATTGAAGAGATTTCAAAACCAGAGGGAGATAGGTTCATTTGCATTCATTTCCATTTAATTAAACAAACATTTACTGATTACCTTCCTGTGTGTCAGGCACACAGATAAATAAGATCTTTTCCCACAGTACACTGCAAAAATGACCACAAACTCTCCTCATTCTTGCAACTTTGCAATGTCATTTTGCAAACCTTCCAACCAAGAAATGAAATATGTTTTTTAACCCCTTGACTCTGGACTGCCCTCATGACTTGCTTTGACCAATGGGACATTATGCGACTTGGAGGCATGTCTTGAAAAGCACATGTACACTGAGCTTATCCACACTCACACACACACACATCCATCCAGTTTCCAGATGCTCCCAGACTCCAGAATTCTGCTCACAGACCCCAGATAAGAATCCACTCCTTTGGGGGCTTTCTCCTCCATTCCCATAGCTTCACTTCCATCAAGGCTTTCCTCAAATGTCACCTCTTCAGCGAGGCCTTTTGCTGCTCTTGAGAACCCTGCAACCACCACCATATGAAGAAGCCCAGGTTAGCCTGCTGAATGATGAAAATCATGCCACCTCATTACCCCAGCCAACAGCCAAGCAACCACAAATGCTTGAGTGAGCCCAGCTAACGCCAGCAGAGGAGCTACTCAGCTGAGCCCAGATCAAACTACTAACTCACAGAATCGTGAGCTAGATACGTGGTTGTTGTTTTCAGACATTGAGGTTTGTGTGGTTTGTTACGCAGCAAAAAATAACTGAGACGCTGCTCATAAAGACCTCTCTTTACCTTAGAAGGCAGGCCAGTAAGTAAATATGTGAAACTAGCTTGGTACAGGGAGTAGTGGAAATGATGGCAAATGGACTTCATCTAAAGGAAACAGCCTCTATTCAGCTCTTTCTAATTGCTGCCATTGAGGAATGTGTACCCAGTGTTGCCAGGCAGAGTTTTAAAGAGAAGCCAAAAATCAGGACACTTACGCAAGATCTTCCAATGCTTAAATGTTAACAATTTAACTATCTTTAACCTGCATAGTCTAAGCATCTGCAGGCCTAATCTGGCCCACAGGCCTCCAGCTTGCAACTCTAAATTGATGGAAGAAAGGTAATACTTTAAATGGCAACAACAGAGATAATAATAGTAACAAACAATAATCTTAAAAGGGGGAGTTAAATGCAGGGAAAGTTAAGCCCCAGGGCTCCAGGAGCTCAGGAGAGGCACCTAACCTAGCCAAAGGAGGTCAGGAATGCACCGTGAAGCAAGAGGCATTGGGCTTGGTTCTTGAAGAATGAAGACATGTAAGGCAGGTAACAAGGTGACAAAGATGTTCCTGGCAGAGGAAACAGCCTGTCTTAAGGACTGGTGTGGCAATGGTGACATCTGGGAGGAAAGCATCCCTGTAACATAGGTGGGACAGCAGTCAGGGTAGGCAGAGTGAGGCTGGAACAGTGAACAGCATCAGGTAAAATCTGAGCTTTACTGACTAAGGGAGGTGGCAAAGTGACGAAAGTAATTCAGAGAGCAGCCTCAAGAAGCAGGCTCCTTAATTTGAACCTTGGTTTGGCCATTTCCTATCCATGTAAACCTTTAGCAAGTCACTTACCTCTTTGTGCCTTAGTTTCCTCATATCAAAACAGGGTTAGTAATGACCCTGTTGTGAGTCAAACCTCTGTTATTATTGATCCATGAAGAACCATAAAAAGGTGTTGGTTGTTTCTTGTTTTCTTTCTTTCTTTCGTAAAAGCAAAATATATTTGTTACAGAAAACTCATAAAACATGGAAAAGTACAAGCTGGGCACAGTGGTGCACACCTGTAGTCCCAGCTACTCAGGAGGCTGAGGTGTGAGGATCCCTTGAGGCCAGGAGTTCAGGGTTCAGTGCACTATGATCGCACCTGTGAACAGTGAATAGCCAGTGCACTCCAGCCTGGGCAACACAGCAAGATCCCATCTCTTTTAAAAAAATTATAGAAAAGTACGAAGATGAACATTTAAAAATCACCCATAATCCCACTACTCACAACCAACCATGGCTGGTATTTTGTAGCTATTTCCAAGTCTCTTATCCTGTAGGACATGGTTTGCTTGCTTATCTTCATAAATTTGAAGTCCTAGGCTATATGGAATTTTATTTTTTTCTCTTAATGTCACACCATAAGACTTTTCCCATGTCCTTAGAAATTCTTCAAAGGCTCAAAGGCAAAAATTTTTTAAAAACTGTTATGAAAAAATATATATATATATATAATTTTTTTTTTTTTGAGACAGCGTCTCACTCTGTCACCCAGGCTGGGGTGCAATGGCGTGATCTCGGCTCACTGCAACCTCCGCCTCCCGGGTTCAAGCAATTCTCCTGCCTCAGCCTCCTGAGTAGCTGGGACTACAGGCGCCTGCCACCACGCCCAGCTAATTTTTATATTTTTAATAGAGATGGGGTTTCACCATGTTGGCCAGGATGGTCTCGATCTCTTGACCTCGTGATCCACCCGCCTCGGCCTCCCAAAGTGCTGGGATTACAGGCATGAGCCACTGCACCCAGCTGAAAATATTAATAATACATGTGCGTAGGATGTCTTCTATTTGCTCTGATACATGGAGAATAATGCTAGTACTCATGGTTATTAACATTTGTTGAACGTTCACTATGTCAACACCGTTCCAGGATTTCATATGTATGGAGCCATTTCATTCTCCCAGCCTAGGAATTATGTCATTTGAATTACCCGCATGTGCTGGGATGCTCTCTTCCCTTCTCCCAGGCCTCAGTGGGCTCACGTGTATGGACGGCCTCCACCAGCTCCTCTGCCCTCTGGTTGGTTATGCCAAAGGGAGGCATGGCAGGAGACAGAGAGCAGCTGGAGTTTTTATTCCCAGGGCTCCGTTCCTGCTGGGGCTGCTGTAGACTGGCTGCCTCCCTCTACCCAAAGCCACAGCCCCCCTCAGGAGGCCCTCTCCACACAGCTCTCTTTCCAGTTTCACTAACCGTGTCCTCCCCTAGCCCCGAAGGCCCAGGGGTGCTAACAGCTACCTGTGGTTGCTAGTGTTAGAGTACTATCCCTACTCCCTGCCTACACTTTCCTAAAAAGCCCTTTTGATAACCTCTTGTCAAATTATCCAGGTTGATTGGGCCATCTGTTTCCTGCTGGGGCCCTGACTGTTTTATCCATGCACAACATGTGCATGGATAAAAATTTCATGTGCACTAATAATTAGCCATTTCAAAGTTATACAGGGAAAACGAGGCTTCTTCCCTGGTTTTGGCAGGCTCCCAAGTTTACTGCTCAAAGTTGAGCACCCTCAAAAGTTATTTGTTTAAAAATAATAATTGCTGACATGTATAGTATTTTATAGATGAAGCAATTGAAAGACAAAGAGATTAAATGACTTGCCCATAGTCACACAGCTCATAAGTGGAAGAGCTGGGATTTAAACCCAAGTAACCTGGCTACAGAATCTGTGCTCTTAAATATACTTACACACATTGCCTCTCAGAAAACTACACTAACATTTACATCTATCCTCATCTAAATATTGTCTGTTGATTTTGTATAAATTGAAGCATATTATATATATCAATCGTGATTTCATTCACTTAATAATATGCCTTTCAGTTCTTGCCTTACACCTTTTGTTTTGTTTTTCATTTGACATACTTCACACGCTTTCCTTAAATAAAGGTCTATCTCATTTTTTAATTAATCCGGTGGCTTCCTTGTCCTCTGGTTGGATGCTGCCAATGGGAGGCGAGGCAGGAGATTTGTATTTCAGCTATTTTCAATTTTTTGCTATTTTAAATAATATACAATAAATAACCATATTCATATATCTGTGCATATAAGGGAAGTCATATCTATGGACTAGATTCTTAGGGGTACAAAAGATATGTGCATTTTTAAAATGTGATGTCTTTTGCAAAATTGTCATTGAGGATGAATATCCTCACAGTCTGTTTAAATGCTTGTCTTTCTACGGTGTGTTTCATAAATTATTATTTTTTATTTTTGTAGTTAAAAAGTGCCTTAACTTTCATCTCTTTCACTGTGGAAGAGTTCAGCATCTTTTCAAATAAAACCATTGTTTTATTGGCTCCTTGATACTCCATCCTATGCCATAATTTACTTAGCCCATCTTTCAAAATTCACTATTAAAAATTGCAGTGTGATGATCATCCTTGTACATAAATATTTGTCTATATCTCTTAGTATTTCCTGGGAAAGATTTATAGAAGTGGAATTACTGAGTCAATAGGTACAGGCTTTTTTTTAGACTTTTGCTAAATACTGCAAATTGTCATAGAAAGAATTGGATTACCCTCCCACCAACAACATTTGAGAGAGCCCCAACCCACCTCCCTAGCACTTTTATCATTTTAAATGAGTGTCTACAAATAAGGAAAATGGGATCTCAATTTAATTTACATTTCTTTGATTTCTAATAGGCCAAATTAATTTTTTTCATATTTCTTGGCCATTTACATGGCCATTTCTGCCCTATTTCTAGTGGGATCTTAATGTTTCTTTTATGACAGGTACTACACCAAATGTTTCTAAGGAGGTCAAATCAACATGTTACTTATTAAATTTCTACCGTGCAGAAAGTACTGAACTAGGTGTTTGGAGAGACGTAAATGAGAGGCAATCATTATTCTTACAGATCTTGTGATTTAGCCTGGCAGACAAGCCCATACACAGAGAAAGCAATTAGAGGGCAAGCCAGACAGTCTATAATCAAGTGCTGAATGGGCAGCTTGGGGCTACGTGCTGTGAGAGCTCAAAGAGGAGAGAACAGACCAAGCAGGCACGGTCAGCGAAAGCTTCTTGTAGGAGGAGCCCCACGCAGGAGCTGTGACATTTAAAATATGACTGTTACACAGCGACACACATTTCTCTTTCCTCCAGCACAGAGGATGATGTCTCAATGGCTCTCTTAGCACTCTTCAAGGAAATCAGTCTTAAAGAGATAACTTGTTGGTCATTGCCAAGGCTCAGTCCAGCTAGCATTGGTTGACCACTGTCATCATCGCCATGGTAATGACAGTGACAGCACTGATATTTATTGTACTCTGACCATGGATAGGCACAGGGTACAATAACTTTATATTAATTAACTCATTTAAACTCCTGACAAGTCTGTGAAGTAGGTATTATTGGCACCCTTTTTCCAGATGTGGAAACTAAGATTAAATAAGTCACTCATAAGGGCATTAATGAAAGTGTCAGAGCCTGGTCTCTGGCCCATGTTTGTCCAACTCCAGCAAGCATGCTCACCATGCAGGCTTGCTGCAACTGCTGTGGCCAAAAACCTTTTCCACCCACCCAACACATCCCTTCTTCCTCCAACCAGAGCCTGAAGTCACACCGTTCTGGCACTTCCTTTGGCATGATTGACAAAGCCACACTTACCTTGAGGGGAAAAAATGAGAGTCACAGAAGTTCAGCAAAAACTCCCTGAGCATGTGCTAGGGTCAGGGTGAGGCACCGGAGTCCCCACCCGGCATGGGAATGACGGAGGAGTAGATGACCACAAGACTGGGAGAGGGGAGCACCAGGAGCTTGGAGATGGGGGTTGGGGGTGAAGCCCGGGTTGGGAAAATCTTCTTGGAGGACATGGCACCTGAGTCAGTGCTGAAAGATGGAGGAATTAGCCAGGCAGAGGGGCACTCTAGGAAGAGGGGACAGCCCAGGCAAGAGCCGAGGTGGAAGCCAGGGTAGAGGGGAGGGCAGATCACAGCATGCCCTTCATCACAGGGCATCACGCTGTGTCGTCCTCCTCTGTGGACCCATCTGTTCTGCCCAACAAGCTGTGTCCTCCCCCAGGGCAACGACTACATCTGACTCTCACCTGGGAGCCCTGCAATGACCTGAGGCCTGGCACATGCTGGGGAGGGGGTACACATGTGTGAATGAAGGACTTAATGACCAAATAGGTGGGGCTTGTCTGTGCAACCAGACTATGCACAACCTGAGGACAAAGACCAATGTCCTTCTTCATCTGTCCCTCAATACCATGTTGTCAAGCACAAGTCTGTTAGAATGTAGCACTAATAATTACTTTTATTAGAGCAAACTCTTACACAGTAACGATTTACAGGCCCTACTCTAAGTTGCTTTACACCTATCTTCTCATTGGATCCTCAGAAAAACTCTGCAGTATCCATTTTATATATCAGAAAACCAAGGCTCAGAAAGGTTGAGTAACTTGCATATTTAATGTCTCTCAAGTGTCACTTGAGAGACACTAAATAACAGAACTCTAAAGCACAGGTATGGGAATCTGGCTACACCTAGGTTCAGGTCCCAGCTGTACCACTTGGCTGCTGTGGAATCTTCATGACTTACATTCTCTAGCCTCAGTGTTGCCATTTGTGAAATAGTAACAATACCAACTTCACGGGTTTCTGGTGGGGAGCAAATTATATAAATGTGAAGCACCTAGTTCAGTGCTTGGCACATAGTAGGTATTCAGGAACTGGTAGCATCATTTTTGCCCTGCAGTCACGATAGCTCTCTTCCCAGGGAAGGGGGCCATGTGTTGCCCTCCTATTCTTCTTGGTCCCCTGTCTCCTCAGACACGACCTCCTCCTGCCCCGCATGAGCCACTCGCAGGAAGACGTGTGAATCAGATCCGCTCCGCTTGGGCCTGCTGTTTCCCAATCAGCAGACTTCTTCCATATAGAGCAATCTTTTCCATTGCTCCCCGCTGCCAGCAAAGACCAGCATTAGAGAGCGTCTTGGCTCCCATCGGAAGAAAAACAAACTTTGCAGAAAAATAAACACTTTTTTTAAAAGTCCCGTGGTTTTACATTCAAGACCTAATAGTTTTTCCTTTCTTTTTTTCCCAGATACCACAAATCTTCTGCTGGAGGGGAAAAAAAAGGGAGAGCGACCAAGGAGGGACTTCTAGATTGTTCTTCCATGCAAACATGACCCAAGATGGCTGCATTCAAAGTCCCAGGACCCATGTCTGTGCTACAGTGAGAACTCTCAGCCGCAGCTCCTTCGAGACTTGAGTCCTCTCTTCCCCACTCCTCCTTACTTCCATGGCTCCAGAAAGGGTAAGTCTGGGCACCTCTCCTCACCCTCTCCCATTGCTCCTGGGCTGTAATAGGCAGAGGCACAGGCATAAATGTCAGGGAGGCCCAGACGGAGGCTCTCGTGTGATAGGCCTGGGACAGCTCCACTCCAAAACATAGTTGCCTCCCCACAGTGAGGCTGGCTGGCCAAAGGCCATCCTGTTCCAGTGACAAGTCTAAAATAGGAAACCGTTTCTTAGAGAAACACGAAACCATTGCCTCTGAGAACACAGAGTCCCCCAGCAAAAAGAAACAGCCTCTGATCTGGAGGGCAATTTCTTGGCAGCCTCCATTCCACCCATCCCTCAACAGGGCAGGGAAGAGAAGGTCCAAGTGACCTGGGCACTGGCTGCATGGCCAGGGGGAGCTGTGCCCCTCATACATGCCTATGTTTGCTCATCCCGAGCCACCAATGTGTCAGTCTGCAGTGGGTAGCGGGAGAGACTGGTGGATGTGATGATTTAGAGGCAATACAAACAAGGCACCTTCTGCAGGAACCGACACTTATTAGGTGCTCTCCTCATCTCTGTTAACCCTGGTACCCATGGCTTCTGAAGATCTGGAAACATCCCGAGTAGTAGACAATATTTTTTGTGCATATCTTCACTGGTGAAAACATTTATCAAATTCTCTAAGGGGACAAATACCCCAAAAGGCTAAGAATCACTGGCTTTTTTATTCAACTTTTTAATTGAGAATTGAAATCCTTAGAAACAAGGACCTGTCTTATTCATCTTGGTGTCATCACAGTGTAGGAAAAGACCTGGCATTTTGGACGTCCAGTGGAATGAATGAATGAATGCGTGAATGAGTAAGTGAGTGAATGAATGACAGCTTATTCATTCAGGGACTTCAGAGCTTGGTAGAGAAACTATAGAAAAAATAATAAAAGGCAGAAAATGATCAAAGTCAAAGGAAATGGAAAAATAAAGAGTTGTAGAGGCTCTGAGTGGACATAAGTTTCTCTGGCAGGGCTGGCGAGGGGAAATGGCTGGCAGAGTGGAGCTGGGACAACTGGTGGGAGCCAAGGGAGGGGAGGTTCAGTAGATAAACTGGGGAGAGAGCTGGGAAGTCATTCAGGAAACATGGTGAAGAAAGAAATCACAAACTTTATAGAGACACGAACTTTTTTTTTTTAACTGTGGTTTTGCATATGAGGCCTAATGGTTTTTCCTTTCTTTTCCCATACAAGCTGTCCAGTTTGGCTAGAGGAGAGGATATGTTCGAGGAGTGGTGGGAAAGAGGTTTGGAAACAGAGGTTGGGGCCAAATCCTGGGGGGCCTCAGATGCCAATCTCTGCCAGCCCAGCCCTGAAGCAACAGAGCCATTTGGCACAGGGAGGAGAGGCTGAAGGGATGGAAGCCCAACCTGCCCCAGCTGGAGGAGCTCCAGCAGGGCTCCAAGTGAGGGATACTGAGGCAGCAGGGCCAGGGCAGGCTGGATGGAGAAAGGGGACAGATATGAGCGGCTGGAAAGGGGGACTCAGGCATCTGGAAGCTGACTTCATGTGGGGTTGATGAAGAAAAAGCTGTCCTTAAAGAGTCCTCTGGTTTTCCCCAGAGGCTGGTTATGGGCCATTTTTTGGACTCAAATAACAGCATATTTTAAAAGATAAGATTAATCTCAGTTATACATATATATAAAGCAAGATTTTTTAAATGAGCAAGACTGAAATAAATATGTGGAATAGGCACAAACTGATGTTTTCTCTAGTTTCGTCTGTGTTTCATGATTGCTTCCTAAGTCTCTGGTTTTCTCCCAGCCCTAAGCACCCTCACCCTGCTGCCTCAAGGCATTCGTTCACTAAGATTCTGCCTTGAAACACTGTCCTCCCACTCTCTCTCAATAGCTCCTTCCAGCATGCAGCAGCCTTCTTGTGCAATGAAAATGATGTTGATATAATGCTGGATTTTGCTAAACGTCTTTAGCCAAAGTTACTATCATCATAGATAATATGTTAGAAACCCAAACCTTCCAACCCAGTTCTCTCCGCACTCCATACATGAAGCTCTATTCATTACAATAACAATAGCAACAGCTACCACTTCTGTCTGTGCCTGCTCTGTAACAGGTGCTGCTCTGAGCACTTCACATCTACCAACTCATTTTATTCTCACAAAAATCCTCATGGGGTGGATGCCACCATAATTCTCACTGACAGATGGTAAACTGAGGCACAGCCTTTGGCTAATGAATGGCCAAACCAAGATTCAAACCCAGGATGTGTCTTTGGGGTTCAGGTTGTACACCCCCACTCTTGGCTGCTTGTCATTTGGGACCCAGTTCTTCCCTTCACACAACCCCATGGATAGGCTTCATTGGTGGGGTTAATCACTCATAAGACTTTGATGCAGAGAAAGAGGTTAATGGGCGGGCTTTCCATGCCTGCCATATTCCCCTGAATATATGCTTTAAAAGAAATGCCAGAGGAATTATTGGATGTGAGGTATTTTGTGGGAGCAGGTAAGTAGCCACTCTCTATGGCCTGTCCAGTTCCCTACACTCCATGGTGATCTGAAAGGACCAGCCACCAAAGCACGCTCTGCTTCCACAAGCCAATCTGAAAAATGGGCTTGCAAAGTGAAAATTAACATCTGTCCACAGACCCACAATAACAACATAAATTATAAAAGTCTCGGAGAGAAGCTTCAGAGACTTGCCTATTTAAGACAAGTAAGATCTTTCAAGAAAAGAGCCACAGGTCTTTCAGGGGCCACAGAGGGAACTTGTTTTTAACACAAGAGAGAAACATAATAACAGAGAAAGTGACAGATTGTCACGGGTCTCAGTGCTACTTCTGCCACTTCCTAGCTGTGTGGCCCAAAATAAAGTCTACTGTCCAAGCTTCAGCTGGTCCTCAGGTCAATGAGAATAGTCCTCACTTTGTGTCCATGATTTTGGTCCTTTTGTGCCTTGTCTCAACTTTTGCATGAGTTGAACCTCTACTTATTCCTCAAAGCCTCGTGGAAGTGCCATCCCAGAAGCCCCAGGTGGAATGAGCCCCCCTCCCACTGGGTGCATGGAACACTCACTTCTGTCTTTCACTGGGGCTTACATATCTTGCTATTGTATTTTATATAATTGTTTAATCATTTAGGAAAGTGTTCGTTTGTTCGATGTGATCTGAGCACCTGCTCCAAGCCAAGGGTTGTGCCAGATGTTGGGAATATAATCATGAATGAGAGATTGTGATGGGCTGAACTGTGTGCCTCAAAAAGACAAGTTGAAGTCCTAACCCCAAGTACCTCAAAATGTGACCTTGTTTAGAAATAGAGTCATTGCAGATATAATTAGTAACATTAAATGAGGCCATAGTGGAGTAGGGTGGTGTCAGTATAAGAAGAGATACAAACGCACAGAGGCAGAGGTGCTGCCAAAATCCAAGGAATGCCTGGGGCCACCAGAAGCTGAAAGAGGCTTCTCCCCGAGAAGCTTGAGAGGGAGCACGGCCCTGCCGACATGTTAATCTCAGACGTCTAGACTCCAGAACTGTGACAGAATAAATTTCTGTTGTTTTAAGCCACCCAATTTGTGGTATTTTGTTATGGCATTTCTAGGAAACAAATACAGAAATGTTCGCCACTTTCAAGGAGCAATACATTAAACCAATAATTACAAAATAGTACGGGATGTGCTCTGTACAATCACAGAGGACATAACAAGTAACTCAGCCTTGGAAGAGGATCCAAAAAGACCTCCAGAGGGCGGGGCGCAGTGGCTCACCTGGTAATCCCAGCACTGGGAGGCCAAGGTGGGCAGACCATGAGGTCAGAAGATCAAGACCAGCCTGGCCAACATAGTGAAATCCCATCTCTACTAAAAATACAAAAATTAGCTGGGCATAGTGTCACTTGCCTGTAATCCCAGCTACTCGGAGGCTGAGGCAGGAGAATCGCTTGAACCAGGGAGTTGGAGGTTGCAGTGAGCAGAGATTGGGCCACAGAACTCCAGCCTGGCGAAAGAGTGAGACTGTCTCAAAAAAAAAAAAAAAAAAAAAAAAAGCCTCCAGAGCAGGCGCACAGTTGAAGCCGGGTTTTGAAGGATGAGTAGGAGTTCCCTGGAGGAAGGTAGTGGGAGAAAGCACTGTAGGCAGAAGGAACAGCAGCACTCCCTGTGCATCCCGTTGGTCTCTCCTGCTGGACTGTGCTCCCTGGTTCCCTTAGTGCAAGTCTGTGTTGTGACAAATGCTCAGCACTATCTCTTGAACATGCAGAGCCTTGAACAGACTCTCTAAACAAGAAGAGGGAACAGAGGATAGAGTGTAGGTGGCTGCCGCCAAGAGACAGGAAAAGCTGAAATCTTCAGATTCCTCAAATAGAGAGCAGATGGAGGGTAGCAGCAGAGGCCAGAGAAATGAGGCAGCCAAGCAGGGTTGGCTTTGAAAACACACACACACACACACACACACACACACACACACACACACAGACACACAAACACACCAGAATTGGGTTGTTCTCTAGGGCTCCAGCTCAGCTGGGAAGGGAAGCAATTTATGGCCAAAGGAAGTAGCCTGACAGTAAACAAAAATACAGTGACCCCGAGTTCCCACTGGACAGAAGATAGATAGTGCCGTCGTAAAAATGAGATTAATTTTAATAAGGGCTTTCACCAAGCAGCAGACCCTGGTGGCCAGAGGCCTGTCAGAGCACCAATGACAGGCAGCATTGCTGATGAATGAGGCTGACCCCGGCGAGCTGAAGACATGGGGAGCAATCAGAAGCTTGGGACTGGTCCCTGGCTGTGCCTTGGGAAGCTGCTATCTGCGCAGATTCTTTATCATGCTGGTCAGTGTCCAGGAGCTAAATGCCCATAATCCAAACCTCTGAACTGTGGCTCATCCCCTGCCAGAGTAGGAATCCCCTCTTCCCTCAGCTTGATGTGGGACTGTGAGGACAGTGCTTGCACACCTCTAGTAATGAGAAGCTCACTACCTATAAAGGCTGTGGGGCAGCTCTCTGTGTGGGGTCACTCAGAAAATGCCCTTTGTCTGTTTCCTTTGCCACAGCAGAATTGTGCGAAGTCTGTGATCATTCTTGATTTAAGTCGGCAGAGTTCGATTTGATAAACACTAACTGAACACTCACTGTGCAACAAGATTATGAGAAGAAAGATGGTTAAGAACTGGTCCCCTGCCTCTGAGAGCTTTCAGAAGGGAAAACAGATGTTGCCCTGACCCTGGCTGTTGACTGAGCCCTGACCCTGATCATAGTCCGAGTCCGATTCTCTTCTAGACTCAGCCCTGATTTTGGACAGCAAACTGAGCCCTGAACTAAGCCCTAGGCCCAACTCAGACTGGGCCCAGTTTCAGTCTGAAGTTTAATTCTTTTATAGACTGAGTCCAGATCCTTGTCACAACTGAGCCCTGACTCTCACCTATGGCCTCATGAACAGATGCCTGTTATTAAAGAATGAACATAAAAGGCTCAGTGCAGCTCATAGCCACGCCTGGAGCAATGTCCAAATCCCTGATGCCTGAGGCAGACATATTTTACACTCAGCACTGTGTGGAGCGCAGCCCTGCCTTTGAAAGCACAGTCTTCCTCCCTCCCAAGCTCTCACCGCTCCTTGCTCACCCAGCCATGGCACTTGTTCACTGCATCACTGTTTATGTGTGCACCCACCCTCTGGCCTCTGCTTTCCTTGAGGGCAGGGACTGTTTATTCGCTTGCAGGCCAGGCTGCTGTCACTGATCCTTCCTTCTGCCTCACTCCTGAACACCTGCTGAGTGCTGGGCCCTGGTGTGCTCATAGAGACACAGAGATGAGCAGCCTCATGGCCCAGCACAGACACTACCGAGGGCCCTATTAGATCTTTAATCATTTACTTAATCGATAAACCAACGAGAGCAATCACCTTGCAGAGCTATGGGGTCCCACAGGTTTTATGAGATGAACACCTGCCAACCATATAAAACCAGCCCTCCTAATTTCCCAGCACTCGAGCTCCCTGGCGTCAGATAGCCCGATGTTGTGTCAGCCATTTCCCCAATAATGTATCAATAGATGTCACACAATCTAGTCTTGGCTCCCAAGAGGGTGTTTGAAAAGTCAGAGATGTTTGTCTAATGCAAACCGATGTCATGTCAGGAATTAGTTTGACTAATAGGCCTTTAATGAGATCCTTGTGAGGTCTGGGTCCCAAGCAGAGGCTTCCCAAGTTTTCATTTAGAAGATAAACTATCCCTTCCCCCAGATTGCCACCATAAATCTCCCTTCCCATGTGCACTCAGAGTGGCAGAGCAAGGCATGGATTTGAGTCCTGTGCCCAATCACCCAAGGGTCAAGTCCCTGTGAGTCCCTTTGAAGTCTGGAACCCCCACAAAGGAGCTGGGGGAGGTGCTGGCTGGTTTTCTCTGCCCCAGATGGGGACCAGAGCTGCTTACCAGGGCCATGGAGGCAACAGGAAATGTTCACTTTCTCAACCTGAATAACCCTTGCAGGGCCAACTCTAGAGCAGAGCAGAGAATAAAATGTGATCATCATCCAGGGCATTTCTCTCAGGGGAAGGAACACGGAAACAGAGAGAAGCCTGCAGAATGCAGTCATCATGCCACCCAGGCAGGCGGAAGGGATTTTACATGAAATAATGTATGTGGCCCACCAGGCGCTGAGCAGGTGCTTAATACATGACAATATTGTGATTCATGCTGATTCACTCCTCCGCCCTGAACTTACTCGAGAAGTGCTTGAGTACACACAGCCTAGATCAGCCCACTCCAAGTGTGCTCCAGGGCCTGGTGCCAGCCAGCCCCTGACTGGTTACCGGTTTGTGATGAGTTCACAGAAGTTGAGAGAGAGCAATTAGAAATGTTTACAGATAGTTGGCATTGCCATGACAACATTGATTGTATTTTACGGAAATATCAGTGGTCAGCAAAAGACTGAAAATAAAAAAGTCTTTCACCACAAATAGTTTGAGGACTGGGGGCCATGAAAGCTTCCATGGCAGTCTTATTATTATCATTTTATACATGAAAAACTGAAGCTTGGAACAATTAACTTGCCCAAGTCCATCGTTCCAAGTGGTCTAGCTGGTCCTTGAACCCAACCAAGTCCTTCTTGCTCTAAAGGTTTTTAACTAAGAACCACTCTATTCCAGAGGCCAAGAGGGTTACAAATGTAAACTCAATACTCTGCTAATAATAAAAATGCTAACATTGATCTGAAACAAAGTCTGGGGCATCTTGTCTCAGCTCTGCAATCTACTCACACAGTGAGTTATTTCCTCATTGGGTCCTCAGTTTCTGCATATGCACAATGAGAGATTTATCTTAAGGGCCCCTTTTTGCGCTGGCACCCTGAATTTGTAGACTCCCTCAACAGAAAGGGACCATTGAAGTCATGTCACCAATTTCCCTTCAAAAGCACCTGGGCCTGGGGCTTCTGCAGTCTCTTGCATATTCCCTGTATGTATCCAAGATTGGATCACTCTTACTTTCAGGCTAGAATCTTCCTCCTAAGGGCTTCTGCCATGAGTATTGGGCAGGGTCCCTCTGTTGTCCTCAGGATGCTGACCCCCCTCACTCTTGCCCCCAGGGGATTCTTTCCCAGAGATGGGTCCTCCCCATGCACTGCCTTCACGCTCAGGTGTTCAGCCTCAAACCAAACCAGACCCACCTTCCACCTTAAGAGGAAATTTGATCTGTCTGGGGTAGGCTCACCTTTGGTGCATAAGAATAAAAGACATATCAAAATATCTCATATGCCCCATAAATATATAAATACCTACTATGTACCCACAAAAGTTGAAAATTTATTTTAAAAAGGAGTAGAAGGATAGCCTAGAAGCCACTCGTGTTTTTTCTTCAGGGGAAGCACTGAAAGTCCTTTTGTCCTCAAATGCCCAGAGAGTCCAACCTGTGAGGGGCTAAAGACCCAGAAAGCTCCCATCTCCTTCACAAGAGTCCCAAGGGGGCACAGCAACTACCTAGAGGATCTCCCAAGACCTGTGCTGGCTCCAGCCTGTGACTTGTTAGAGCTCCTCCCTGCCTGAGACACAGGCTGTCCTGAGATGCATGCTGGGCCATCAATCCTGACTCCCTCCATACCCTATCAAGTATACAAGCCTGCCCCAATAAAAGCTGACCCCCAAGACTCCACCCAACCACCCACCTCTAAATAGAGGAAATGAGCTAAAAAACTGGGCCATCTATGTTACATGCCACCCCCCCAACTCCAAATTCCCACTCCCCAAACACTGACTCATTGTAACCTCTTTTAAGCTGTCTCTGCAACAATCAATTGGAAAATGGAAAGATTGGTCCCTGTTGATGCTAAATGAAATGACCAACTACAGATCTGGGGAGTCCTGGAAATTTGGAAATGCGTAGAATTTCCAAGTAATCAACTCAGAGAATCATACAGGCAAACATTAAACATTTACAAGGTGTCAGGCCCTATGTGGGACCCTGGAGACTTGAAAGTACAGGACAGTCTAGAGTCAGAGAATCCTACAAACTGTAGCATCATGAATTTTTCAGGTCCTGGAATCTAGAATCACAAGATATTAGATAAGTAAAATCTAGAATCACGGGACCTTGGAAACCCAGAACCTTAGGGCTACACAGAGCCAGCACAGGTTGCTGGAGGTCTCTGTACGTCATGCTTTATTTCAACCAGGCCAGCCCACCCTGCACGGGAGGCAAGTTTGGAGAAGAAAAGACATTTCCAGTACAATGTCAGTGAGGGGGTGGCAACCAGGACACATACCAGCGAGAGGAAACTGGCCCGAAGGATGAGAAAGGGGCAAATGGCAGGAGCTCTGCTGAGGCATGAAGTGGCTCCGAAATAAAGACCAAGGACACAGGGACCCCTGATAGGATAAGGAAAGGCCAAACTGGAGGCAGACCTTCTTGACTGGTCTCGTTTCCTGCTAATGGAGGATTTCCCAGGTCCTGGACAAAGCTGAGACAAGTCAGCTCATTGCTGGGTGGCTCTGATGGGAAGACTGCTTATATGGCTCTGGAATCAATACAATCTGGAATATCCTCATCCTGTCCTGGTTCTGGCCTCTGTAGAATGCCAGACTAATGGAAGAGGGTTCGCAGTACTTTGTCCCGCATCAGCAAGGGCACTTCTGACAAGGACAAGCACATAAGCAAAAGCAGAGAGGCCAGAGCATGGGGCATGTTCACAGAAAGTAAATACGTCAGGGTGTCCAGGTCACAATGGGACAATGGAAAAGAGAAGATGCTGGACGCTGGGATAAAATGGCAAAGGCCCAGGAGGCTCAGAGGCTGGACTCTGCGTGCCTCTCCTACATCTCTTGGTAGCATGGTCTATGGCACTGTCAGAGGCCAGGGGAGATTGCTCATTGCCTGGTTCCCAATGGGGTCTTGGCAGGGACCTCTTATTCTCCCTATGGCAGGTCTGTGGGATGCCCTTTCCCTGCCCCTGGGTGGCTCAGTGAGGCCCTGGAGGAGCCATGTGGTGGGCTCAAGGTGTAATGTGCAGGCTTAAGTGTCTCTAAAACAACTAGTAAAAACCCTGACCAAATCCAAACCAGATGCCCCAGGGCGTGCAGGGTTGAGAGCTGTCAGCACCTCTGCATTTTCACCTGCTCATGTGGGTTGCACCTGTAGGCGGCCTGGACGCACGATAGCTTCAGGCTGCCCACCAAGTTCAGCCCCCAACTGGCCTGAACTTGGAGACACTGAGGGGCTGTAGGGTAAGGCCATAGATTGCTGCTGGGACAGTTCCCACCTCTGATTATTTTCCCCTTCCTCCTAATTCCCAATACAGGCTCTGAGGATTTATTAATGTCTAAACTATACTCCCTTGTGAGGAGAAATTGGGCAATTACCTTTTCTGTCTGAGCCTCAGTTTTCCTATAAGCAACATGGGCACATTAATAATGACCTCCTAGTTTACTGGATAGTTCCTTCATTCAATTAAACAAATACTTATTGGGCATTCATTGTGGGTCAAGTATTGGATGAGGTACTGGGAATATGATGGTGAACAAAACAGACATGATAGACAGGCAAAACAAGTCTACACACAAACAAATATACAATTTACAAATTGGGTTAATGCTTTGAAAAGGACATGCTAGGTGCATGTGTGCATGCTACAGAGCATTCAAAGGGGTAGGGGTGAAGGAAGCCTGTCTGGAGAAATGATATCTGAGCTGAGACCTGAATGCTGAGTAAGAGTAAGCCAGAAGAAGGGTTTGGGGCAGAGTGTGTCATGCACAAGAACAGCATGTGCCAAGGCCCTGAGGCAGGGAAGCACTTGACTCATCTCCTTCTCATGGGCAGAGAGCAAAAAGAGAGGGGGAAGTAGCATGAGGTGAAGCTGGCAAAGTAGACAGAGAACAGAGCAGGCAGGAAGCCCCCAACTGTGTTCAACAGGGGCTTCGTACAACTCTACTTACAGCTTTAAAAGATTATGCCAGTGGGAGTTTGTGATCATGGATAAAACTTCACCTCCCATCTGCAAGAACTTCTAGGATCTGAGGCTTCAGAGATGAAGGAATTGGCCCAAAGTCATCTGGCCAGTAAGTGCCAGGATCTAGTATATAAGCAGGTCCTTCCCAGTCCCAGGGCTGCCTCCTTAACAATCAGAATGTGCTTACTGCCATCCTTGACCTCATTTGGCCCTTCCAGCCCTTGGGGAGGGAGGCAGATACAGAGGTCTTCAATTCCCTGACCCAGTTCAGGAAGCCCAGGCCCAGGGAGGTGAATGGGCTTACCAGGCATCATGCAACACATCAGTGGAACATGGCCCAGTAGCTTGTCCTCTGACCTGAAGTTAGATGAGATTATTCCCCAGAATGAGCACTCTATCAAGAACCTGGCCCTGTGGGAATGAACAGCCTCAAGGATGGAGATAAAATGTTAGGGCAGAGAAAGGAGGCAAAAGTCACACCAAAGGAGCACAGGTACGAGGCTCAAGGTGCCAAAATTTGTCCAGTGGAAAGAAGGTCTGGGAGTGAAGGGGAACGAAGCACGGTGGCACATCTGAGAACACCATGTAGACAACTGACCACTGTGCAAAGCTCACAGTGCTGATGATTGCCCTTAATTTGTCCCAGCCCTTCCTGGGAGCTACATCCCCACAGCGTACCTGTTTTCTCTGCCCCAGAACATGCCTACCAATACTTAAAGGCAGTAGCTCTGCCCTGTGTCTGAGCAACTCCTGGCACAGCTGCCCAGCTCCTGCCATCGTCATTGCCAGGACGGAACCCCAGTCCCTCTCCATCTCCCTTGCAGAGTGTCTCTCCCAGCCAGAGTCACAAACCCCACCTCAATATAGTCCAAGCAGCTTGGAGTCTGCAAGGGCTGTGATCCCCTTCTTTCTCTCATGATCTCTCTGTTGGTTCAGCCCAGATTTAACTCCTTCCACTGCCATGTGATACTCAGGACCACTCTCACTGTTCCCCTGGAGCTGTGGCCGCACTGGCCTGCCCATAGTCCCTCTGTCTCACAGACTGCTCCAGCCTCTTTCCTGGGCAAATGCCTGCCATCCTTGAAGGCTTAGCTCAGCCATCTCTTCCCTGTCCTCCAGAGCTCAGAGCAGGTACCCTAGTCCTCCTCCAGGAAGTCTCCTCCGATCTCAGGGAGGAGCCTCTCCTCTGGGCTCCTGCAGCCCCATCCTTCTCTTGCCTCTCCAGGTGGACTGTGAAGCTTGTGAGGGCAGGGTTTATGTCTTCCTGGTCCCCGGTTCCCGGAGCCTCACATGTGGTAGGAGGTCAGTAAATGTCTAGATCTCTTCCCTTTCCTTTCTGGGAAGAGAGCCCAGCAAAAAAACTTGAAGCATAAAAAAACCAATTTGAAATTTGAACAGTGGTTGTTTAAATCTCCCAGTATCTAATAGAATAAAGTCCTCCTCGGCCAGCCTTCCCTAGGGTCACGGCTGCCCCAACCCCACCCTCTCATATTGCAACTGAGATGACCTCGGATCATTTATTCCCCACCCCGCAGGGCCACGGGCTTCCAGCTTTCCTTTCCTCTCTCCCCTTCTCTCCCTCATGGCCAGTGGAGTGGGTTAAGTGCAACGGAACCTCAACTCTTTCACCAGGTGTCCTGGATGTGGTGTGACTACTCGAACCCCCACCTTAAAACAGGAGGCTGATTCCTGCTATGGAACAGGCCTTCAAAAAATGTCAGTTCCCCTTTCTTGCCTTCTTTCCCTGTATAAATTGTTTTTCTCTCCCAATATCAGGAGTTAATCCCTCTTGCCCAGGAAGCTTTCCCTGACCTCCCCATCCTCCAACTTTGCCGAGCTTGAAAACTAGGTGGCCTCCAGCTCACTCATGTCTCTGTCGGTCCCTTAATCGAAGAGCTGCGGGGCAGAATGGAGCTGCCTCTAAGCCTGGATAAAGGTGAAATCCAACAGTTGAGAGAGGTTATTTTTGGACCTGACACAAATGCTAAATGAAGAGCCCCCAGCCTTCCAAGCAATCTTTGCTTTGTGCTCCAAGGCCCAAAACTAACATTTTCATAATAATTTTCCAGTATCAAAGTGATAGTTTTGATTCAAGACAGCTGAAGCCTGCAAAACTGTGTGGCAGCCTCTCCCACCCTCGAGCCAAACATGTGCCTCTGTCTCTATTTTAACACCTTTGATAATCATCGAAAAATGCACGGCCCAAGCAGTTTTCTCAGCTTTCTGACCATAACAGCTGCCTCTGGAAGGAGTCCGTTGGAAGTCTGTTTTCCTTCTGCATTACTCTGAGCCCAGGGCTTAGTTCTCCCAGTTCGCCTGGCTTTCCACCCTCCCTCTCTGCATTCCATTAGTAATGTCTGATTAAGGAATTGGCCTTTCTAGTGCTATTAAAAAAAGGGGGAGCCCAAGAAATACAGTAACACAATATCATGGAAAACTGATATAATCTTTTCAAAACTATAAAGATTGCTCACCCAGAGGAACATCTGCACAGAAAAAGAAAAAGGTTTTAAACAAACTGGAAAGGGGTCGGGTAACTTGTAAAGCCTGGAGTGCTGAGGAGATGCTGGCTCGTCCTCGGCCTGCTGTCACTCTGTAGGGGAAGGCCATCCTCGGAGGAGCCAGCTCCCTCACTGAGAGCTCCCACCATCTGGAATTCATTGCAGGATGGAACACATTTCATTTGCGTTTGCAAAAAGAAATTCGGTCTTACAATAATTGTTCCTTAAATCATTAATATGGCCCGAGCACCAGATGGAGAGTCAGAAGACAGCAGGGGCCCAGGGCCAGAGTCCTGGCCCACCCCCCTGCCCTCTCCCTTGGAAGCTCCGGCCACCTCCTCCTGGGAAGCAGCCTCAGGTCAAATTCTAGGCTCTTACCCCAGCCAGATTTTGGCTGCCCTGGAGAAGAAACTGCTGCAAAACAATGATTTGCAAAGATCCTTTTGGTTCCTGGTGGCTTCCGGACTCCAAGACTTGGAAAGGGCTGAAGCTCATACCGTCCCCACATGAGACCTGGCCCTCTAAGCACCCACACTCCCCAGAGGACTCAAGGCACCTTTGGTGGTGAGTCGGCAAAGGCGGCATCTGCCGCGCTCAGGGAACCTGCTGAGATGAACTCACACGCTGGGCCACATTAACACACGGCATAGCCAGCACGGGCAAGGCCAAAACCGGGGACTCTATCTGTTCCACCACCAGCATCCTGAGGTGGAAGGGGTTACTGTGGGCCCTAGTCACTTGGTCTTAGAATAACAGGATCTGCAGATCCGTGCATCCAACTGCCTGAGACGTCTGGAAGCACAGACTCTTAACAGCAGAGAGCTCTAGAAACTTTAGACTCTCCAAGCCTCTCCCCTTGGTATAGGGAATCCCAAATGCTGAACTTGTCTCCACGCTTGGAAGTGTTGATTTGCTGAAGAGGTGGTAGTGGGGCCTGGGAAGCCTGGAGACCCACACAGGTGCCTGAGCCTCCAGGGACTGGGAGAGCCCTCAGGACAGAAGGGAGGCTCCTACCCTTGGACAAGGAGTGCCTCTGGGCAAGGGTCTCTGCCCCAGAGTGCTGGGTGGGGTCACAAGGGGGATGGGCTCCCCTTGCTGGTAGTCAGGACCTCTCCACTTCCTTTCCTCCTCTGCCCCAGGAACTGCCCCAGGCCACTGCTCTGTGCTTCCGATCCTGACTCTGTTCGGCCTGCGCTTCCGCCTTGAGTGGAGACCCATGTATCCAAATGCCTGCCAGACACCCTCTCCTTGATGTCTCAAGGCTCTGAGACCCAGCACGTCCCAATCAGGACTCTTCATCACCCTGAAGTGGCTCCTCCTCAGTGCTCCCTATCTCAGAGAAAGCACCACCATCCACCAGGTGCCCCACCCTGAACCCAGGGACTCCTCCCTGACACCTCTCTTGCCCTCTCCTCTCACATCCAGTTTCCAAAATCTAAAGCCCCATCCATCCTTTCTTCCACCGATTCCTCAAATCCATTCACATCTTTCCAGCCTCACTACAATGCCCTCGTTCAGGCCTCACCATTTCATGCCTGCCTCACCGCAGCATGTACTGGAATGATGTCCAGACCCCCCACCTGCCCATTCATCCTCCACCCAGCAGCCAGGGCCATCTTCCTAAAACACAGAACTTACCTGGGCTCTCTCTGCTCAAAACCGTTACATTAATTCTTCATAGGAAATACTCCCCACATCATCACTGTGCTAGTCCAGATGGGATAGGATATGCCGTGGTAACTAATATCTCAGAATTCTCAAAGTTAAACTATCAATGTTTCTCACTCACACATGGCCATTAAGAGTTGATGGGGGCTCACTCAGGTCCTGGGCTACTGGAGCAACTGCCATCTTGAAAGTTGTCAGTCACTGTGATGGAAGGAAAGGCTGCCTTGGAAGGTGGTGCATTGGCAATTAACACTTAAGCCTGGGCTGGGCTTGGTGGCTCATGCCTGTAATCCCGGCACTTTGGGAGGCCGAGGCAGGTGGATCACCTGAGATCAGGAGTTGGAGACCAGCCTGGTCAACATGATAAAACCCCTTCTCTACTAAAAATACAAAAAATTAGTGGGGCATGATGGTGCACGCCTGTAATCCCAGCTACTCGGGAGGCTGAGGCAGGATCACTTGAACCCGGGGAGGTGGAGGTTGCAGTGAGCAGAGATTGCACCACTGCACTCCGGCCTGGGCGACAGAGGAAGACTCTGTCTCGAAAAAAAAAAAAGAAAAGAAAAAGAAAAAAGAAAAAATTACTTAGGTCTGGAAATGTGGAAATGGCACATGCCACTTCTCACATGCATCGGCTGGAACTGGTCACGTGGAACCATTCACCCACAAACGAGCCAGGAGGGCCACCCTCCCATGTGCTCAGAAGGGGAGAGCCAGGAAGAGTTGATAACGCCCCAGTCACACACTCCCTTCAGTGCCTTGAAAGTCCATGCTCTCTCACCGCTATGCCTTTTGGAAAGCTGTTCCCTCTGCCTGAAGCCCTCATCCTCACAAGTCACTTAGGTAACGCTTGCCCATCCTCGGCCTCGCCCTGAGAAGCTGGCTCTGGATCTCCCACTCTGCTGGGAGCCCCTCCTCCGGGCTTTCTCAGCTCCACTCACACTCTATGAGAATTGGCTACTTATTGTCTGCTCCTTCTTGGACTGTGAGTTCCATGAACACCAGGTCTTGAGAACTTTGTTTACTACCCTACTCTAGTGCCTGCTCAAATGCCCATAAGGAAGGACACTCAGAATGTGTTGAATGAATAAATGAATGAGTATATGAATGACAGAAATAGATTAAGATCCAGTGGCAGAGCTATCAGGAGTGGCAGGGAGCCTGGAGGTTTGGGAATAAAGCCCTAGTCCATACAGGGTGAGCTCCAGAGGGCAGATGCCGTGGGCTGGCTAGTGGAGCAAAGGGGAAGGAGGTCTTTGATAGGGCTGCCATGAAGAAGGGGGATGACGACCTGCAGCTAACCCCCCCAGCAGTCCAAAGCCAGTCACAGATCCCCAGTCTAAAAGCAGAGTCCTGTGCAGAGCCAGAGCCACAGCTGCCCCCCTGACTGTCCTGAGCCCTCTCTTCTATCCTCTGGCCTCCTTCGGCCTCCTTCACCTACAGCTGGGGCAGCTAAAAGGCAGACACCCTTCAGCACATTTTACTTATCGAAACTGGGTGCTCTCCAAGGGCAGAGACTTGTGTTGCTATGGCTCCCCCAGCAACTAGCACAGTGCTTGGCACATAGCAATAGCTCAATTAGTGCTTGTGAAATCTGACTCTGATCCATTCCCTACTCTCCAAGCCCTCAGGAGAGCTCAGCCTGCATGTCCCTCTAATCACCAAGATGTTGGCCCCTGACACCTTCCCCCTCCCACCCCGCCCCACCCTGATGTGTCTAGGGGCAGACAGGGATGTATACACTGAGTCTCAGACTTCACCCCTCAAGCTTTGTGAATCTCAGCCAAGGCTCTCTGGCATGTGAAGCCCTTGGACCAGCCTCAAGGGCCAGAGAAGACATGGGGTCTGTGTTCAGTGTAAGTGACACATGGAGCTCCAAGCTGAGAGCCCCACGGATGGTGTCCAGGCACTCAATGGGACCCACTGTGGACTGTGGTCAGAGCCCAGGGGACTAGGATTTCCACAGTGATGATATTCATTCTCCCCTCCTCCCACTCACTCCACCCCCACCCCCACCCCCAACCATCTTATCAGTCACCAAGACTTGCCAGGGCCACCTCCTAAATGTCTAGAATTTGTCCACTCACCTGAATTATCATATTAGATAGAGTCATCTATCTAAAGCCCAAACGAGCTTAGGTCATGTCCCTGCTTAAAACCTTCCACTCTGGAGTCAAGATGAAGGGCTGCAAGACTCTCAGTGTTCAGGCCCTGGCTCACCTGCCCTCTCCCAGTCTCATCTCTTGCCACCTCTCCCCTCCCACTCCACATTCCAGCCACACGCACTTCTAAAAGTGCAACATTTCCTACGCTTTCCAACTTTGAACATGCTGTCCCTTCTACGTGAAACTCCTCTCTCCTAGAAAATATCAGTTCCTTTTTAAGTCTTGGTTCGGTCTTCACTTCCTCTAGGAATGTCTCTTGGATTCCTGCCCTGTAAGGAGTGAGATGCATCTATTCATTCAGTCAGTCAGCCATTCACCAGTCTCTAGTATCTATTGACCTGGCCAAAAACATCTGTTGAAGAAGAGTGAAAGGTGAGGGAGGGGTAAACAGCTAAATCGATTTGGAACAGAACTGGTAGGACAGACAGGAAGGATGGAGGAAGTGGCAGAAATCTCCGAATATTGAGTGATCTGAGAAGGCTTCCTGGAGGAGGAGTGGCTGGAGTTGAGTCTGGAAGGATAAGAAGAGACAGAGCCCCACATACCAAGCTTATGAGTTTGGACTTTATCCCGAGGTCAATGGGGAAGTATCAGAGGATTTTAAGTAGGAGATGTTTATAATTAAGCCATGATTAAATCTCCATGTTAGAAGGGTCTCCCTGGCTGTGATGTGTGTGGGAGACCAGTTAAGAGGCTCCAGCAGACTCTGTAAGAGAGATGCTGACAACCTGTACTCAGGAGAGGGAGTGGAGATGCAGCCATGGATCTGAGACCTGCTTCGGAGGCAGCGTGGATGGTACTTCGTGACTGACTTTTTAGGATGCTGGAGGGAGAATGGGGATAAGAGTGGCTCTGGGTTTTCCCACGTGGGACTCTTACACAACTAACAAGGACTGGATTTTCTCTGGACACACTATACATGCAAGCTTTGGGTGGAGAATAGGGTAAAGGTGGCCATAAGCAGTCACTTCTGAGCACTTAGCAAGGGCCAGAGCACATGTTAGG
This sequence comes from Homo sapiens, assembly GCF_000001405.40. Taxonomy (NCBI): domain Eukaryota; kingdom Metazoa; phylum Chordata; class Mammalia; order Primates; family Hominidae; genus Homo; species Homo sapiens. The sequence goes on along the minus strand of NC_000001.11, from coordinate 47,639,354 downwards.
TGTGCAGTTGAGATGAGTTGACTTAAATTGAGGTGATTTGTCTCCTTTTCCCAATAGAGTAGAGAGTGTCCCACTTGTGAAGGCCCACCTCACCTGAGGATCAGGATGGGCCTGGAAGCTCTGCTGGGAGGGGGCCAGCCTAGGAGAAGGCCTGGAGATGGGCAAGCCCACAGCACACAGGAGCAGTCCAGTCCCATCCAGAGACAAAGAGTGGACAGCTGCCCTCTCAAGGACCCAGGCTTCATTCTGGGATGGAATATTGGGTGTGCTCCTAGTTTGCCTGCCAAGAAAAAGGGTCTGGGGGCCCTCGCAGACAGACGGAAGGGCATGAGTGGCGTTCCTGGCACCCTGAAGCCAGACAGTTACCCACAAGGAAGTCAGATAAGAACAGGGCATGTGGCAGCCAGAAGCAGCCCACTCTAGCCAGCCCAAACCCCAGGTCCAAGGCCTGGCAGACAGTAGGTTCTCAATCAATATCTCAGATCAAACAGTCCTGCCTCTACACTTTCAGCCCAAACTCCCAGCAACCAGGATGACGAGAAGCAGAGATCCTCTCTAGTACAGTCCTTTTCTGCCCACCCTCACACTTCCCACCCTCTGCCCCAGGCAGGTGAGCCAACCGCAATTCCCTGGGCCCCCCACACTTCCTCCTTCCTCCTGGCTTGTGTTCATGGTGCTCCCTCTGAGAGGAACATGGTTGTCCTCCCCTACCCCTTATCCAGTTTAGATCTCACCTCCTCCAGGAAGCTCTCTGCGATGCCCCCAGGATGGAGTCATCTTTGGGCTCTTGCAGGCCCCAGCTCCAGCTCCCCTGAATCCCTGCAGGTGACCCCCTGACAATGGCTGGCTTATTCATTACCGACCCAGGCACCTCACCCACTAAGCCCGGGCTTCATACGCCATGTTGCCTCCCTCCCTGGGCCACCACAGTGCTCCTCCTTCACCCGGAAGCTGCCCTCTTCTCACATATTCCTTCTTCCCGGCTCAGGACAAAGGTTACTTCCTCAGAGGCCGTCGTGGACCCCACACTGTGCCGGGGTCCCCTGCACTCAGCTCCCTCAGCCCCTTGCCCCCCTCCCTTTGCCACTGCAATCATACTTCTGTATCCTTCCTGTTTCAGTGAGTGGCAGTGAGGCACAGCAGTTAAGGGTATGGACTTGGGGCCAGACTGCCTGGCTCACCTCTCAGCTCTGCCATCCACCAGCTCTGTGTCCTTAGGACCATCCCACAACCTCCCTGCACCTCAGTTTCCTCACCAGTAAAATGGGGATAACACAATTCCCTACTCCAGAGGGTTGTGTGAAGTTTACATTGATAATGGACATGAAGCCCTGTGGTAGCCACTGTTCACAGCTATCCTCATCCGCCCGTAGAACTGATGTCCCCACTGCCTTTGAAGTCATATGGTGGCCATGTGACTAGCTTTGGCCAATGATTTGAGTTATATGTGCCACTTCCAGAGGGAGCTTAAAAGACATTTGCCATGCCCCCTTGTTCTGTCTCTGCCTCAGCCTTGGTCTCTAACTGAGATGTGCCAAGCACCTCCTGCTAACCCATATGCACACATGCCATGAACCAGAAATAAGGCCTTGTTATTTTAAGCCACCAAGATTTGGGTGGCATTTGTTTCTACAGCAAAACTGTCCTATCCCGACTAATGCAAGCATTTAGAATAGGGCCTGGCAGAAAGTAGACACTTTCTGCCAGGTAAGGGTTATCCATTATTATTGTACTTCTGTGTCTGCTTGCCAGACTCTAAAAGCAAGGCCCAGCTCATCTCATTCACTGTGGTAGCCTCAGCCCTGGCACAGTGCCCAGCACATAATAGTTGCTCAATAAAATACTTGCTGACTGACTGGCCAATGGTCAGGCAGGGGCCCTGCTGAGTACATACAGCTCACCCACTTGGCCAGGCCCCCACCTGTGGGTGATACAGACCCAGGACCGCCCCTCTGTACTCCTATAAATCCCAGTGGCCTAGTTTCTTGTGAACAGCCACCGACGTTCCTCCATCCTAGCAACGCCTGTCAGTTGTGATGGAAAAATCTGGTCTCGCCAAGGTTGTGGTCTGCCATGGATCCCTCATGGACATTCCTCCTGGGCTGGCACAGCAGGCAGCCTTTCGCCTGGCAGTTAGTTGCCAAGTATTTCCAGGTGGTTTCATTCTACCCTGCACACTGAAAACACTCTCAGTGACTAAGAGGATTCTTGGTTCTGATAAAAGGCATATAGAGATATCTTGTTCAATCTCCTTGCAGCATCTCAGGCAGCATCACTCCCTGCTTGCACACCTCTGTTGGCGGGTACCTCACTACCTGAAGGGCTTTAGCTTTGTTGTGGAGTAGCCCTGACTGCTAAGCTCTTCCCCATGTAGAACTGGCATCTGCCTGCCTGTAACCTACCTTACCCCAGCCTCAGGGTGAATGTGCCCCACACAGATCATAGCTGCTTCATCGGCCTGTGACAATTCTACAAGGTGAGGAGACCATGCTCTCCACCCACCCTCACCTCCCCTCATTTTCTTCTCCAAAACATTCGCAGTTTCCTCCTTTCTCTGGAATTTTTTCTTATCATTGAGATTTTTATAAAAACTTTTAAAATCTCCCATTTGTGGGATTTTTGTCACCATTTATCATGAGTCCAGTCCATATTTTGACCTCAAAATATGCAGAGCGGAACGGTAGGTGACTCTGAGAGCTGACAGGTCTGATTTTACTGGGGAGGAAACTGGGGCACAGAGAAGCAAGTGACTTAGCCAAGGTCACACAAGGAGTCAGTGGCAGAGAAAGGACAGGAGCCCAGGGCTGGGGGGGAAATTACCAGCCACGGAAAAGCATGATGGAAAGAAATCAGAGGCAGCAATAATGTGCTCAAATTATTGTGATTCTTGGCATTTCTAAGAGCCATCAGCCATCCCATCCAGGGGAAATGAAGGCAGAGGGGCGCGGGACAGGGAGGGAAGCTCCAGAGTTCAGGGCTGGCCCTTCATGCGGCCACTGCCTAACGGGTGGGGAGACGAGAAGACAAAGCCTCAATACAATGATGCCTCCCCTGGTGTATTTCTGTGCCAAAAATAGCCACCATTAACTTAAATACAGCCATGGAGGGTTCTTGGTGCAACATAGAAGGTGTAAAAGGCCTCAAAAAATGTCTCCAGGAGAATTTCCACTCATGGTACCCTCAGCTGGCATTCAAGCTACAGCCCTGATATTAATTTTGTGTGATCCTAGGTTAATTGCCTCACTTCCTAGGACCTCCATTTCCCCCATTTTCTCACAATGAGAAAGCTACACTTTGTAATCTCTAGAGGCCCTCCTGGCTTTATCAACCGCTCACATCTAAATATGAATCAGTACCTCAGATTAGCTCTGGCAATGAGTAAATCTCCAAATGGATCAGTCATGGTTCTTAGTTGCAAGTAACAGAAATCAACTCTGACTAACTTAAAGAAGAAGGAGGAGAAGGAGAAAGAAAAGGAAGGAACAGGAGGTGGAGGGAGAAGGAGAAAAGGGATGAAGAGAAGGAGGAGGAGGATGGCAACAACCATGAGGAAGATGAGGAAGGCAAGGAAGAAGAAGAGGGGAGGCAGAGGAGGAAAAGGATGTAGAAAAGGAAGAAGAGGAGAAGGATGTACTAGGACGCTTTTGGATGGTCCACAGGATTAAAGGGAATCCTGAATGAAGAACCAGGCTCAGAAAACAGGCAGGAACCAGGGACAAGTATCATAGCCAGGGTCGTTCCCCAGAAACAGCCAGGTTCAGGCAGCCTGTCTGCTCCTGCTGGGATAAATTTTAATCATCTCTGCTTCTTTGCATCACTAGCTCCAGATTCAGTGCCCTAGGTGGAAGCATCCAGCTGGAAAAGCCAGGGTTCAGGGGGAGTGTGTGCACCTGGCCTTTTTGGCTTCCTCTACTTAACTCCACATTAAGCACAGTGGGCAATACCACGTCGGCAGAAAGGTTTGGGCCCTGAAAGTCTCCACTGAGTGGCTGTCAGGTACCACTTGACCCCCAGGACAGCACCTGAGATGTGGCAGGCAGGTAACGCATGTGACACTCTCCCGGTCCACATGCCTTGTCATCTCAACCCATCTGCACCACAGGCCTGGGGGGCAGGTACTACTATGGTCCCATTTAATAGATGAAGTACTGAGGTTCACGGAGGGATCAGCCACACTGTACAATTAGGCAGAGAGTATAAAATCAGGCCTATCTGAGACCAAGCCTGGCCATTTGCACTGGCACCTGCTGCCTGAGAGTCAAGTACAGCAGTCCCCACTGATCCTGGAAGAAGGCACTCCAAGATCCCCCGCCCCAGATGCCTGAAACCACGGATCACCAAACCCTATGTATGCTATGTTTTTCCCTATACATACATACATACCTATGATAAAGTTTAACTTATAAATTAGGCACAGTAAGAGATTCACAACAATACTAATAAAATAGAATAATTATAAAAATATATCATAATAAAAGTTATGTAAATGTGCGCTGTCTCTCTCAAAATATTGTACTGTACCCACCTGTTCTTGGACCACAGTTAACCACAGGCAACTTGAACCATGGAAAGCAAAACCATGGCTACAGAGGAACAACTGCAGTGCCTGGCTGCACCTTATGTATCTTAATTCCTGTAACCTTCACCATAGCCCCAGGAGATGTCTGCTACGACTATCCCCATTTTACAGATGAAGAAACAGAGGCACAGATGGGTTGAGTAGTTGGTAAATGGCAGAGCTGGGATTTGAACCCAGGCAGTCTGGCATTACCATCTGTGCTCTTAACTCCCCCAGTGTACTGCCTCTCATGACAAAAAACATTTCTACCATTCACTGTCCCCCTGCTGTCTCTCCTTGGCTCTGGGAAGCTGCCAAAGGCCCAGAGGCAGATTTGAGTGGAGTCCCACTGAGCCCCTGAGGCCAGGTCTTGACTCTGATGTGAAGGTTCATGTGTTCTTAGCAAAACCACACTTTCTCTGGGCCTGGGATATGCCTCTGCAAAAGAGAAAAGCAGAAAGCAAGGTGAACTCATGGGGCAGTGAGCTCTCTATTCCTGTGGGCAATCAAACAATACTATCTTGCATAATGATTTCTACTAATATCCTTTTTCTATTGCACCCTGCCCTGTCCCCCAGACTGTGAAACCCTCAGAGCAGGGACTCTGATTCATGTCTTCATCCCAAGCGCCTAGTGAAGAACTTGACACAGTGGCTGGATGGAGTAAAGGGCAGGGAAAGGAAGACAGGGAGGGACAGGATGGTGAGATGTCAAAGAAGGAAGAGACTTGTCCATGCCCAAGCTAGAATCTTCCCACCAGCACAGAGTGGGATGTGTGGTGGCCATCCTTACAGATGGTCCTTTCCCATCTGGCCCTTTAGCTCTCTGTCATCAGAGCCACTTCCTTCTTTTTCCTATCCTATGCCCAAGGATGGGAACACTATTTCCAACCATGCCATAACCCCACAAGCCACCTCCCCCCGGAAGCCTTCTGAGCTCTCTATGCTACTTCTTCCCTGGGCTTTGCTGTGGTCCAGCCTTGTTTCCATGACAGGTTGAAACTGGGGTGGTCCTCAGACAGTGTCTCCTCTCCAAAGCCTGAAATAGTGGAAAGTAGAGGTTAGGGCCAGACACCTCTGGATTCTAACTGTGGCTTTGCCAGATGTCATTCTGTCACTTGGAGCAAATCAGGTCCCTGTGTAAGCCTCAGTATCCTCATCTGTCAAATGGGAGCAATAAAGATACCACTTCACACGCTGATGATGAAGAAAATGACAGAACAGGTGAAAAGTCTGGGGGAGTTGCAGGACCACTGGATTTGGGTGACCCCTCAGCAGCTCTGTGAGACAGGTACGGCTGTCCCACCTTAAGAAAGAAATGAATGCACTGAGCTGCTCCAGAGTTACACAGCTAGTAGCAAAGGTGGAATTCACAGCCAGTGCCACGTGGCTTGAAATCTTTAGCTTTGGTATGCAGAGAATAATAATAAAAGTAAGATAATAACGGAGTTAACTTTTATTGAGTGTTGGCTACATCCCGGCACTGTGCTAAGGGGTGACATAGATTCATTTCATCATGACAATACCATGATGAAGCTTCAGAAGCTGAGGCTCAGAGAGGAACCCCAAGGACTATCGCTGGAGAATGGTAGAGCCAAGATCTGAATTGAGGCAGCCTAACTCTAGCATCTGAGCTCTTAACCACTACAGCCTATGGCACTGCCTTATGGCCCAAGAGCTGAGAAGCCCCTCCCCTCTGCCTCTGAGCAGGTTCAAATCCCCCCAGCCCCTCGCTTATTCCTCCACAGGCCCCTCTTTTCTGGCCCTACCTCTCGAAGCCCTTCTCAAACCGTTCACACCACACTCACCCCTCCACCCACCCCAGTCTGGCTGGTACCTATCAGCTGCCAGGAGCCAGTGCTCACCAAGGCTGCTGGGAACCTCCTTGTGCTAAATGGACACTTTCCGGTCCTCATCTTGCCTGAGCTTCTGCTGAATTTGAAACTGTTGGTTACTCCCTTTTTCTTGAAATTCTCTCTTCTCTTGGTTTCTGGGACAGTGCTCACTCCAGTTCTCCCACTGTCCTCTTCACGGGCCACTTCCTTTTCTGCTTTCTCTGCTTGTTATTCTTTGAATACACACCTTTTCTGCATATTCAGTTCCCCAGGGTTCTGTCCTTGGCTCTGACCACATGCCCTATGGGGTTCATGGTCAGAGCCAATGCCTCCAACACGCTGTGTCCTCACCACTGTGCCCCATTGCCTTCTGGTGCCTGCTCTTGGGCAAGTCGTTACAGCTGTTTGAGCTCAGCCTTTCCATCACACCAAACTGACCCCTTCTCCCCCTGTGGGCTTGTGAGAATTGAGGAGCACCCAGGACAGAGGTGCTGGGACCTCGGCGCTGCTGCCCTCTCCACATGTGCTCCCCATCGGTGGATGGAGTTAGGGTGCAGCAGCCCCCTTTCTTCCTGCCCTCTCCTCTCTGCTAGTGCCATTGATAGCTCAGACACAGAGCTAATGCCCTGGACCATCCAGTCTTTGGCCCCTGCATTCGAAAGGGGCCCCCACTGAGTGTGTGTATGTTGGGGGGTGGTGTCTTGCTGTTCTCTTCTTCTTTATATTTCAGCTGAGAGCCCCCACCATGGAGTTGTGGGTGGAGGTGAGACACCCCAAGGCATGACCGCACTCTCCCCCTCCACCCGTGGTCCTGAAGTTCTCTGCCTTTGATGAAGACCACTTGCATCATCAAGCTAAGTGGACATTTTCCTGGTAGCAGAGGGGGGCAAAGGAGCAGGGCCTTTTGGGTGGGTCTCAAAGGGCCTCTGGCTTTCTCCCCTTCCCCTTCTCATCCTGGAGAGCCCACCCCTCACCACTGCCATTCAGGGGGAAATTATACCAGGTTCTAATGGGGGCTGAAGGAAAGCGTCCCCTCTATTCATCCCAGCGGCTGAGCGGCCTCTCGAGCACCCATTGTGCCCAGCCTGCCGCCTCCACCTCAATTGCGATCAGGTGGTCTGGTGTGGCCCCCCATCCCCCTGGCCCAGGACAGGAATGGGCTCAGGCAATGGGCCAGCCCACGGAGTTCTCTGTCCAGCCTCTCGAGGGGCTTTTGTTGCATAAAATAGCACCCGCCACTCGGCCACTTTAAACCGAGGCCAGGCACTTGAATGTGAAAACGGGGCCCAGGCACTGGGAGCACAGGGACAATGGCCACCCTCAATTAGCTCACTGAGGTGCCCCAAATGGACTTGAGGAGGGGCCGCGGCCACAGCCCATTCATGCATATTTATCACAAGCTGCTGCACATCGGTTTGCACTGTTCCCATGACAGCCCCAGGGGAGGACAGAGGGGCGGGCTCGGGGCCCTGCAGAGGTTGTGGTTCAGGGACACTCTGGGGCTCACCCCAGCATATTGGAAAACTGCCCCCAACCCCATGTCCCCTTGCCTTTACTTGGCCCTGAGACTCATGCCCTGCATAGACTAGAAATCCTAGAATATCAGAAGCAAGGGACCTTGCAGTGTGCTAGGCACACCCACTAGACAGGTGGAGATGTCACGGCCCAAAGCAGAGGAAAATGAGCTTTTTCTTATTTTTGATTTCTATCTCAAATGGGAGAAGGTGGGTAATAATGAAAGCATGTATTGAATGTTTGCTAAGTGTCAGGATCTGTGTCAAGTGCTTTCAACTGTCCTGTCAATGCCATAAGATAAATGCTGAATTGGCTTCACTTGAGAAAACTGAAGCTCAGGAGAGGGTGGGTAATTGTTCCAAGATCACTGGTTGATGTAAGTAGCAGAGCTGGGATAGTCACCCAGGTTGTCGTTCCCCATAGCGTGGTGCCTGGCCTTCTTCCCACCTGGTGAGGAGGAAGTTAGGTAGGGCACTCTGCTGTTTGTCCTCAGCTCCTAGATGCCAAGTGCCGTGCATGAGCTAAGTTCAAGCTACAGCACCTGAAATCTAGGAGGTGCCACCTCATTAGACATTCACGATAACATATGAGGGCTCCACTGACAGATATGGAGACTAAGAGATGCTATGTGCCCTGCCATGGGCCATACACAGAGCTAACAAGTGGCATGGCCGGGACCAAAGCCATGCAGCGTGGGGTGGTTGCCCCCTTCCTTTCTGGAGCTCCTGGAAAAGGAAGGCAACCTCTTCTTCCAGATTCTGCCACACTATGGAGAATCTCAGTGGCTCCCCAGGAAAACCTGTGTGGGAGGGGCAGCGGCTAGACCTCCCCTCCCAGCATCCTCCCCAAGACCACAGCAGAGGCCTAGTAGGCAACTGCTGCTGCTCGCAGCTCCTCAGCAGAGCTCTGGGGTACCCCCTCTTTCTGCGGAGTTGAGCTCCTTCGAGGAACTCACAGCATCAGCTGAGAGGCAGGCAAGTGTGGAGGTAGACAAAACTGTCTGCCTGACCCTGCAGGACAGCATGGCAGTGAGAACCCCCAGGTTCCTCCCAATCTGTGCCATTTTGGTGCTTCTGGCTCCACTGTGCTGTTCTGTCAGGCTGCCCTGGCCCACTATGCTCCTGTTTTCCCCCAAGCAAGCGTTCTTGCCTTCATGTCTCTGCTCATGTTGTCTCTCCTGCCTGGAATGTGAGTCGAGTTGCGATGAGTTGAGGGCTGAGTAGAATTTGATTAATCGGTTTGGATTGAGCTCTGCTCCTTTTGTTTAGTTTGGGTTGGATGAGTTGGTTGAGCTCCATGTGTACCATGCTGAGTGATGAGTTGAGTTCCACTGCATTGATTTAAGCTGAGTTGAGCTAAAGTAAGCTGAGCTGAGTGGGGTAAAAATGAATCGATGAGATGATTCCATAGTATGACTCTTCTATTAACTTGCTCTGTTACAGCAGGCGAGCCTCAAGCCAATGATCTCCAAAGAATCCCCAACTCTGAAAAACTAGGACGCCAAGAAGCAAGAGTCCCCACAGGCAGAAAGTGTGTCCTTTCCACTCTGTCCCTCATTTGCTGGTGGATATGACTCCTCCTTGGTCTGGGAAGCAGACATGGGGCTGTGGGACAGTTTCCTTATTTTTATCAGCAACCTCCTTCAAGGTCAGAGGAGCAAACAATCATGATGGCTGGTAGAAGTTAACATAAGTCTTGAAACTCCTTGACTTTCATATAGAGCATAGATTCACAGCAGCCAGAAGCTCTTCCAGGAATAGAATGATAGACTCACAAGTCATCAGGTCTGATATTTTCCCCCATTTTTCAATGGCCTCAAAACCAGGACCCCTCCACATCTCCCCTAAAGGGGCCACCAGCCCCCGCTCAGGTGCCGGAGGCAGGAAGCCCAAGACCTCAAGGGATCACAGTATTATCTAGTGGTAAAGAAGTCCTTGGCTTACCAGCACTGTTATCTGAGGCAAATAACTGTCCCTTTCTGAGATTTTTGTGAGAATAGGGTTTTTGTGGGGATTAATATGACAAAATGTGTAGAGCACTTAACATAACACCCAGCATACAGTGAGGCCTTTATCAAAGGTAGTTTTTATTACCGTCACTAATCCTGTTGGCCTATTACTGTTATTACTGACAATACTGGCCATTGTTTAGCAGTCTAATTGCCAGAAAATGCTTCTTGACTACCTGAGGTCAGGGCAGGCCCCAGGTAAATGGATGAAAAGGTAAAGTTTCTCACCAGCCTGAGGTTTAGTGCCCAGCCTCACTCTCTACCCTCTCCCTTTCCTTATTTAGCCTCTTCCCTGCAGCCTCAGATGCCAGGAACAGCAGACTCCCTCTGCTCAGAGATGGTCCCGGTCCTAGTATGGACACTGCTTTTCTGGGAGAGCAACCTTGGTCACACCCCTTCTCTCCTCTGGGCCTCAGTTTGCAGAGCTATACAATGGAGGATCAGGCTAAATTTTCTTTGAGATGGCCCTAGCCTCAGACACCCCAGTCATCTATCTGAGCACTGTGCCCCTCCCTTCCCCAGCCCATCTACTCGGTAGAAATCTGCACATTGGCCCCTTTTCTTCTTGTCAGTCCTGAGGACCTCCCCTTACGATGATTTCCGCCAATATTTTCAACCTTCCACATGTTCGGTTCCCAGGGAAAAGGAGTCAGACCCAGCCACCACCTGCATACCCACAGAGTGTGACACTAAAGGCTAGAATCAGAATCACTGTTTACGTCGTGTGTCCCCAGTTAGGTGTCCCCAGTGTCCCCAGTTAGGTAAAGGGCCCTCTGCCTTGCCCCACCCCCCACTCCATCCCCAGCCACCAAGCAGATTAAAGGTAATAATCAAGCCTCAAATCCAGGTCTCCTGACTTCCAGTCCAGTACCCTTCTAGCAGTCAGCAGTCCAGCAGTCTATTATTCAATACACAATAACTGAGTACCAAGCACTGCTAGGGCACTGGGAGTATCAAGGTGAGAGGGACTTGGCCCATGCTATTGAGGAATTTTAAGAAAGTTCCTAGAAAGAGACTCAGTCATTCGTTCATTCAACAAACACATAAGAATCTACTCTGGCCAGGTCAAAAGACCAGCTCAGACCCAAAGGCCAGCTTCCACTGCTCCCATGGCCTGGCCCCTGCGATGGGAAAGAGGCCTGGTGGTTGGGCAGGCCACCCACCTCCTCCTGAAGGGACCGGCAGGCATGAGCTCATGTCTGCAGAGCCCTGCAGCTCTCAGAGTGGGCTCTGAACACAAGGCCTCCTTGTGATTCCAAGAGGGATGTGGCGGGGGCGGCCGGCCCATGAAGCCCTGGGCATGGTGGGGCTGTCAGCAGACACTCCCGAGGCTGAGGGTACTGGGCTTTGATACGACATTAATGCGCTAATATCTTAATCCAGCCACCACCGGCCAGCTGCCTGGCCACACAGCAGAGCCCTGGGGACGGGTTTCCAAATTACATTATTGAATGTTTACCTACTGAGCTGTCCAAAGAGTGTTTAACACCAGCTGAGGGGAGCAACTACACACAGGACGGCCCCACACCCACAGCTTCACGTACGCCACACACATGCATGCACCCGCCTGCAGAGACTCACAGACACACAGGTTCACAGAGCCGAACAGGCAGCACACCCCTTAGAAACACACGTGCATGCACACGCATGCACACACACAGAGATCCCACACTTAACAGCTTGCACAACCCCCTGAAGACCCACACCATGCACACACGCACGCACATTCCACAGGCGTTTACAGAGCCCTATCTGGCCAGCACACAGGAATGCCTGCTTCTCCTCACCTTGCACAGTCACCCGAGTGGAGACCTCTGTCAGACAACCCTGAAAAGTCGCTGCTGCCAGGGCCTTGCAACTAAGAACCCAGCCTCACTAGGCTCCCTGGCCCCAATTTCCAAGTTCAGAGACAACCCCAGGCCTTGCTGATGGTGCTGTTAATATGGCTGTGGAGATAACACAGGCCGGGAGTCCTGCCCTCAGGGATAAGCAGGGCTGACTTCCCACCTGGCCCTGCCCTCTTGCTGGGATCCCCACCACCACCGCTTCACCCTCTTCACCTCTTCCCATGCTATACATGTCCCCTCTTCCAAGTCTTTTGAAATCTCTTCCTGCTACCTGAAATGCCCTCCCCAACTCACATCTTCAAGTCCAAGCTACTCATCCTTCAAGGTGAGCTCATCACTCCTCTTCAAAAAGCTCTCCCTACTCCAGCCAGCAGAGGGAAGGCTCCCCTCCATGGATCCCCAAATTGGGCCCTGACTTGAAGGTCAGAGCAGGCACTGCCATGACATGAAGATGGTAATAGCATCTACCTTGCGGGGCTATAGGGAGAAGTAAACATTGATTCAAAGGCTGGCATAGAGTCATCACTCAATTAAAATTATCCATTACACATATTATTACATGATGGCAACCACAATGACTGTGGCTCGTGACCCCTGTGCCTGGTCCCTGCCCTGATCTATGAGCTCCAAGGTGTGAAGCCAACATTACCCTTTGGCCCACAGTGGGAACTCAGTGTTGGTTGAGTGAGTGACTAAGAAGTCCACTGTCTGCCCTGCATTTTCATGACCAGAGAATGGATTTTTCTAGAAATACTCAGTTGAGAAGGAAGTCTGAAAAATTAACTGAATTAAGTAGGGGTTAGGTGGGTCCCCAGATACACCCACTGCTGGCTCTGCCATAGCACTCTGTGACCTCAGGTAGGTCCATTCCTCTCTCTGGGACTCAGTTTCCTCACTTGTCAAATAAAGAGGTTAGATGGCAAGGTCTCCCTGTCTCTTCCAGCTCTGAAGTTCTGAAATTCTAAGCCCCAGTCGCAACCTTGCCCTAGGGGTCCAATCTAGATACAATATCCTTGAGGAATAGGACATTTCAGCAGAACCATCTGGGAAGGAGGAAGAGGCAAGAGAGAGAAGATGGGAGAGTATTGCAGTGGGGGACACAGCAGAAGCAAAGGCACAGGGTCTGGATGCCATATGGGTTTTCTGGCAACAGTGAGTAGACAGGCATAGAAAGAATGGAGCATTGGCCCAGGGGGTGTCATGGATGGATGAGTCCAGAGAAGTGAACAGGAGCTGCCACAGCAAAGGCCTTGTAGGCTAGGCTGTGTGGTAGAGGTTTTATCTTCTAGACCAGTGTATTCCAAACTTTCATGATCATCAGAATTACCTGTGGCAATTCTTAAAAATACAGATTCCCAGGTCCCCACCTCACCCCTACTGAGACAGAGCCCCTTGGCAAGGGACCTGGGAATCTGGAATCTGTATTTCTATTAAGCGCCCTAGGTGATTCTTATAAACCAGGCAAGTTTGGGAAACACTACTGTGTGAGATGCCAAGTCACTCAACAGTCTTGTACCTTGGAGGGACACACCCATGTGCTTGTCACAGAAAGTGGACATGGGCCATGGCGTGGGCATTTGCTCCAGGCTCAGGTTGCCTGGATTAGAGTCCTGCTTGCCTCCTTCACTTCTTATCCCTATTGCCTTGGCAAATGACATGACTTTTCCTCACTTTCCCACCTGTAAAATGGAAATATTCCTTAAAGGCTGTTGTATTAGTCCGTTCTCACACTGTTATGAAGAACTGCCCAAGACTGGGTAATTTAAAAAGGAAAAAGGTTTAATTAACTCACAGCTTTGCATGGCTGGGGAGGCCGCAGGAAGCTTACGATCACAGTGGAAGGGGAAGCCAAACATGTCCTTCTTCACATGATGGCAAGAAGTGCTGAGCAAAAGGGGGGAAAGCCCTTTATAAAACCATCAGATCTCATGAGAACTCACTCGCTATCAAGAGAACAGCATGATGGTAACTACCGCCATGATTAAATTACCTCCCACCGGGTCCCCCCCATGACACATGGGGATTATGGGAACTACAATTCCAAACAAGATTTGAGTTGGGACACAGCCAAACCAGATGAGCTGGTCATATAGATCAAACAAGCTAATGAAAGCTTGACCAGGGCTAGGAATGATGAGGCTGTTTCAGGAAAATGGGTGAATGTGCCCCCACCCAAGGGATTTTAGGGAGGAGAGGAGCTAGCTGTCTGTGAGTGGAGAGATTGGCCAGGGGTGGGCAGGGGAAGAAGGTAATTGGCAAAGGGAAGTTTCCATAGACTCCCTTTTGGTTATCCAGGATTCATTTATCCATCCATTCATCCAACAGTACTTATGCATATCTACCATGTGCCAGTTGATGCTAGGTGATTCAATAGGAATCCTTCTCTTTGAAGATTTTACATTCTAAAGAGAAAGGTTAGAAAAATGGAAAACTAACTAAAATAATCCCGAACCATAAAAAGAAATATGAAGAAAACCAACAAGAGGCCAGCCAGAGAAGACCTGAAAACATGGCATTTATGAGGATTCTCATCAGGAACAGTGAAAGATAACTGTGTGGGCAGAGGGAACAGCATGTCCAAAGGCCCTGGGGAGGAAAGTTGCTTGGTATGTTACAGGAACTGAAAGGAACTGGCCTAGTTGGAGCCTGATGAGTGAGAGGCAAAGAGGCACAGATGAAGTTGCTGAGGTTAATGGGCTGGGTCGCACAGGATCTTCTAGGCATGGCCAGAAATCTGGATTTTATTTAAGTGCAATGAAGAGTTTTTAAGCTGAAGAGTGACATGATTTGATTTACATTTTAAGAAAATCCCTCCTGCAGCTGTGTGGAGAATGGACCGTAGCGGGGTGAGAGGGGAAGCAGAGGCTGTGAGTCCAGGAGGTGGCAGCAGGGGAAGCAGGAAGAGGTAAACAGATTCAAGAGGCTGGCTCTGCACCAGGTGGTGCAGAATGGATGGGACTCGCAGGTGGATTGGCTATGGGGAAGGAGAGCAAAGGGTTGGGGGATCAGGAATCACACCCTGGTTTATGGCTCACAGAATTAGGCAGATTATGGTGCTGCATATGGAGTTGGAGGAGCTTGGGAGGCAAGAGTGCTCTTGTCAACTGGCCCATGGCACATGAGATTCCCCAGTACCAAGAGAGACTTAAACAAACCTCATGCTGGAACTCAGAGGGACTGCCTTTCCCACCGCAGGCCTGGGGTTCTCTGGCCTTCCTGCTATGAGCTGATCTGAGGAAAGAATAAGATAGTCATCACATGCCACTTTATTCCAAGAAATTCCTCCAGGGAATGTGCATATAGCTAGTGTTTAAGAAGATGGGGTGTTGGAGCCAGATTGCCTGGGTTCCAATCCCAGCTCTACCACTTCCTGGCTGTGTGACCCCAGGCAATTGATTTGCTCTTTCTGTGCCTCTGTTTGCCCAGAAAACATGGGATGATAATAGCACCGATTTCCTAGAGTTGATGTGAGGATTAAAGTGCATTGCTGTGCTTGTGGAGCACTTAGGAGAGGGCCTGGCACAAGGTAAGTGTGGAGACAGGCCAGCAAGAGTCAACAAGTGACACCTACTCTGTTTGTGGCTACAGGCCAACTTGCTGGTACTCACTTGTTAGGGAGGCAAGGGGCCCAGTGGTCAGAATTTGCAAGTGTGGGCTCCAGGTCTGCCTCTTCCATTTAGTAACTACATGGCTTTGAGCAATTTACCATAAGATCATATCAATGATCTCTGCCGTACCTGCTCTGTAGGCTTGGGGCAAGGACTCCGTTAGATGGTGGACAGGTGGGCCCATACAGTGAGAAGCGCTGTACCGTTTGGTTCTGCACATGGGAGACTATGCCACTGACCTGTCCTGGACAGTGGATCCATAGGACAGGGCCTTGGGGCAAGATGCCCATTCAGGGCTCTATGGCGGCCCAGGCCAGGCTCTCTCTGCTGTGATTCTCCCAAGGCCAAAGATGAAGATTTACCATCCTTCACAAATAATAACAATGATGTCCAAAATGCTTCCTTTTCTTTGTTTAGACCATTACATGATGCTATCACTCCAGAATCTCCATGGACTAACAGCCATTTGAGCAGGTCAGGGAGCAGCCTCTGTATTTTGGGGATGAGGACAGCAAGGGTCAGGAGATGCTCGTGGTCTTGCAGAGTTTGCAGTAGGGGCTGGACAAGGTCTTCTGACACTCAGGCAAAAGCGCTTTCCCCAATATTACACTGTTCCACCACCTTGGCCCCGGCCCCCTCCCTGCTCCTGTGGGGCTCTCTCTTTCCCAAACTCCAGCTTCAGTTTGAGTCTCTCCTGTTGTCTATCTCCTTCACTTCTTCCATGTTCTCTTTCTTCTTAAGAAATGTCTCAGATATATTTCTGAGGCTGTAGCCTTGGAATTCCACAGTCCACTCAGACTCCTGTGAAGGTGTACACCCAACCTTTCCCGGAAATGCCTGCCTGAGTGATGCCCGCTCCTCACAGTTTTCCACAATTGGGCCCTTGCTGGCATTCATTTTTGAGGAGTTCTGGGCTCCAGATAATTCCAGTTCAGCTCTTGGAAGAGAAAGTCAAAAGAGAAATGGAAAAAGAAAAACAATCTCCCTACTCCCACCACACATTTTCATAACCCGTTCCAAACTTCCCAGCTATGATGACATAAGTTTTACTGTTTTACAAGCAACTTGCCCTTAAAATGGATGGGAGGAAATGAGATGCAGAAGGGTCCCTCGAGAGACTGATCAAATCCCAAGAAGTGAGATCCAAGGACCACCAGCCACAGTTCCCTCCTTGCCTCCCCATCTTATTCTGCCCAGGACGCTCTAGGCTCTGGGAGGCAGGCCATGGCTGGGCAGAGTCCTAGCCTCGGAGTCAGAAGATCCACACTCGTGTCCTAAATCTGCCCTTAGGTAGATCTCAGTTTCTCCAACTATAAAAGTGGGGGTTGGATAAGATCATCTTTAAGGTCTTGCCCTACTCTAGAGGACATTATGTCTGAAAGTTAGGATGGGAACCCGGAAGCCATGTCAGAATGGCAATAAACAAAAATCCATGTGAGCACTGGACTGGCCAGAGACACCCAGAGAAAAATTATACATGGTTCCCTGGTCAGATTAGGGCTTAGAGGGGAAGTGAAGGTGGGAATCAAAAATCTCAGAGTATCTAGGATGTTCTAGCAAAAAACATTCTCTAGAACTCTCTTAACCCAAGCAGACTTGTATTGGTAGACAGAAAGAGAGAGAGAAAGAGAGATAAAACCCCATTCCACAGATGGGGAGATGGAAGACCAGGGAAGTTAAGTGACTTGCCCCAATCACACTGCCCACAAGGGCAAAGGGCAGCACTTAAAGGAAGAGAAATGCTTTAAAAATATCCTGGCATCTAAAAATAGTGTGCAGCTTGGCCTGGCTGACTCAAAGGGGTCATGTTTTATGGCTGTCCCCATCTGCTTTTCTGGGACTATGCAGCTCAGCCTGCTCTGGTTATAGTTTTTCCATGAGCTCGGTTCAGATTTCCCTGTCCCACTGGTGAGCCCATGGGTCAGTGCCTAATTTTCCAACGTTTATCTTTCCCATTTACAATTTCCCCCATGTAAATGGCCAATTCAATCGGTCTCTTGTGATTCTGACTCTAGAGCTAGACTACAGGCTAATCAAGCAAGAAGTCCTCCCTCACTTCTCAGAAAGCCCTACAACCATTTGTAAGCACCATACCCAACAGGATTGAGCCCACCCTGTGCCCCACTAGCCTGCCTGCTGGGTCCCTTTCTCTCCACAGGCCCTGCAGCCTCAGGGTCTGTGGCCTCAGTTTCCTCATTCATCACCCGTCTGCAGGCCAGCTCCACACTAGCTTTATACCCTACACTAAGGAAACAATGCAAATTTGGCACCTTCCTTCCCTTCACAGCGTTTACAGTCTAGGAGGAGACAGCAGTGAGTGGCACACACTCCATGGGCGCGTGGAGAAGATGGTGGGCTCAGCCGGGACCATGTTAACTTGGAGGCTGCAGTGGAGATGTCCCTGGCTGTCTCAGTCCACTATTTCAGCACTGGAAGGATCCTGGTGACACACTTCACGCTGGGTTTGATCCCCTCTTGGATCTATTCCCAGTTGTTTCTCATGGGATTGTCTCATCTCCTCAGGCCCAACACAGGGTCTGCACAGAGAGGCCGAGGACAATCTATGGACTTGAGCTGAACAGAAGCACTACCTATGGCTCTCTAGCCAATTCACTAGCATCCTCAGGGAGGAAGGCAAAAGGGAGGAGAGAAAGTACAAGTCCACAGGGTGGTAGGTTTGGCTCACCCATGTAGCAGATGAGTGTGTTGGCCAGGTACAGTGGCTCACACCTGTAATCCCAACACTTTGGGAAGCTGAGGTAGGGGGAGCACTAACCCAAGTTAGAGACCGCTTGGGTCACACAGTGAGACTCCATTTATAAACAAACACACACACACACATATACACACATATGTGTGTGTGTTTGTGTGTATATATATATATATATAGAGAGAGAGAGGTGGTGGGGGGTGCTGGGAGATAAGAGGAGGCTGGGTCACCTGGGAAAGTGCTCTGTGAGCAGGTACTCAAGCCTAGTTTTTTTTCCCCAACCTTGGCAATCAGATACTTCCTTCCTCCCCCTCCTCTTCTACCCCAGGGGGCAGCCAGGAGTGAGAGTAGCATTGGTGTCAATCACTGCACTGGAGAGATTAGAGAAAGTCTTTAAAGGAGAATACTTGAGGATGATTTGAAATTGGTTGGGATTTACAGTTAGCATGGTCTATTGAAATTCCAGTTTCAAACCAGAACCTTAAATTACCTGAAGCATTTTGTTTCCTTCCCAGTTCACCCCAAAGCAACAGTACAGTCCCTCATACTTGTATTACTGTTGCAGTCATTAATTCATTCTGTTCTCTGGTGAGCACTATTGTCATTGGACAGATGAATAAACCAAGGCACAATGAAGAGCAGTCACTGAAGTTAGGAAATAATAAAAGTAGCAGACTGAGATCAAACACTGATCTCCTCCCTGGAAGCCCCCATTGCTTTCCCCATGGTTGCCCTGAAAGATCCACATAAGGCTGGACTTTGGGCTTTCTAGTTTGAAATAGAACCATGGCTGACTCATGGATACGCATTGGGTTTCCCTTGGCTCCTTTTGATTTTGTCCCGTACTCTCCCTTATGTGATCTTGGCCAGTGTTTTGGCTATAAATATTGACTCTCTGACCATGACTCTAAAATCTAAATCCATAGCCATGAACTCCAGATGCATCAACTTAGGCTTCTAATTGGCATCTTCCACTTTCCTGTCCAACTCCTGATTTACCGCCAAATCCTACTCCCCAGTCTTCCTGCATCTCAGTAAATGTCTCCACCCTGCCTCAGGTTGCTCACATAAAGATCATCTTTGATTCATCTGTCCCACATGCCCTTCATCTAATCCATCAGAAAGCACTGTTCCTCAGAAGCACATCCCAAATCTATCCACCTCCCTTGATCTCTACTGAGACATCTTAGTCAGTCACTGTCATCTTTCTCCTGGACACTGCAGTAGCTTCCAGACAGGTTGCTCTGATTCCACATTCCCTACCTTGTCCCTCAACATTCTCCACTCTGTAGCCAAAGCAATCCTTATAAATGGAGATCAGATCAAGCTACACACTTGCTACAACCCTCCGTTGACTCCCCACTGCAATTAAAACATAATCCAACCTCCTTGTGCTCGTCTACAAGGCCCACTTAATCCAGGCTTCTGCCTCTGGAATCATCTGCTCCCTGTCATCAGCACCATCCACGCTGGCCTTCTTTCTGGTCCTCCAATGCACCCAGCTTGTTCCAGCCCCAGGATCTTTACAGTAGCTGCCCCGCTGCTTGAATCACTCTTCCCCAAGAACATTACATAGTCAGCTCTTTTTTTATTTTTGTAAATGTTCTCCCTTCCTAAATCTACCTACCAAAGTAGCCAATCCCTAGCCAATTGGAGCCCTCCTGCTATCTCAATTCAGGGACATATTGTCTGTCTCTGACAAGCAAAGACCTTGTCCATCTTGTCTGCTCTGACTTCCTGAACCAGAGCTGGGCCTAGGGGAGTTGTTGAGTGAACAAATGGATAAATGAATGAAGCTGCTCATACCTCATAATATGAGAACTAAATGCAATATTCTGAAGAAACAGGCCCAATTCATAACTTCCTGCCATATATACACGTGCATATAATGTACATAATATCCACAAAGAAACAAAGATTTGGGGAAATGGAAACATTCATTAGTGATATGGCTTTGGAGGATTTTTTTAAATCCCTCTGTACCTCAATTTTCTTATCTGAAAAGTGGAAATAATACTTATTGCACTGAAATAGTGTGAGGATTTAGTATCTGTAAATCACCAGTGACAGAGCTTGGCAAGTAGTAGGTGGGGTCACTAGATGGCATCTGTCATGATTGTTTTTCGTTGTCATTCCACGCCTCTCAGGTTCCTTGCCTGGTCAAACAGGCTCAGTGACTCCATCGCCCTGTGGCCTCCTCCTCTCCTAATCTTTCTCTCGTGTTGCTAGGAATTGAGGCTTTGAAGTGAGAAAGAAGATCAAGCCCTGACTCTACCACTTACAGCTTTATGATCTTGGGCAAGTTACTTGAGCCCTCTGAGCTCCAGTCTCTTTATTTGGAAATGGTGCTAATAATAGCACTTACCTACTGGGGGTGCTGTGAAGTCTACATGAAGTCAAATAGGAAAAACGCATCACACGTATTTGAAAAGTGACCGCTCTTGTTATCTATCAATCATACACTCCTGTGCATGTACATGCACAGCCACGTGCACACACACACGTACAGACACAACTCCTCTCTTCGCTGGGTCTGAGAGCTACTGATGTGAACTTTAGGAATGGAATCAATTAGAATTATTTTTGAAACCTCATCTGTTTTGATTTAACAGGAAGCTTCTGTTCAATGAAATGCAGCATTAGTCAATGAAAAATCAAAGGCCCTGGATTTCAGGGCTCAGCTGTCCATGAAGGCCGAGCCGAGACTTCCAGACCCCACAGGCTTTCCAGGCCCAGCCTTCACTTACACATATCCCTCTCCCGAGAGCTGCCTTGTCCCCAGGGATCTCTGGGAGGAGAGAGGCCTGTCTATTCCAAGTGCGGGGTCTCTGCTGGCCCTGAGCCATGCCCCTCTAAGCACTGGGCATCCCTCCCTGGGGATGTAATTACCAGTATCTGCTTCTGTTTTCCCCTGATTCCATATTGAGGACAAGAGCTGCCTGATTTTTATCTGTGGCTCCAAGGCCCAGCCAAGTGCCTAGCACAGAAAAGATACTAGATGAAAATTTTTTATGGAAAAAAGTGAGTGATGATTGAATCAATGAATAAATGATTTAGTTGCAATAATTATGACTAATATTTACTGTGCTGCTTACCACGTGCCATGCACCATTTTAAACGTTTTTCATGTATTGACTCATTGAGTCGTCATAACAACACTATGAGGTAGTTTCTCTTATTTAGCCCCATTCTACAGATGAGAAAACTGAGGCATAGGAAAATTAGTAACTTGCTCACAGTCATATACAACAAGTTCAGTAACTGGGATTCCAACCCAAGCAGCAGGATTCCAAGGCCAGCATTCATAAACCCCGGCACTGTGTAACTCATTCATTCATTCATTTATTCATCAAACACTCACTGAACGCCTCCATTGTGCCCAGCCCTGGACTGGGCTCTAGAAACACCATGATGGTTTAGACCCACTTCCCACAAGGAGGTCATGGTCTAGGGGAAGAATAAAAAAAGTGAGTCATTACAGTGGGGCAAAGGCAGGGGTGAGTGTGGGGAAGTTCCTCAGCAGAGGCCAGCACAGCCAGCCCACCCTGGTCAGGTTAGAGGAGACTTCTTGGAGGAAGTGGCCCTTGACTGTGTTGGCCAGATATAGGGGAGAGAATGGGCATTGCAGGCAGAGAGACATGTACAAAAGTGTAGAGGTAAGTAAGTCTGGTGCCTCTGAGAATGGCAAGCACCTGAGGTGAGGGAGTAGTACAGGTGGTAAGTAGGAATGGCAAGAGAAGAGGCCAAGAGGCCATCAGGGCCAGGTCAGGGAGGGCTGATGTAGTCTACAGAGTAGCTTGGACATTATCCCAGAGGTGCGGATACCCAAGGAAAGGCTTATGGCTCTTCCTATTGGATTGCATGATTTAGTGAATTAATGCAAAAGGATGAGGAAGAGTGGAGGCACTTCACAAAGTAAATATTATCTATACACACTTGCCATAAGCATATACATCCACCATACACCCATGCACACCCACCTGTATGGCACCAGAGTTAGGAACATGGACAAGAAAATTGAGGACTGGAGATGACGACTTTTAACAGATTCCAGATTTGGCTCCCTCAGTATGATCCCTTCCTTCCAACAGAGGGTTGTGCCCCAGGCCTGGAGGCATGCCCCCGACCACCATTCCTATAAAACATTCCCATCCTCACCTACCAAAGATGTTGTCTCTCACTTCACAGGAGTCCAGTGTGGGAACCGTAGGTGTCCATGCCTGAGGTTGGGCTCTGCAGCCATGCCATGGGCCAAGAGCCACATCCCAGAGGATAATGATTGTGATATGGGGGTAACAGGCTTAGAGGTGAAAAATTGGTTTTCCAGAGAGCTCAGTGAGCTGTGGGCTTGAGCATTTACAACCTGAAGGGAAACTTGGAGGCAAGACCAGAGGACCTCATGTCCTGAGATAATCAGGACATGGACTAGGTCCCTTCTTGAGAGTCCTTCCCTTGTAATCTCCAAGGTTTTGCTCTAGGATTCTGTCATTGTCTTTCTGGCTCCAGCCTCAAGTGTTTTAGAAAGTAATTCTAACATTATTCCCTGCCATGTGATTCCAGCACAAGGCATCATAGAATAGTACCAGAAACAGCTAGTTTTACAACCAGATGTCTGTAGGTTTGGCTCTTGACTCCACCACCATCAGCCCCATATGCTCACTATGTTTCCTTGCCTTGTTACTTCACCCCTCTGAGCCTCACTTTCTTCTTCTATGAAAAGGAATTAGTCATGCCCATCTCATAGAGTTATTGTGAAGATGAAACAATTCAGAATGCAGAATTCAGAAGGGAAACCAGTGTCCTTCCCTACTTTCTGCTCTATCTTCTTGTAGTGAGAGGCTGTTCTGTCCCCTCCACAGGGGTGGCATGTTTTCAGTCAAGGAATCTCCAGCCTTAACCCAGAGAGCAGCTCACCACTTCCTGTGCATGCAGATGCAACTGTGTCCAATGGAGGGGGCAGGTGAAATGGACAGTGTGGGGTGACTATGATTTCGGGATGGAGAGCCCTCCCATGGGCCTTGAGACCCTTGGTGAATCTGTCCCCAGGTTGGAGACCTACACCAGTCCCACTGATGATCCTGTTCTGCTGGACTCAAGTCTCACAAGGGACTGGCCCGGGAGAAGTCATGGGATTTTGCTCCAAGCAGGGCCCAGGCACTCATCCCTCACCAAACTCCCAGGGATTATGCTGGCTGAAATGACAAGGACTTGCTCCTTGACGGATCTTGAGTCAGCTCCTCTGAGCCCTCTTCTGGACTAGGCTCTGATTCAGGGCCCTATCCTTGGCTCGCTTAGTGCACTTTTAGAAAGAATCCTGCTGATCAGTTTAGTGAAAATCCCGGCCTCTGATCACCCTCCATATATGATCAAATTCCTCATCCCCACTCTCTATAGCTTATCACCCAACTTGCCTTCAGCAAGAATCCTGTTGAGTCAGGTTACCCAGAATCCCTCTTCCCCTTGATGTTTCTTTCCTCTTAGTAATTTTCCATACACTGCCCCCCACCCTGCTCCTTGGCTATAATTCCCCATTTGTCCTGCTGTATTCAGAGTTGAGCCTGATCTCTCTCCCCTCCTGCAAAACCCCCGTTGCAATAGTCCCACTTGGAAAAAGTCTCCCTTACCATCTTTAACAAGTGTCATGAATAATATTCCTTCAGTAGAAACTCCCAGGAACTGACATTGTGCTTTGGACCATTTAAGAACTCGTGGTTTTTCATGAGAGTGCAGAGAGATGTGGTCAGGGTTGGAAGTGCCCAGCTGGCCAAAGAACCCCACTGCAGTGGGGAAATGAAACAGCTCCATGAAGACTGACAAGTAATTTCCTCAGAAGAGGAGGTGGAGGTGTCCTTGACCATGAGTGGGGAGAGCAAATACTATTTCCATCACCAGTGAACCAGCAGAGGGACACAAATGGAATCTTACCTCCTCAGCAACCTCACTGTGCCTTCCCTTCTCTCTCTTCTTTCCCGTCCCAGCTTTCTGCCTCACCAGTCCCTTCCACAACCTTTCCTCCTTCTCCTTCTCAGCACAACTGCTGCACACCTTGAATAAAACTCTTTCTCTAGGTCCCATTTTCTCCTTTGTAAATTGAAAATGGTAGCCTCTCTCATAGCTACTTCTCTCCCTCTCTCTCTCTCTCTCACACACACACACATACACATACACACACACCCTTGACCAATCAGTGGTTTACCGTTTATTCTGCTAACATTCAAAGGACCTTGATCTTTTAGGAGTCCCCCCAAAAAATCAAAGTGCAAGAGTCCACGTTATGAGGTGGTGGACTGAACCATCATAATAGTCTCATGTGATGGTGTTTACTGTGTGTGAGACACTGCTCAGTGCTTCAGACATGCTGGCTTATAAAACTAAGAAAACATCAACTGTCTTTCTCAAAGAGTAGGGTGAGCATGAGGGGAGAGGGAAATGTTATAATACTACACTGAGTTTATATGTTAATTTGGGGAGAATTAACAGCTATGCAGTCCATCAATATGTTGCTTCTATTCCTTTATTAAGGCCTTATTTTATATTTTCTTAAAGTTTAAAATTTTTCTTCAAAAAGTTCTTGCACACTCTTAATTCCTACTTTATAGTTTCTATTGTTATTGTAAAAAGGGGGGGCCGGGCGCGGTGGCTCACGCCTGTAATCCCAGCACTTTGGGAGGCCGAGGCGGGCGGATCACGAGGTCAGGAGATCGAGACCATCCCGGCTAAAACGGTGAAACCCCGTCTCTACTAAAAATACAAAAAATTAGCCGGGCGTAGTGGCGGGCGCCTGTAGTCCCAGCTACTTGGGAGGCTGAGGCAGGAGAATGGCGTGAACCCGGGAGGCGGAGCTTGCAGTGAGCCGAGATCCCGCCACTGCACTCCAGCCTGGGCGACAGAGCGAGACTCCGTCTCAAAAAAAAAACAAAAAAAACAAAACAAAACAAAAAGGGGGGACTTACTCGATTTTCTAGTTAGTTATTATTGTTGTAAAGGAACACTTAATCTTTTGCAATTATAAAATATGTCTGACATCAGAAGGTACAGAGAATAAGAAAATGAGCACCCGGTACCCACTATTCTGATAAGAATAAAAACAATATACATACAGTTGAAGACCTCTGAGGACCTCCCCTCAACCTCATTCCTTTCCCTCCCACTAGAGTAACCACCCTCCCAGATAGGATGCATCCTTTCCATTTATATCTTATGCTCTTATACTCCTTCACACATTGTATAGTATCATTTTGCATGTTTTTGAGTTTGTGTGAACATAAACATTACATAGCATCATTTTGCCTGCCTTTAAACTTCATACAAATGTTATCCTACTGTATATACTTCTGCGATTTGTTTTTTTGTTTTGTCCTGTTTTGTTTTGTTTTCATCCAATAGTGTGTGTGTGAGATTTCCCCACATTGATTCACGTAGCTCTGGGTCTTTTTTTTTTTTATTTTCACTGACACATAGTACTTTACAGTATAGAGTTATCCCACAACCTATTCACCAATTCTGCTCTTGATCAACATTTAGGTTGCATGCATTTTCTTTTTACTCTTTCTTTCTTTCTTTTTTTTTTTTTTTTAATGAGATTCCCATCTCAGCTCACTGCAACCTCCGCCTCCCAGGTTCAAGCGATTCTCCTGCCTCAGCCTCCCGAGTAGCTGGGATTACAGGCATGCACCACCACGCCCAGCTAATTTTTGTATTTTTAGTGGAGATGGGGTTTCACCTTGTTGGCCAAGATGGTCTCCATCTCCTGACCTTGTGATCCACCCACCTCAGCCTCCCAAAGTGCTGGGAATACAGGCGTGAGCAACCACACCCGGCCTTGTTCACTCTTTCAAACAATATTGAAGAAATATTCCTGTGCATGCTTCCTTATGTGAGAATTTCATATATATATGAGATGTGTTTGTGTGTGATCTTTATCAGATATTACCAACTTGCCCTGAAATGTAGTTTCACAGATGTCCTCTCCCATGTGCAGTGTATGAGAGCTCCTATGGCCCCATAGTCTCTTCAACATATGAAATTGTCAGACTTTCACATTTTTGCAAATATGATATGTGCATAATATAATTACAGTGTAATTTTAATTTGATTTTCACTGCTTAATAGTGTGACCAACCGCCATTTCAAATATGTATTGGCCATTCAGGTTTTCTCTTCTGTGAATTGACTCTTGGCATATTTTGGCTATTTTTCTGTAGGTTCTTTGCATATCTAATTGATTTGTAGGTCTTTTTATGTATTCTGCATACTCATCACTTTTTTGTGAAATGTGTTGCATATATCCTCTCCTAGTCTGTAACTTCTCTTTTTACATTGTTTGTAGTGTCTTTGTCTTTTGATGCATATAAACATTTGAATTTTAATGTAGTCAAATCTATCCATGTTTTCCCATACTTGTTTCTGGTTTTTTTGTAAACTGTTTAAGAAATCCCTGAGGTCAGAAAGATATTCTCCTAGGTTTTTATCTGAAACTGTTATGTTTTTGGTTTTCCATATTCTTCCATATTGATTCTAGAATTAATTTTTGCATAAAGTGAGAGTTAGCAGAACAATTTTACTTTTTCCATAGATCGAGAACTATCTGTAGATAGATAACACTTGTCCCAGCTGATTGAATTGTCCATCAATTTGCCACTGGTTTGGAATGTCACCTCTGTCATGTAAAACAGTGGTCCCCAATCTTTTTGGCACCGAGGACCGGTTTTGTGGAAGACAATTTTTCCACGGACATGGGGGCAGGGATGCTTTGGGGATGATGCAAGGGCATTACGTTTATTGTGCACTTTATTTCTGTTATTACTACATTGTAATATATAATGAAATAATTATACAACTCACCATAATGGAGAATCAGTGGGATCCCTGAGCTTGTTTTCCTGCAACTAGATGGTCCCATCTAGGGGTGATGGGAGACAGTGACAGATCATCAGGCATGAGATTCTTGTAAGGAGCATGCAACCTAGATCCCTCACATGCACAGTTCACAACAGGGTTTGTGATCCTGTGAGAATCTAATGCCACTGCTGATCTGGCAGAAAGCAGAGCTCAGGCAGTACCACGAGCAATGGGGAGTGGCAGTAAACACAGAGGAAGGTTTGCTCCTGCTGGCTGGCTCACTCACCACCTGTCACTCACCTTCTGCTCTGCAGCCCAGTTTCTAACAGGTGACAGACCCTTATCAGTCTGTGGCCGGGGGTTGGGGACCCCTGATGTAAAAATTTTCCATAGGGGTAGGGGTCTGTTTTTAGGCTCTCTATTCTTATCTGTTGCTCTATTTATTTAATCCTGTACCAAGTATCAAATGTTTTCATTTATGAGATTTTTAAAAGTATTTAATTATTTAAATAGGTAATACATTTATATAAGGCAAAATAAGATATAAAAGTGTCCATCCCACATTCTTTCCCCCATCCCACTTCTAAACAGATAAACACAGATTTTTACGTATATTCAAGCAAATATAAATATATAATTATCCCTCCATCTTTTCACACAAATTGTGATGTGTCATTTACACTAGATATTTTACCTAACAGTATGCCTTGAAGATCTGCCATGTGAGTACACTGAGAGATTCCTCATGTTTTGTATAGGTTTATGGCTTTCTTTTGTATGGGAATAATATATGTATTATAGTTTATTTAATCATTCCCCTATTGATGAGTATTTAGGTTGTTTTCAATCTTAACTATTACAAAGAACTCTGCATATGCCCCTTCCCTCTGCATATTCTGCAAATCAACCTTTAAATTCTTAGATTTGTTAGATCAGAGAATACATACATTTCTAATGTGAATAGGTTTTTGCCAGATTGTCCTTCATGGAGACCAGACCAGTTTATACCCTAACAGCATTGTTTCCTCAGCCTTATCAACAGAGTATATATTTCAAATTCTTGGATTTTTTTTTATCATTCTGACAGGTGAAAAATGGTATCTTGGTGTTGCTTTAATCTGCATTTCTATTATGAGTGAGGTAGAACTTTTTCTGTGAACCACTTGATCATATCCTTTGCCAATTTTTCTATTGAGTTCTTGATTCTTTATCTCATTGGTTTCTATGACCACTTTATAAATTAGGGAGATTAACCTTCTGATGAAATGAGTATCAAATATTCTTTCCCAATTAAGTTATCTTTGGCTTTGTATTTTGGCATAAAGATTTCCTTAATGTAGTGTAACTTTTCTATTTTTTTTTCTCTAAGGTCTTCTCTATTTTAGGTCATAATTTGAAAGATCTTTCTGATCCCAAGATTACAAAAGGATTTTCTCAAGTTTTCTTCTAGCATATTGTGGCATTATTCTGGTTTTTCAATCTTTGATCCATTTGGAAGTTATCCTGGTGTATGGTGCTAGGTATGAATCTAACTTTATTTTTTTTCCACATGGCCAACCAATGACCCCAACCACATTTATTGAACAGTTAATCATTTCTCCCACTGATCTTAGAAGCCAGTTTTTTTCATATACTAAGCTCCCATATGTGTAGTAACTTCTATTTCTGGACTTTCTATTATAGTTGATCGGCCTGTCTTGCTATTCATGCATCAGTTCCTCACTGTTTCAGTTACTGAGACTATTATGTTTTAATATCTGGTAGAGCTAGTCCCCTGATAGTACTCTTCAGAGTTTTTCTGAATGTTTTTGTTTCTTTTTTTTTTTCACATGAACTTTAGAATCAGCTTGTCTGGCTAAAAAATAAAACTGCTGATATTTTATTGAGCTCACATTAAATTTAGAAATTAACTCACGGAGAATTGACATCTTTATGATGTTGAGTCTTCCTAGCCAAAAACATGGTCTTTCCAATTATTCAAGTCTTCTTTTGTGTCCTTTAGAAGTGTTTCAACATTTTCTTTGTATAGGACTTGCTACTACCTTTAACTTTATTGAAAGGTAGTTTATTTTTGTTGTTGTCATTGTCACTACTCTTGTAAATGAGATCTTTTCTTTCATTCTGTCTTCCAAATGGTTATATTTATACATGATGGTAGTTAATTCTTGTTTTTTAACTTTACGTATCCCTCTTACTAAATTCTCTTACTGTTGGCAATAGTTTCCCTGTAGGTTCTTCAGGGCTTCCAGGTATAAAATCATCTACAAGTAGTGCTAATGTTACATCCTCCTTCCTAGCTTTTGTCTCTCTAATATTTTTCTTTTGCCTTGTTGCATCGTTTAGTAGTATACGGGCAGTCCAACAAATAACATCCTTCTTCTTTGCCCAAATTCTGAACCCACTGAGAATAAAACAGATGGAGGACAAAATATTATTTTATTGCTGATAAAGTTTAGGTATAGAAAGTGTGGCTCCTATCTGCCCTACCCACTCATTCACAAGCAACACTGGCCTGGGTGCACCCCTTTAACCATAGTCCATGGGCTCTGACATGGAGTATTTCCATCAAAATTCATTTTAAAATATTCTTCAATTCATATTTCCTCTTTGACCCAAGGCTGTTGGGTCAAAGTTTTTGTTTGATTGTTTTCATTTTCCAGATAGAGGGTGATGTTATTTGGTTCTGTGTCCCCATCCAAATCTCATGTCTAATCATAATCCCCATGTATTGGGGGAGGGACTTGATGGGAGGTGATTGGATCATGGGGGTGATTTTCCCCATGCTGTTCTCATGATAGTGAGGGAGTTCTCTTGAGATCTGATGGTTTAAAGGTGTGTGACAGTTCCACCCCTCCCTCTCTTTCCCCTGCCACCATGTAAGAGGTGCTGTGGTTCCCCTTTACCTTCCACCATGATTGTAAGTTTCCTGAGGCCTCCCCAACCATGTGGAACTGTAAGTCAATTAAACCTCTTTTCTTTATAAATTACCCAGTCTTAGATAGCTCTTTATAGCAGTGTAAAAACGGACTAATACAGAAAATTGGTACTGGGAGAGTGAGGTACTGCTATAAAGATATCTGAACGTGTGGAAGCAACTTTGGGACTGGGTTACAGGCAGAAGTTGGAACAGTCTGGAGGGCTCAGAAGAAGACAGGAAGATGTGGGAAAGTTTAGAACTTCCTAGAGACTTGTTGAATGGTTGTGACCAAAATACTAATAGTAAAATGGACAATGAAGTCCAGGCTGAGGTGCTCTCAGACGGAGATGAACAACTTACTGAGAACTGGAGTAAAGGTCACTCTTGCTGTGCTTTAGCAGAGACTGGCAGGATTTTGCCCTTGCCCTAGAGATTTGTGGAACTTTGAACTAGAGAGAGATGATTTAGGGTATCTGGTGGAAGAAATTTCTAAGCAGCAAAACAATCAAGATGTAACCTGGCTGTTTCTAAAAGTGTACAGTCATACGCATTCATGAACAGATGATCTGAAATTGGAACTTATGCTTAAAAGGGAAGTAGAGCATAAACGCTTAGAAAATTTCCAGCCTGGCCATGTGGTAGAAAAGGAAAACCCATTTTCTGGGGGGAAATTCAAGCCAGCTACAGAGATTTGCATAGTAACAAGAAGCCAAATGTTAATAGCCAAGACTATGGGAAAAGTGTCTCCAGGGCATTTCAGAGATCTTCGTGGAAGCCCCTCCCATCACAGGCCTGGAGGTCTACGAGGAAAAAATGGTTTCATGGGCGCCCAGGGCCCGGCTCTTCTTCGCAGCCTCGGGACATGGCACTCTGTGTCCCAGCAGCTCCAGCTCCAGCCATGGCTAAAATGGACCAAGGTACAGCTCAGATGGTGCAAACCCCAAGCCTTGGCAGCTTCCATGTGGTGTTGGGTCTGTGGGTGTGCAGAAGAGAATAATTGGGGTTTGGGAACCTCCACCTAGATTTCAGAGGATGCATGGAAATGCCCGGATGTCCAGGAAGAAGTCTGCCACAGAGGTGGAGTCCTCATGGAGAACTTCTAGCAGGGCAGTGTGAAGGGGAAATGTGAAGTTGGAGGCTCCACACAGAGTCCCCACTGAGGCACTGCCTAGTACAGCTGTGAGAAGAAGGCCACCATCCTCCAGACCCCAGAATGGTAGATCCACTGATAGCTTGCACTGTACACCTGAAAAAGCCACAGGCACTTAACACCTGCCCATGAAAGCAGTCACAGGAGCTCTACCCTGCAGAGTCACAGGAGTGGAGCTGCCCAAGGCCTTGGGAGTTCACCCCTTGCATCAGCACGCCCTGGATGTAAGATATGGAGTCAGAGGAGATTATTTTGGAGCTTTAAGATTTAATAACCGCCCTGCTGGGTTTCAGACTTGCATAGGGCCTATAGCCCCTTTGTTTTGGCCAACTTCTCCCTTTCGGAATGGAAGCATTTACCTAATGCCTGTACCCTCATTATATCTTGGAGGTAACTAACTTGTTTTTTATATTTTATTTTACAGGCTTATAGGCAGAAAGGACTTCTGTTGTCTCGGATAAAACATTGGACTTGGACTTTCAAGTTAATGCTGGAATGAGTTAAGACTTTGGGGGACTGTTGGGAAGGCACAATTGCTTTTGAAATGTGAGAAGAACATGAGGTTTGGGAGGGGCCAGGGCAGAATGATATGTCTTGGCTCTGTCCCCACCCAAATCTCATGTCAAATTGTAATCCCTACATGTCAGGGGAGGGATCTGGTTGGAGTTGATTGGATCATGGGGATGGTTTCCCCTATGCTGTTCTCATGATAGTGAGTGAGTTCTCACAAGATCTGATGGTTTAAAAGTTTAAAAGTGGCAGTTATTCCTTCACTGTCTTTCTCCTGCTGCTATGTAAGACATGCCTTGCTTCCCCTCCACCTTCCACCATGATTGTAAATTTCCTGAGGCCTCCCAGCCATGGAGAACTCTGAGTCAATTAAGCCTCTTTTCTTTATAAATTATCCAAACTCAGGTAGTTCTTTATAGCAGTGTGAAAATTGATTAATAGAGAGGGGCTTTTTTGTTTTCTGATTTTAGTATTAATTTCTAATTTAAACTTATTGGAATTAGAGAATATTGTCTAAACCATCACTTTTACTTTTGTATTGATACATACTAGTTGATGATTTGATACCAGTATATGAGGTGTAATGATCAAATCAGGATAATTGAGATATCCATCACCTTAAACGTTTATCTTTTCTTTCTGTTGGGAACATTACAGTGTCCACATTATTAATATTTTTATTTTTATTTTTATTTTTGTAATTTATCAAGGTTTTCTTGTTGGTCTTACATTAATTGTCACAAACATTTTATGGCCAACTGAATTTTTAAATGGTAGATTATCTGTTTTTGGAATATAGATTTCAAAATGATATTTAGTCTTCTCTATCCTTGACTATTTCTTGTCCATTTGCCTAATCATATACTATGATCACTGAATTAAGTCTTCCCTTAATCATGTATTTATGGTTTATTTCCCCTTGTAGCTCCTGTAGTTTCAGTTTTATGAATATTGATGCTATATTGTTTTGTGCATAGATACCTATAATGGTTATGAACAATGATGTCCTGGTATCATATACATGTGTAGTCCATGTATCAGGGTTGGTCTTTATGACCAATAGAATATGAAAATATCACAAAAATTATGGTATATATTATTTTTGATATTAGGTTATAAAAGACACCATGACTTTCATCTCGGGTGCACTCTCTCTCTCTCTCTCTCCCTCCCTCCCTCCCCCTTTCTCTCTGCTGCCCCAACAGCCAAATGAGTGAGCTTGGAGCTGCATCTGCTAGTCCCAGTAAAGCTTCCAGCTGATTATATCCCTGGCCAGCAGCCTACTGCAGCCTCCTGAGGAACCCTGAACCAAGCCAGAACCACCCAGCTAAGCAGCTCCAAGATTCCTGATCTTCAGAAACTGTATGAAATAATAAGTGTTCATTGGGTTAAACTGCTAAATGTTAGGGTAATTTGATATGCGTCAATGGATAATAAATATGTTAATTGCAAATGGCAACCTTTACATATAACATGTCTGTCTTTGACTCATTTAATGCTTTTTGACTTGAGATCCTATTTGTCTAATTATGATCTCTCTATTCGTGTCTGCATTTGATGGATAGACCTTTGCCAAAATATTTATTTTAAATCTATATGAATGGCTTTGCTTTAGGTATAATATGTCTCTTTTATACTGCTTAGAATTTCTTTCTTCCTGACAGTCTTTTTCTTTTAATAGGTGATTTTAGCCTGTTCACATTTATTAATATGACTGATGTATTTGATCTTGGCTTCTGCATATTTTTCAGTATTGATGTTACTTTGCCAAGTTCTTTACTATGAGCTCTCTTTTCTTTATTTGTGTGTGTGTGTGTGTGTGTGTGTGTGTGTGTGTGAAGTTACTTTGACAGTTAGAAAAATTGCATTTTTGTTTTAGTGGTTATATTTATACTTAGGACTTTATATAACTTCTTTGGTTCTCTACTTCATTAGATATCATCTATTAGTTCCCTCCTATGAAAAATGATAAAGTGGTGTACTTCTTTCTTCTCCTTTCCTTTTCTTTTCTCCACTTCTCGATTTCTGTCATTAATATTACCTTTTCAGTGTATACTTCTGTACTATTAAATAGGCATATAGTTCAATCACTTGATTTGTCAGCTTTAAAATACATGCTTTTACTCTTGGTTGTAAAAGTTTAAGCAAACAGCAAACACTCTACCTTCAATCTTCCTCCTGATCCTCTCATAATTTATATTAGTTGTATCATTCCTATATTTTTTGAACATTATTTATCTTCTATTCCTCAGCCTAATCTTCACACTCTTTTTAGTTTTTTAGTTATTTTGCTCCAACTTCCCTAATTAACTATTGGTTGATTATGCTGAAATCATGCATGTTCAAAATTGCTTGTCTATAGCCTTTATAACCGAAGAACTGTTCACTGAAGAGCACTTGGGCTGGATATAAAAACCCTCAGGTATCATTTTCTTATCTTGAGGATTTTGTAGATATTACTTCTCTGTCTTATAACATTAAAAGTTAATTTGAATAAATCTAAGGCTATTCTTATTTCTTTTTTTCCTCTATACATGACCTAAACTTACCTGGATTATCAAGATTCTTCCTTTATCTGTAAGGTAGAATACATTTACCAGAATATGTCTTGGTATTACCATGAATTAATATATATAGTCAAGCCTACTTTATTTCAGGAAATAGCCTCTTGAATTAAGCTTTAAATATTCATTCTGTATTATTATATTGGTTAACTGCTTTGATGACTCCAAAAGTCCACAAGTTGAATCTTCATTGCCTGTTTATATATATATATATATTTATTTATTTATTTATTTATTTATTTATTTATTTATTATACTTTAAGTTCTAGGGTACATGTGCACAATGTGCAGGTTTGTTACATATGTACACATGTGCCATGTTGGCGTGCTGCACCCATTAACTTGTCATGTACATTAGGTATATCTCCTAATGCTATCCCTCCCCACTCCCCCCACCACACAACAGGCCTAGGTGTGTGATGTTCCCCTTCCTGTGTCCATGTGTTCTCATTGTTCAATTCCCAACTATGAGTGAGAACATGCTGTGTTTGGTTTTTTTTTGTCCTCACGATAGTTTGCTGAGAATGATGTTTTCCAGATTCATCCATGTCCCTACAAAGGACAGGAACTCATCATTTTTTATGGCTGCATAGTATTCCATGGTGTATATGTGCCACATTTTCTTAATCCAGTCTATCATTGTTGGACATTTGGGTTGGTTCCAAGTCTTTGCTATTGTGAATAGTGCCACAGTAAACATACTTGTGCATGTGTCTTTATAGTAGCATGATTTATAATCCTTTGGGTATATACCCAGTAATGGGATGGCTGGGTCAAATGGTATTTCTAGTTCTAGATCCCTAAGGAATCGCCACACTGTCTTCCACAATGGTTGAACTAGTTTACAGTCCCACCAACAGTGTAAAAGTGTTCCTATTTCTCCACATCCTCTCCAGCACCTGTTGTTTCCTGACTTTTTAATGATCTCCGTTCTAACTGGTGTGAGATGGTATCTCATTGTGATTTTGATTTGCATTTCTCTGATGGCCAGTGGTGATGAGCATTTTTTCATGTGTCTGTTGGCTGCATAAATGTCTTCTTTTGAGAAGTGTCTGTTCATATCCTTTGCCCACTTGTTGATGGGGTTGTTTGCTTTTTTCTTGTAAATTTGTTTGAGTTCTTTGTAGATTCTGGATATTAGCCCTTTGTCAGATGAAGAGATTGCAAAAATTTTCTCTCATTCTGTAGGTTGCCTATTCACTCTGATGGTAGTTTCTTTTGCTGTGCAGAAGCTCTTTAGTTTAATTAGATCCCATTTGTCAAGTTTTGCTTTGTTGCCATTGCTTTTGGTGTTTTAGTCATGAAGTCTTTGCCCATGTCTATGTCTTGAATGGTATTGCCTAGGTTTTCTTCTAGGGTTTTTATGGTTTTAGGTCTAACATTTAAGTCTTTCATCCACCTTGAATTAATTTTTGTATAAGGTGTAAGGAAGGGATCCAGTTTCAGCTTTCTACATATGGCTAGCCAGTTTTCCCAGCACCATTTGTTAAATAGGGAATCCTTTCCCCATTTCTTGTTTTTGTCAGGTTTGCCAAGATCAGATAATTGTAGATGTGTGGTATTATTTCTGAGGGTTCTGTTCTGTTCCATTGGTCTATACATCTGTTTGGGTACCAGTACCATGCTGTTTTGGTTACTGTAGCCTTGTAGTATAGTTTGAAGTCAGGTAGCGTGATGCCTCCAGCTTTGTTCTTTTGGCTTAGGATTGACTTGGCAATGCAGGCTCTTTTGTGGTTCCATATGAACTTTAAAGTAGTTTTTTCCAATTCTGTGAAGAAAGTCATTTGTAGCTTGATGGGGACGGCGGTGAATCTACAAATTACCTTGGGCAGTATGGCCACTTTCACGATATTGATTCTTCCTATCCATGAGCATGGAGTGTTCTTCCATTTGTTTGTGTCCTCTTTTATTTTGTTGAGCAGTGGTTTGTAGTTCTCCTTGAAGAGGTCCTTCTCATCCCTTGTAACTTGGATTCCTAGGTATTTTATTCTCTTTGAAGCAATTGTGAATGGGAGTTCACTCATGATTTGGCTCCTGTTGTCTGTTATTGGTGTGTAAGAATGCTTGTGATTTTTGCACATTGATTGGGTTTTGGTGTGGATGTCCTTTCTGTTTGTTAGTTTTCCTTGTAACAGTCAGGATGCTCAGCTGCAGGCCTGTTGGAGTTTGCTGGAGGTCCACTCCAGACCCTGTTTGCCTGGGTATCAGCAGCGGAAGCTGCAGAACAGTGAATATTGCTGAACAGGAAATGTTGCTGCCTGATCGTTCCTCTGGAAGTTTCGTCTCAGAGGGGTACCCAGCCGTGGGAAGTGTCAGTCTGCCCCTACTCGGGGGTGCCTCCCAGTTAGGCTACTCAGGGGTCAGGGACCCACTTGAGGAGGCAGTCTGTCCGTTCTCAGATCTCAAACTCCATGCTGGGAGAACGACTACTCTCTTCAAAGCTGTCAGACAGGGACATTTAAGTTTGCAGAGGTTTCTGCTGCCTTTTGTTTGGCTATGCCCTGCCCCCAGAGCTGGAGTCTACAAAGGCAGGCAGGCCTCCTTGAGCTGCAATGGGTTCCACCCAGTTCGAACTTCCCGGCCGCTTTGTTTACCTACTCAAGCCTCAGCAATGGCGGACGCCCCTCCCCCAGCCTCGCTGCCGCTTTGCAGTTCGATCTCAGACTGCTGTGCTAGCAATGAGTGAGGCTCTGTGGGCGTGGGACCCTCTGAGCCAGGCACAGGATATAATCTCCTGGTGTGCCGTTTGCTAAGACCATTGGAAAAGTGCAGTACTAGGGTGGGAGTGACCCAATTTTCCAGGTGCCATCTGTCATAGCTTTGCTTGGCTAGGAAAGGGAATTCCCTGACTCCTTGCACTTCCTGGGTGAGGCAGTGCCTCGCCCTGCTTTGGCTCATGCTCAGTGTGCTGCACCCACTGTCCTGCCCCCACTGTCCTACGAGCCCTGGTGAGCTGAACCCGGTACCTGAGTTGAAAATGCAATAATCACCTGTCTTCTGCATCGCTCACACTGGGAGCTGTAGACTGCAGCTGTTCCTATTCGACCATCTTGGAACTGCCCCCATTGCCTGTTTTATATATTAATCATTTTCTTTCCCCCAATCCTTTTTAAAAATATTCTCCTGTTTCATTTTGCTTGCTTTTCTCGTTTTTATCCTCTAGTTCACTTACTGTTTTCCTCAAAGTACATTCTCCTTTGTACTCATTCTAAGCTATCTTCATTTCTGGATTTTTTTTTTAATAATCCTTTCTTGGATTTTGCCAGCTAATGTATTTTTTCTTTCTGTAATCATACCTTTTCTTCCCTGGGCTCTTTCATCTTTGTTTTGTTGTCTTACTTCATATAGGCAATAGCTCCAAAAAGATTTTTTAAATTCATGATAATGTTTGGTCCCAATTTTTATCTGCTCTGTGGCAACCTTTCTCTGGGGAGGAGTCCTTGTCCATTAATAAACTTCTGAATATTTTCCTTTTATCTTAGTACAAAAAATTATCTTTGTATTGATGCATTTCTTATAATATCTTTGTATTGATGCTCTGTTAGATCCTTGTTATAACTCCTCATAGCACTAAAAATCTTTGCTAGCACTGAATAAGTTGAGTTCAGTTTTCCTAGATTTTCCACTGCCAGACAGGAGAGTACTTTGGTTAGGGCAAGATGGAATCCCTTACTTGCTGGTTTTTACTAGAAGGGCCTCTTCTCTGCTGCCACAGAAACAAATTGCTTCTGAAAAGAGGTTCACCCTTATGATTTTTTGTGTAGACCTGCATCTTCAGTTTTTCTCAACCAAATCAAGTCCAAGAAGTCTTTTCCCTTTAGCACGTTTCACTCCAGTTATCGCACCTGTTTTTGAAAATAGGAGATATAGCTTTTGCATCTCTGAATATATACCCCTTACCTTTAGGAAGAATATTTTTGCCTAGCTATCTCATCAAAGAGATCTTTCTGGGAGCTTCTTTCTCTTCATTTCCTCCTATTTATTTTCTTCCTAATCTCAGCTTCTTTGGACAATTCTTACACATACTTGGGAGTCTTGGGTAATACCTGTCCTCAAGTTTTGCCAAAAATAGAGTTTATTTTTTCATCCTTTTTGTTGCTTTTGGATGATTTCTAAGAGAAGGAGAAATATGCTGATTTATACAACCATATCTATTCCAGATGTACACACTGTCTTAATTACCAAGATTTTAAAATAAGTCT
The DNA here is from genome assembly GCF_000001405.40 of Homo sapiens. NCBI lineage: Eukaryota > Metazoa > Chordata > Mammalia > Primates > Hominidae > Homo > Homo sapiens. Next base: position 47,601,090 of record NC_000001.11, on the reverse strand, counting down.
TACTTTTTGCTAGGGCAAATTTAACCACCTTGTTTCTTTTCTTCAATTGTTTAACTGTTACTGAACCTTAGTTCTTTCATGTAAATTTTAGAATAAGTTTTAAAAATTATATACACACATACACACACACACGCACTGTTGGTATTTTATTTTAATCCTAATAAATATATTATTAATTTAGAGAAAATTGGCACTTTCATAACATTGACTCTTCCTATCCATTAATATTATATATTTTTAATTTATTTGGATCTTTGATATCTTAAAGTTTTATATTTTTTCCCAAAAGGTCTCTTATATATTTTGTTAGATTCATTCCTAAGTACCTTATGTTTTCTGTGCATATTATAAATGCTATCTTTTTAAATGTTTATTTTTAATACTTTGTTGTGGTATATGGGAATACAATTGATTTTTGTACATTGATCTTATTTGTAGTGAGCAAATTCACTTAGTTCTCACTCATCTTAATAGTTTGTCTGTAGATGCTCTTAGGTTTCTACATAGATCATTATATCCTATCATAATCAATCACAATCTAGTTTATTTCTTTATCTTGCCTTACTATTCTGGTGAGGAATTCCAGGTCAACGTTTAATTGAAACAGTGATTGCAGATATCCTTGCATAATTCCTAATTTTAAAGAAAGTGCTTCAAATATTTTCCCACCACATACTGTGTTAGCTGTAAGTTCTTGGTAGAAACCTCTTTTCAGGTTTAGAAATATCCCTTATATTACTAGTTTGCTGAGATCTTTATCATAAATGGATATGGAATTTCATCAAATCCTTTTTCTTAATTCATTGGGACCATTGGTTTTTTTTCCTCTTAACTTGCTAATATTTGGGATTGAGTTAATAGATTTCAAAATGTTACATAATCTTTGCATTAATGAAATAAACACAACTAGTCACAATGTTTTAGTAAACTGCTGGATTTGGCGATTAAGGGATCATTCGTTAGTCTTATTTATCTTCACGACATCCTTTTCCAATACTTTATTTTTAACCTTTCTGGGTCCTTATGTTTTAAGTGTGTTTGGGGTAAATAGCATACAGCCAAAATGGGGTAGATAGACATATTTGTTTATTTTTGCCCAATATTACCATCCTTATCTTTTAACTAGAGATTTTAATCCATTTACATTTACTGCAGTTCCTCATATATTTAGGTTTATATCTACCATCTTATTTTCTGCTTTTTGCTTACCCTGCTTCTCTTTGCTTCTTTATTTACTTTCATTTTCCATCCTCTTTTGAATTAATCAAGGCTTTTCTTTAATTCATTTTTTCCTTTACTGGTTTATAAGTTATACATTTTATTTCTACTTTTTTACTAGTTACCTTTAAATTTTTAACATGCATTCTTAACACAATCTAAAATGAAGTAATATTTTTCCTCCTCCCCAACAATACAAAGACTTTAGAATGCTTCAACTTAAATTACTCTTCTTCCCATCTTATACAATATTATTCTCCAGTATTTTAGTTCTACCTTGATTTTTGACCCCCAATTAGTCATAATCCTTAATATTATATTATTGTTTGACAGTCAGTGTTTGTTTACATGTATCCTCATATTTACTTTTCTTACCCAGCGTTCCTTCTTGCATCACATTCCCTCTTTCTGGGTTCAGTATCCTTCTTCCCAAATATGCCTTTAGAAGTTCCTTTAGTGAAGGTTTTTGGTGATAAACTCTCTCATACACGAGCTCCCCTTGTTTCTCCTCTGTAATTACTTGGATGTGCTTCATGGTCCCCATATCCCACTTTGTCTCTTTGAGGACTCTCACTATGCTTATTTTAAATTATTGTTCCTCCTGGTCTGTTAGCTCTCTCCCTCAGATGCAATCATCTATATCTCAGATGCAATCAAGGATTGATGGGAACTGGGAAGGTGGAAAGCTCAAGGGTTGATCCATTCACTGCATGTGTTATTATCACTGTCACTGGTGTTTTCTACCCTGCAGTGGCAACAGGATGGGCAGTGACCCATTGAGGGCAATGTGGGGGAAATTCAAGAATGCCACATAATCCTATGGCCCCTGTACTCCTCCTTCTGGCTTCATGACTGGCTTTGTGCCCTGGACTCCCTGGGGAGAGATGTCTTTTCTGTGAAAGCCAGAACTTTTGCATTAATTGCACTGTCATTTGGGGCTGGTTTCTTTTTTAAAGCAAAAAAAGTAGATCAGAAACGGTCTCGTTTGATGGTCTGTTTTCAAACTGTTGCCTTTTTATCAACCCAAACCTCAGCTCTGGGGAGATTTAGAAGATCATACGTTTCTTGTATTTGTTTAGTGTCCTAATCAGGTCCCAGTCAGCTTTGCTATCCAGTCACCACTCACATAATAGCCTTCCACAAACCCACAACAAACTCCCGAAGAGCCAGGCAACATACATGGAGCTCCAAGGCCTTCCGGAGTCGCTTACCCCATGCCGGCCACCCCACACACCCAGGAACAAAGTCAGACACATTCAACCCTCCCATGCATATCACATGCAGCCTGTGTCACCTACAAGCACACACATACCACACACGCATGCTCATCCTGGCACGGGCTCACACTCTGGCCCACAGACCGGTCAACACACACTCACACACATTCTGTTTGGGTAATAAAACCTAAAGCAATGCCAAAGGCCCTGGCTGCACAAAGCTGAAGTCAAATCTTCAAACTTCCCTAGAGCCTTGGAGGTGAGTATAAAGGCAATCCTCACCCACCGTTTCTGAGCCCTGAGGACAAATGCTTCCTGCCTTGCCTTTGAGGTCAGGAGCCTTACACATTTAGTGGTGGCTTTAAAAGTCTTTCATTATAGACATTTTGGTGTTGTACTTTTCTGAACAAAAATGGAGTCTATTTCCTTTTCCAAATTCTAAATAATCATACACAAGAATTTCATAGCTTCACAGAATAAAGGTGCTTTGTGGACAAAAGATTTTCCTTGAAGAAAAGCTGCAATGCTGCACCTACTCTCCATGTGCCCCTGCGACCAATAGTGCCCCATGCCTGAGGCTATGATCAGTCTCAGGGTATCACCATGATTAGGGCACTTATCATTCTGCATCATGGATGGGATTTTTAAGATCATGGTCCAGCACTTATTTGACTAAGGAAGAGGAGACCAAGAAAGGGGCACAGCTGCCCAGGGTCACCAGGACACTCTGTGAGGGCAGTACTCTCAGAGGGGGGATGTGGAATCCCGAGGTGTGCAGAGGCTCCGTGTTTGGGGAGATAAGCACCAAAGATGGCTCTGAGTGACGTCATCTCTAAAAGGGGGATCAGGATGGTTGCTACATTAGGGGTGGGTTGAGGCTCAAATAAGATGCATGTATTGTCAGGCGTGTAGTAAGGACTCAAAAAATAAGCACACACACTCACACACACAGTACTACAACGACAGCCAGCCCCTCACGTCTTGGTGGCACACCTGGTACAGCTACCTCAAATCTTCCACCAAAGACAGCGTGCCACCATCACCATGGTCATAGGTATGTAAGGAAAAGAGGAAGCACCCCGGGGGAGAATTCCTGGTCCTAGCCTCTCACCCCACAAAAAAACTCACTCTATGACTTTAAACAAGTACTGTCTTCTCATTATATGAACTAGATCAAGTCACTGAACTTTTTTTTTTTTTTGAGACGGAGTCTCGCTCAGTCGTCCAGGCTGGAGTGCAGTGGTGTGATCTTGGCTCACTGCAAGCTTCGCCTCCCAGGTCACGCCATTCTCCTGCCTCAGCCTCCCGAGTAGCTGGAACTACAGGCGCCTGCCACCACACCCGGCTAATTTTTTTTTGTATTTTTAGTACAGACAGGGTTTCACCGTGTTAGCCAGGATGGTCTCTATCTCCTGACCTCACGATCCACCCATCTTGGCCTCCCATAGTGCTGGGATTACAGGCGTGAGGCACCATGCCCGGCCTTCACTGAACTTTTTTAAAATTAATTTTTATTTTTATTTTAAGTTCCAGGGTACGTGTGCAGGATGTGCAGGTTTGTTACATAGGTAAACGTGTGCCATGGCGGTTTGCTGCACCCATCAACCCGTCACCTAGGTTTAAGCCGAGCATGCATTAGCTATTTTTCCTAATGCTTTCCCTCCCCCGACCCCTACCCCCACAGGCCCCAGTGTATGTTGTTCCTCTCCCTGTGTCCATGTGTTCTCATTGTTCAGCTCCCACTTATAAATGAGAACATGTGGTGTTTGGTTTTCTGTCCCTGTGTTAGTTTGCTGAGGATAATGACTTCTAAGTTTTAAGGGACAAGTATAGTACAAGCTCAGAAGCCTGTTTTCAGAACTAAAGAAAAAGCACATTGAGCACTACCCAGAGTGCCAAGCAGCCAGCTCTCGGTGATGTCCGCCATTGTGACTTTTTAGTTTGAGAATTAAAGTGGCTTCTTGACATGCTTTAATAGCAGGGGTCTGGACTGTGGCCTGGCCCAGGGGTGGCCACAGAGCCCAGGAGAACCCTCAGTGAGTGATCTGAGAGGGTTGTCATAGGCCTGAGATGATTCCTCTTCCCTGACCATCCCATACCCCAGGCCTGGCTTCTCTGTGTCTCTTCTGGAACCGAGCTAAAATGACTATTCATCTTGTGGCCTTGTGGGCGGCTGTCAGGTTTATAAGGACTTGACTTTGACAACACAGGCTGCTGGACCAGCAGCCGGGAGAGTGTTTGCTGCCCAGGCCCAGCCAGGTGAGGTGGGCCAAGTCAGTGGGAAAGAGATAAATTAGGGCTCTGTCCCAAAGAGGTGAGAGCACCAGACACATGTCATGCAACACTGTAACAGCAACTGACAGTTGACATAATTTGGCTCTGTGTCCCCACCCAAATCTCATGTTGAATTGTAATCCACAATGTTAGGGAAGGGACCTGGTGGGAAGTGATTGGATCATAGGGGCAGATTTCCCCCTTGCTGTTCTCGTGATAGTGATTGAGTTCTTATGAGTTCTGGTTGTTTGAAAGTATGCAGCACTTCTCCCTTTGCACTTGTGCTTGTCTCTCTCTCTCTGTCTCTCTCCTGCCACCATCTGAAGACATGCTTGCTTCCCCTTCACCCTTCCACCATGATGGTAAGTTTCCTTAGGCCTCCCCAGCCATGCCTCCTGTACAGCCTGTGGCACTGTGAGTCAATTAAACCTGTTTTCTTTATAAGTTACCTTGTCTTAGTTAGTTCTTCATAGCAGTGTGAGAATGGACTAATACAACAGTATTGGTCCATTTTTTCTACATCGGTGCCACTTGGTCTGTAGTCTGGCAGCCCTCAGCTGTCAAGTGGGAGCAGGACAGAAATGCAAATTCTTGAACCCCCATCCCAGACCTACTGAATCAAAATTTCCTAGGTGGAGTACAGCAATCTGTTTTCACAAGCCCTCCAGGTGATGCACACTAAAGTTTAAGAAGCACTGTTCTATATTACCTCCTATTATATTATCTCTATTTATCATCATTTTCCAGAAGCAGCAGCTGAGGCTATAGCAGGTTAAGGAACTTGCCCAAGGTTTTAAAGCAAGGAAGCAATGAAAGCAAAATTCAAACATGGGTGTAGCTGACTCTTCCCTCGCCCATCTGGGGGTGTTGAGTTCCTTGGCCTAAAGGAGAGCTACTGGAAGCTGGAAACCCCTGCTTGTGGAGGGGCTTCCTGTCTAAGGTGGTCTTAGTCCATTTTACATTCCTATAAAGGAATACTTGAAGCTTGATAATTTATAAAGTAAAGAGGTTTGCTTGGCTTACAGTTCTGCAGGCTATTCAAGAAGTATGGCACCGGCACCTGCTTCTGGTGAGGGCTGAGGAAGCTTCCAATCATGGCAGAAGGTGAAGGGGGAGCAGGTGTGTCACATAGAAAGAGATAGAGCAAGAAAGTGGGGCGGGGGTGCCAGGCTCTTTTAAACAACCAGCTCTCCAGTGAACTAACAGTAATGCACTCATTACTTCAGGGACAGCAACAAGCCATTCATGAGGGACTCACCTCCATGACCCAAACACCTCCCATTAGGCCCCACCACCAACACTGGGGATCAAATTTCAACATGAGATTTGGAGGGGACAAATACCCAAACTATATCAGGTGGCAAACCAGTGGCCTCAGCCCCAGCTTATGACTTGAAGTTTAAACTCTAAGGCTCAACCCAGGAGTTCTACTGTGGATGAGTTGGTAAGTGATGAGGTCTGGTGGGGACACATGCTGTGGAGAGAAGAGAGGGCCAGAGCCAGCTCTTGGAGAGTACCCACTTCGGCTCCTGCCAGCTGCCCTCGGCAGTACCTGCCCACATGCTCCCCTCCCTGGAAGACCACCGCACCTGCCAGATGCCAAGGATGAACCTGGTCTAACCCCCCAGACTCGAGCTACCCAAGTATATGGCTGGTCTTACTCTTCTCTGACCCCATTGCCCAGCTGAGGGCCTGGCTGATTGTCTGTGAAGCTGCATGGTCAAGTGAAGCAAGGAATAAACCACTCCTTTCTGGCAGATTGACTAGGAAAGGCACCAGGCAAGGCCTTGCAGACCTTAAGTTGCATAAATATGTGGGCAAGCAGGAGGTTGTGGGAAATGTGTTCCTGGTGACAGCTACAGACTGAGGAAAAGCATGGCAGTAGGAGAACGTGGAGTGTGTTGTTCCAGCCTCTCTCTAGTGCTTTTGAGGTAAGAGCATGAAAGGTGGATTTGGAAGCCATCATAGAAGGCCTGTACTGTCAATAGAGGGATTTGGGTTATTCTATAGGTACTAGGGAGCCATGGAAGGCATTAGAACAGGAGAGTGATGGGATCATATGGAGTATTGGGCTGTAGAGGGATTGAGCAGAACCCCTGTGCCCTGAAGCCTATTCTGCGCCAAGCACTGCACCTACTGCTTCCTGAGTACACCCTCATCTTAGAACTGAGGCTCAAGGTGTCTGCTCAAGGGAGCACAGCTAGTAAGCAGCAAAGCAGAATTTGCACCAAGATCTGTATGACTCCAGAGCGCAGGCCCTGGCTCCTCCACTACTGCTCAATCTCTGTCTGAGCTGTCTCCAGGGTTTGACTCCTGGGTGGGAGCGGGGCTTGGAGGTTTCCTGCCTCTGCCTAGAGTATAAAGTCAGTGCTGGGACCCTGGACCTTCATGGGGACTCCCATGGGGTAAGCCTGGGGCTTAGGGGTGCAGGCAGGTGGAAAAGATGCCCAGGAGAGGAGGGTGTGGGCCTGAAGGGCAGAGTTTGGCTGGGAGGCAAAGCCTGTCCCCAAAGCCCTTGCCAGGACTCCTGACCTGAGCTCTGAACCCTGGGCTTGGAGGGCCACCTCTCTGCATGGGAGTGCAACGGGGTTGGCGGGGTTGGCGGGCCTGGAGCTGGGGGCCGAGGGGCGGGGTCGGGGTGGGGGAATGGGGTGGGGGGTGTCCAGGGCAGCAAGCTCTAGAAGGCAAAGCGTGGGATCGGGTGAACCCAGTATCCCCCTTTCAGATGGACCAGAGACCTCCAAAATGTCTTTGATTCCACGAGATCTTAGAAACAGGGAGAGAAAACGAGAGACAGACTGAGCCCCACCAAGACAGAGAGGACGAGAGAGAGCCCCGCGGGGCGGGGGGAGACAGAGAGAGGTCCCGCGCCCCGTGGGCGCTCCAGGCCCGCGCAGCCTTGCTCGCTCTGCACGCAGCCACCGCGGTCCAGCCAGGGCGGCAAACTGGAAACAGCTGCGGAGGTTTTGGGTTTCCGCCCGGCCTCCCCCTAGCCCCTGGCTCTGGCCCACCCGAGCAGTTCCCCCTTAATCCCGCTCTCTCGGGAAGCTGTGCTGTGAAAATCCTCCGCCCTGCTCTGAGAGGTCAGCCCCGGGCTGGCGGCGGCGGGCCGCGGAGCAGGAGGTGCGGGCCCCGGCGCTGCAGACCCTGCGGAGACGGCCCCCTCTACTGCAGGCGCCGCCTCATCTAATAAGCGGGGCTGATAACGCCTTCCGCGCAAGACCGCTGGGAGACCTTCCCTGGCACCTGGCAGACGCGCGCAGAACCTTCACCAGTCCGGTTTTGCCAGGATGCTCCACTCACTGAGCGCCTTTTTCTAATTGTTCTAATTCGCACGAACAAGTCCTAAGGGCTAGTGGCAGCCCTGCCTCCCCTTCCCCCTCTCTCTCCCAGAGCCTGGGGATGAAGTCTGTGCCCAGCCAGTTACCTGGGGCATAGACTCAGTAGCCCCAGGGGATCAGTCCCCAGTCCAGTTCCTCTAGCACTTCCTGATGCCCTCCCCGTGCGCCAGCCCTTCACTGAATCCCACTCAGCACCTGCGCTCAGGAGCTGGGAGATAAAATTACTTTCAATGGGTCACAGGACTTTGCCTCTGAAGCTGGGAGATCAGACAGGCCTCATCGTTCCCTTTGATCTTGAGAGGGCATCCAGGCTCATCCATTCGGCACCCAGAGTGGGCAAGGGGCTTACTCAAGATCACCAGCAGGTCTGCGACAGGCCCACGACTCCTGAGTTCCAGTCCAGGTTTTGTTTCATTTTATTTTGAGCACTGTGCCAGCTCCAAAAACTGCTCACCTGGCAAGGTTTTCCTAGCCTCTTTGCCCCAGTCCTGGGCTCAGCTACAATAGGGAGCACACAGGTCAGGGCAGCAGGTGCAGCAGGCAGAGGCCTTGGCGGGGAGGCAGCTACAGCACTGGCCTGTTCAGCCCCGACGGCATTGCAGGCGCTGCAGGTGAGCTGTAGCTGGGCAGCAGGATCTCCGAGGGCCTCTGCGGCCCAGATGCTCGATCCCCTGAAAAGGGCTTCTGGGTTCTGAGCTGGCCCCTCACTGCCAGCTCTCAGTGCCCCTCCTTCCTGCCGCCCACTTCAAAGGAAGAAAACCCTTGGGAAGACTTGGAGTCACCGGGAAGCAGGTGTGCTCCACCAGGCCTCCCTGCCTCTACATGCTGCTGGCTGTGCACACACAACACAGAATCTCACGCACACACACCATGCAGTTACACACGCAAACACACTTTCACCTCACAGACCCACACGCACATTACACACACAACACAGTTACACACGCACACTCACCTTCACCTCAGACTCACACACACTACACACACAACACAGTTATGCACACTCACCTTCATCTCAGACTCTCTCACACACTACACACACAACACACAGTTACACACGCACACTCACCTTCATCTCATAGACACACACACTACACACACACAACACACAGTTGTGCACACTCACCTTCATCTCATAGACTCACACACTACACAGAGTGACACATGCACCTCACCTTCTCATAGACTCACACACACAACACAGTTACACACGCACATGCGCACTCACCTTCACCTCACAGACACACACAACACGCACAACACAGTTACACACGCACACTCACCTTCATCTCATAGACTCATACACAACACACAGTTACACACGCACACTCACCTTCACCTCATAGACACACACAACACAGTTACACACGCACACTCACCATCTCATAGACACACACTACACACACACAACAGTTACACATGCACACTCACCTTCACCTCAGATTCACACACACACTACACACACACAACAGTTACACACGCACACTCACCTTCACCTCACAGACTCACACACTACACACACAACACAGTTACACATGCACACTCACCTTCATCTCACAGGCTCACACACACCCACCTACTACAGTTACACACACACACACACACCCCTTCACCCCACAGGCACACACACACACACCCCTTCACCCCACAGGCACACACACACTAAAGTTACACAAGCACACTCACCTTCACCTCACAGACTCACTCACACACACACACACACACACCCCCTGTCATTGCTGTGCCGTTTCATGCTCATGCACAGAGGCCTCACACAATCTCACACTCACCCACACTCAGCTTCACACACATTGCAAGAGATGTCCTCTTGTTCACATGCACACACAGCCTCACACTTGTACACACCTCTCTCAGGTGCCCCCAGTCCGTCTTACTCTCACGGGCACACACCCTACACACCAAGTTCCCTCAGTGCCCCTGGCAGTACAATAAAAGGGACCCGGACATCCCACCTGGTTCCCTGCAGTGCAAACAGCCAGGCCCCGCCTTCCCCGCTCCCCAGAGGGCTGGGCCTGGGAGGAACAGCTCTGGGTGGGATTCCTTACAGGAAAGTGTGTGGCTAGGAAGCCCAGTCCCAGGACACATGCTGGCTGGCTGCTCCCAAACGTGAGCTCTTTATCCTTCCACAGGCTGAAGGCTGATGCTGTTCTTAAGGAGCTCACCCCCACTATCTGCCTCCCACCCACCCTGCCCTGCCCAGCAGGCTGCCAGCTGCCCACCCAAAGGAGGAGAGAAATCAAGCTTGCACCCCCGACCTGAGTCTCAGATTCACACCCACCCTCCCACCTTCCCATGTACCAGAGGTGCCTTCCTGAAAACCCACTCCCAGCATGGCACCCTCAGACCAAACACCATTGGTAGCTCCCATTCCACTACTGGGCAAAACCCAGACTCCTTAACCTGTCATTCTAGGCCCCCCTGACCCCAGCCTCCCTCTCTATCCTCAGCTGATGCTGAAAACTCCCCCATTTCATACACACACACACACACACGCACACACACTTTCAAAAATATCTTCACTTCCTTTGAGGTGATCTTCTCCAGGAATATGGGAGGGAGGCAGCAGCCCCAGCCCCACTCCAGGAGCACAGGGCTCAGTTTCTCCATTTAAACAGAGGGGCTGGCCAGCCATGCATGGCCTATCTTGCAGAGCTAGTGAGAGGGTGCAGTGGCAGTCTTTCAGAAGCTTAAATGGCTGTATACATGGAGGTACCACTTCGTATTACAGGAGCTACTCCCAATAAATTTTCTCTTGAACGACCTCTCTCCTCTGGGCCCTAGACCAGGGCAAGGAGCCCGACTTGGACCTCAGTCTCTGCTGTTTCCTGGCCACGTGACATTAGGCAGGCCCATTCCTCTTTACTCTCTCTGGGTCTCAGTTTCCTATGCGGTAGAATAGCAGGACAGACTTGGACAATCAGTACTGTTCCTTCCATTTTTTATCTTTGTGGGATCCATGGGTCCCTGTTGCAAATGAGGTCAAGGGGAGCGAGCCACAGGAACTCATAGCATTCATTCCCAAATTCATTTATACCTCACTTCACACACAGTCACACATTTGTTCAGCCACAGACAGTAAATGCCAGCCCTGCCCCCCATTTCACATACCAGGCTAGGGACTAGGCACTGAAGCTGTCGCAAGTGAAGGAGGCATTTACCATCCCTGCCGTGGGCACCCACAGTCTACCACGGAAGAAGAGAAACTGAAGAAGTAAATTGCAAATGCACAGAGTATTATGCAAAAGGAAGGAAAGCCACTGAAGTTTGTAATAGACAGAACTCTCCTCTAACAGGGGCAGACAGGGCATCAGGGAAGCTCCCTACCACCTCCTTTTCACCCTGGAAGAAATTATGCTTAAGGGAGACCTGAATGGTGTAAGAGAGGAGTCAGGCAGCAGAAGAAGTCGGGAAGAAATCCAGAGAATGCAGAGAAGGGCTGAGTGGCTGGAGACGGTGAGGAAGGAGGGATGATGGTGAGGGTGGAACTAGACATAGCTTTGGTTGTGGGAAGCTGAGGAAAGTCTCATGTGGCACCTTCTGCGTCTCTGTGAGTAGGGAACAAGGTGTCTTCTGGGTAAGAGGATAGGATGGAAAGGGTGGGTGAAGATCTGAGAAGAGAGAAGAGAATTTGTGTACTTCAACAGAAAGGCTGCAGACTGTGATTGGGTCCTAGCTGAAGTTGGTAACCATGATGTAGAGTAATCCATGATCCTACTCTCTCCCAGACCCCATGCTGAGCACTGGAGCTCATGTGGAAAGGAATTCTCTGAAGACTCCTCTCTATTTGCTTATTTTCATTTATTGGAGCAAGAATGGATGCCTGGCCCCTTCAGAAGCCCAAAGCAGTTAAACAGTCCATTATGTGCAGTTGTACAGGTTGTTCATTGTTCAAGACACCCTGCCAAGAGGGAAATGGTGGCTGAAAAATTCATTTCTTGTTTTGCTCTCCAAGCTATGTGCATTGCCACAGGGCTGTGTCCTTTGCCGGGGGGTGGTGGGGGGCGAAAAGGGCTCCTCTTTTCAATTTTTCCAAAGATACCATCCCCTCTGCAGCAGCCTCACTATGAGCATGCTGGGCAATGCCTGCACAGGGGCATCTTTTCCTAATTCTCACAACATGTGCAGGCACCACAGGTTCTGAGTGAGTCAGGAAAGCTAGAGATGCACTTTCTTTTCAACAGTTCTAAGAAATGAGAAGGTTAGATATCAAGGCATCTCAGCACCTCCTCCAAGAGGGAGGTGTGAGCATAAGCTACAGGCTTTTTGTAGAAAGAAAGCTCTTTGATACCCAGCATGAGGGTCAAAGAAATATGAGCCAGAGAAATATTGCAGTTTAGAGTCCCTCACTGTGAAAACTGAGAGGGAACTCCGGGCCATCTTATTTCATCCCCTCTCTTTTAGATGAGACAGCAGAGGACCAGAGAAGTCACATGGCTTCCCTGAATCACACTGCAGTGTTCAGGACAGTGGCAGGGCTCTCTCTCCGCTGCTGCCTCTGCCAGGCCCATCCCAGGAAGTCCTCATGTGAGCCCCTGAGAGCAGGAGTCAAGCAAGCCTGTCCCTTTCAGGACTCCCAACACACACACACACACACACACACACACACACACCCGCAATTCTGGTGCCCTGGTGGCTGCCTTCAGCGCGGACAAGGGCCAGGCTCTATGTTCACCAGACTGTAAAACTTGGAGCCGCTGAGCAGGCTCCGGAATCTTTCCACACCACCCCTCCCAAGGGATTTCCCAAGGGATTTCAATTTCACTTTGCTTTTATCTAAATATATCCCTGCGCCTTATCTCACAGGAAACAGAGTAGCACCTCTCCCAGGAGACTGAGCAGCCCAGGGGCCATGCAGAGCTTCCCAGGCCAATACTGCTGGGCAGTGGTGGTCTCAGGGGATGGGAAAGACAGAGGAGACAGCCTCAGGCTTCTCACAGGCACCCAGCTACCCCCATCACCACCACCACCTTTCCCCAACATGGACCCAGACCCATTCTCATCCAGGGAAGGACTAATTAGGAAGGGACGCACCAGCTTAACTGGAGACCTGTAAATTTCACAGATGGGTTTTTTGTTATTGTTATTATTACTGTTGCTGATGTTTTTAAGCAATGAGTTTGTTTATTTTTTTCCATCATAGGGATGTTTCTCCATTTTCTTTATCTCTTTGTCTCTGTGTTTCAGAGTGTCTTGGAAACTGGAAGAAAGAGACCACTGCCAGTCAGGGTCACCCAACTCTGAGCAGACAAGGGCTGCCAATATACAGGTGCTTGGGGGGTAAGACCAGAATGCCATATTTGTGACTTAGTCTTTTTAACCTTTTATTGTAAAATAACAGAAAACCATACAAAGCAAACATATCATTTAATGAATCACTCTAAGGTGAATACCTTTGTAACCATTCCCAAGGTAAGAAATAAAGCTGTGTCCGTCACCATAGAAGCCCCTCCAGGTGCCTCCTCTCTCTTCTCCAAAAGTAACCACAAATTCTAACTTTTTTTTTTTTTTTAAACGGAGTCTCACTCTGTCACCCAGGCTGGAGTGCAGTGGCATATTCTCTGCTCACTGCAAGCTCCGCCTCCTGAGTTCACGCCATTCTCCTGCCTCAGCCTCCCAAGCAGCTGGGACTACAGGTGCCCACCACCACGGCTGGCCAATTTTTTAGTAGAGACAGGGTTTCACCGTGTTAGCCAGGCTGGTCTTGATCTCCTGACCTTGTGATCCACCCGCCTCGGCCGCCCAAAGTGCTGGGATTACAGGTATGAACCACCGTGCCAATTCTAACTTTTGTAATTACTATTTTCTTGCTTTTCCTTATAATTTGATCACCTAAATGTACATCCCTAGACACTATCATTCAGTCATGTTCATTTCCTATATTTGATGTCTTTTAGGTCTCTTGTAATCCCCAGCCTTCCACTGCCATCCCTTGCTCTACCTGACAGTTTATCCATGGAAGTACCCTGGCTCTTTGACCTAAAGAGTTTCCAGGCCGGGTGCGGTGGCTCACACCTGTAATCCCAGTACTTTGGGTGGCTGAGGCGGGGGGATCACGAGGTCAGGAGATCGAGACCATCCTAGCTAACACGGTGAAACCCCGTCTCTACTAAAAATACAAAAAATTAGCCGGGCGTGGTGGTGGGCGCCTGTAGTCCCAGCTACTCGGGAGGCTGAGGCAGGAGAATGGCGTGAACCCGGGAGGCGGAGCTTGCAGAGAGCCGAGATCGCGCCACTGCACTCCAGCCTGGGTGACAGAGTGAGACTCTGTCTCAAAAAAAAAAAAAAAAAAAAAAAAAGAGTTTCCATAGTCTGGATTTTGCTGCTAGCCGATTCATGATGCCATTCACCATGTGCTTCTGTCCTGTTTTTCCTTCAAATTGGCAGCTGGATCCAGAGAGTAGATCACACTTAGGCTCAAACCCCTTTGGCAAGATGATCGGTGGAGTTGTGCGCTTTCATCGGGAACACACAAGGTCTGGCTGTGTCTCTTTCTGAGATTGTTGGCAGCCATTGATGTTCAGTGTCTAGCTCCATTAATTCTGTGGGTATTGCAAAGTAGTGGGTGATACCAAATTCTGTCTTTTTTTTTTTTCATTCATTAGTTGGAACACTTTTACTATGACCTGTTCTTGATGTCTTAATTTCCATCATTCAAGGCCATGGATTTGGATCGTGGGAGGAGGAGGATGTCTCAGAGTTGGAAGAGGGGCAATGGCAATGCTGCGACATGTTTAATCTCTGAAATCTCTTAGCAGCTTGGAACATGAGTCCTGGAAGTACCTCAAAGTGAAGTCCACTCCAGTTACCCGCCTAGAACAAGAAGCCACTCTGCAGGCTCTCTAATAATTATCTGTTCAGCCCCTGCTTGCATACTTCACAGATCAGGGAGCTCACTACTTTCAAAGTCAACCCATCTCATCTTTGGGAATATCTGATTATGAGAGGACCTTTTTATAGGCTTTAGAGCCTCCTCCTTGTCCCCTCCTTCAGGGACCCTGCAGAACAGATCTGTTTGCTCTGCCAGGGAACAGCCCTTCAAAGACTCCTCTCCCAGGGAGACTTCCAGCTGCCCCTCTCCCTCTTCCTCCTCTTCTGGCTGTAATTTCACATAAAATCCATAGCTGTGGAGCTGTGGCTGATGTTTGCTCAAAATTCCAAAGCAGGCTTCTCTATAATTTTCAAAAGGCAGACAATCATTTGGAGGCAATAAAGTCCAAGTGTCAAACTCTAATGCCTCATTTCCCATCCCAGTCTCACCACAGCTCATGCCAGCCACGGCAAAGGAAAGCCTATGGGCGGGTCTTCCATTGTGCAAACCCCTTTCACGTTCGAACCAAGAAGCCACATTTCACAGACACCAAGATGTAAGACAGCAGAGATGGATGAGGTGCCCAAAACACCCTCTTCTCCAGGCGCCTGGCAGAAGCAGACAATGTGAATCAAAAATAAAATCAACACAACACAAAAAACATGGGTCAAATTGTAATTGAAAGTTGCTTTTGAAAGAGAGGTCTTGAAGCCATTGTCTTTCCTTTTTTCGAAGCCCCCGATGTCTCCCTTGGTTAATGACATCACTTCCACCCAGACTGTCCAACACACAACCTCAGTCATCCCCAAGGCTTCCCTCACCCTCAGCCCCTACATTCAATTACTCACCAAATCCAGCCATTTGGCCTCAGGAGCATCTCTGCAAACACAGCCTGTACTTTTCCACTTGCTGTGTACTAGCTGTCCCATCAGCCTACAATGATCCACCAGTCACCCATCACTATCTCTGTTAACACAGGCATCCCCAGCCTTCAAAGTTCACCCCACGAGCGTCTATCCCAAGCACCTGTCCTGGATCCTGACCCCCTTCAAAAACAACTGTCTATCCAGCAGACTCTCAGAACTGTATTTCTTGAATAAAATAAACAGATTCATTAATTCCATAAACACTTATCAATCCCCTTATGTGCCAGACACTATTCTAGGCACTGAGGACCTAGTCATAAAAGCAATAGACCCAATCTCTGCTTATTATAATCAGCAGAGTCAGACAATGAAAAAGCAAATAAGTAAATTAGATAGTATATTAGGAAAATGCATGGAGAAAATTAAAACAGGTAAAGGGCTTTTCCTGTGGTGGGGGATAGAACAGAGGGCCTCACTATGAATGTGACATTTGAGAAAAAGTCTTAAAAGAGGTGAGGAAGTAGACCTATGTAGGTATCGGAGTAAATGAATGAATGAGAAAATGAATGAGCGAACAAGCAAAAATAATTGAATATAGTGATGAATGAATGAGAGAATCACTGAATGAATAAGTTAAAGAGTGGATGAGAAGATAGGAATTATTTCTAGTATGCTATAGTGAATTGAATTGGTCAAACTACACTGACTGGAAATAAATCACCAGCTATTTCTGTAACTTCTTGGAGCCTGTTTGGGCCTTGAAAATGTGCCTAATAAACTTGCAAAGTGGTTCCAAGGACCTTTCTTCTCTTGACACGTGCCAGCCTCCAAGGGTTCTGCATGCCACACCCAACTTGCTCACAGCCACAGGGGCTTGTGCCAGGTTGGCAGTGTGAGAACAGCCAGTGCCTCCTTGGAGGGCAAGGCTGCAAAACATGGTCCAGTCTGGCTCCAGCTGGGCTCTTTGCCCATCTGTACAATATACCCTGCCTACTCCTCCTTGAAGGGTTGGTGGGCTCCACATGCCTGGTGACCCTGCTCTGGGATGCAGCAAGTGCCAGGAAAGGGAAGGTGCTATGGTGATTGCCTCTTCAGTCCACAGAGGAAGTGCCAGGGGTCCAAAGACAAATGCCTGTAAGTGATGCTCCCAACCCACTGCACAATCTTGAAGCATTATTATTTAGGCTGCGCAGGGGTTAGAATGGAATACTAAGGACTCTGCTTCTGCTCATCCTTGACTGGTCAGAAATCTGTGAGCAAAAACAGAGAGGCAGGCTGGAAACACTGGGGGAAGCACTGCCCTCAGGAAGGACAGTCATCAGGAGGCAGGATAGCACAGAGCTCGAAATCAGGGTCTTTGAAGGCAAACACAGGTGCAAATCCAAGCTTGGTGGCCTTGAGTCAGCTACTTCACTGCTCTGAGACTCACTTTTCTCTAAAATGGATACAAAAATAAATCCCTTTAAAAAAACCAAATGAGACAATATTTATAAAGCACTGTGCATAATGCTGGCACAGAGTAAACACTCAGTAGATGATCATCATCAGCATTAATAGAGCCTAATATATCATTAATAATAATATTGATGATATCGATATAGCATAATAAAATGATACATTGCATATATTGTTAATGAGTACCATAAGCTTAATCTGAGCGAGCAGTGTGTTGGGGCTAATGAAAAATAGCAACAGCAACACACTGCTTGCTCAGACTACAGGCCAAAAGGAGGGGGAAAACACGACCTGCTTTTCTCTGAGCTGGTTGGTTACATGCCATTTGGTGGACTGTGTCAGGTCCTGGGCCTGCCCTTTGGCAGAACAGGGGTGGCTGAGATGGATGCACAGGGGGCAGTCAGGGTATGAGGGGCTGACAATCCCACCCTGTGAGAAGTGGGTGCTGCTCAGCCTGCAGGAGAGGAAGCCACAGCCAGCCACCCTCATTGTCACACAATCGTCAGAGCTGGCCCACAGTAAAGGAAGTTGAAGCACTGGCGGGGGGCCCCAGAGGGCAGAGCCAGGGCTGGGGGAAGGGGCGAAGACACGAAGGAGGCAGGTTTCAGCTCTGTGTGAGAATAAACTTTCCTACGGGTCAACAAGATGCCTCCCCAGTGACTAGCTCTGTGGAGAGGGAGCTCCTAACCACCAAAGGTAAAGTAAAAGAGTCTGGACAAGCTCTGCCATACCAAGAGGGGGTTCTCCCTAGTAAGGAGGTTGATATTCATCAATACCTACCTATTTTCTGTCGGGACAGAGTCTCTGACTCATAGCACATTTGCCCTCATGACTCATCCATCCATCCATCCATCCGTCCATCCATTCACTCATTCTTGTGTTGCTGCTGTGGTTTTCTAGGACATAGAAAACACAAATTCAGCCTTCCTGGGGTTAATGATCTAATGTAGTGAGTCTCAAACTGTACATGCACCACCTATGGAGGGACAACTGGATAGCCATATGCGAAAAAATGAAGTTGAACCCTTACTTCACATTATATACAAAAATTAACTAAAAATGGATGTAAGACCTACATGTAGGAGCCAAAACTATAAAACTCTCCAAAGAAAACATGGATAAGTCTCTGAGACCTTGAATATGGCAATGAGCCCTCAGACATGACCCCAAAAGCACAAACAACAAAAGAAAACAATACATAAATTGGACTTTATCAAAATTTTAAACTTTTGTGCTTCCGAGGATACTATCAAGAAAGAGGAAGGAGAATGCACAGAATGAGAGGAAATATTTGTAAATCATATGTCTGACAAGGGACTTGTACCTAGGACATATAAACAACCCTTGAAACTCAATAATTTTAAAAAGCTAATTTTAAAATGGATGAAGGATCTGAAAAGACATTTCTCTAAATAAGATAGAAAAATGGCTAATAGGCACATAAAAAGATGCTCAATGTTATTAATTATCAGGGAAATACAAATCAAAGCCATAATAAGATATCACTTCACAGTCAGGAGGATGGTTATGATCAAAAAGTCGGAGAAAACAAAGACGTGGAGAAATCAGAACCCTCATACACTGCTGGTGGGAATATAAAATGGTGTAACCACTTTGGGAAAAAGTCTGGCAGTTTCTCAAAAAGTTGAACATAGAGTTACCATTTGACCCAATAATTCCTCTCCTGGTTACATATCCAAGAGAAAAGAAAACATATGTTCACACAGAAACTTGCATACGAATGTTCACAGCAGCATTATTTATAATAGTCAAAGGTGGAAACAACCGAAATCTCCACTACCAGATAAATGGATACAGCAAATTAGGTTTTTCAGCCATAGAAAGAATAAAGTACTGATACATGCAACAACGGGGATGAACCTTCAACTTTGAAAACGTTATGCTAAGTGGAAAATGCCAGTCACAAAAGACCATACATACTGTATGATTCCATTTATATGAAATGTCCAGAATAAGAAACCTGTAGAGACAGAAGGCAGATGAGTGGTCGCTTAGGGTTGGGGAGGTGGAGGAGTAAGTTAGTGAAAGCAAAAGAATATGGTGCTTCTTTTTAAGGTGATGAAATGTTCTTAAATTGATGGTGGTGATGCTTACACAACTCTGAAATACTAAAAGCCATTAAGTTATACACTTTAAAAAGGTGAATTGTATGGTAAGTGAATTATGTCTCAATAAAGCTTTCATTTAAAAAAGATTAAAAAGAAGAAAAGAATCACCCAAGGAGTGCTTTGAAACATCACTGCCAGGGCTGCAGGCCCACAGCTGCAGATTTCATGCTGCCAGGGAGTGGGGTCTGGGGATCATAGATTTTAGAGCTCCTCAGGTGGCTCCAATGTGTAGCCAAGGTGGAGAACCTCCAGTCTGGGGGAACAAATACTTCCCATTTTCTGAAAATCTGCAAGCTGCCTTATGCTCACTCTCTGTTGCTGTCTTCACCACAAGCCCATGGCATAGACTACAGATCCCTAGTCTGTTATCAATTCCAAAATCCAAGAAGATCAGAAAAAGTAGAGCTTTTCCATAAATTTGCAGCAAATTGTTTTCATGTCAAAAATCCCAGCCTGAACCTACATGAAGCTATTTATGATCTTTACTAATTCTACTTAATGTGCGTATTCATCCAATTCACTGCAGAAGTCAGCAAGCGCTTGTTTACAGGCTGCTCCCCTTACCCGGCTGTGGCTGTTTTATAAAGTATGGTATATACAACATTACACCCTAAAAATCTGAAAAGTTCTGACTTCCAAATACATCTGGCTTCAAGCATGTCAGATAAGGGACTGTGGACCCACATTTGTTCCCATTTTACAGATAGAGGAAGCTGCATCTGGAAGAGGAGAAGCAACCTGCCTGAAGTCTTCCAGAGCCTGGATTCAAACCTTGGCCCTTCTCTGCAGACAGGAAGACACTCTCTGCCTTGCTTGCGTACTTCCCTGCTCTTTGCTAACCCAGGGTAACTCAGGGGCTCCTATATGTCCTGGTGGGTGGACGCCTGCTGCTCCAGACCCATTTGGGGCCAGCTCCTTGGCAGTGCCTCGCCCACCACATGAGGGGCCTGCCCTGCCAGAGTGGGAGCTAGAGCCAGAGGCTTCTTTGTAATTTGCTCTGCCAGCCCGACCTCCTTGTCTCTCTCCCAGCTGCAATGGAAAATCTGAGAAGGTGGTCTGCTTTTCTGGCAGACGTCGGCCCCAGCAGGCTGGGATGGTGCAGCTCAGCAGGGACAGGCCCGCTGCAGCCTGGCAAAGGGACCGCTGCTAGGTCGGAAACATATATGGGGGAATTAGCAGGGAGGAAGACTGTTAATTCTGTAACAGCAAGAGTCGTACTAAATATCTTGTCTGCAACAAACAACAAAGATGCTTCTCACCTGCCGGTGACATTTGTTAATATATTTAATAACAATAACAGAAGCTACTATTGAAGGAGACCCTGCTCTGGGCCAAGAGCTGAACTCAGCACTTTTTAGACATTGACATCCCCCAGGGTGTGAAGTATTATTGTCCCATTTTTCAGAACCAAAACTGAAGCTCCAAGAGATGGTGTGAATTGTGTGAGGTCACACAGCAAGAACACAGCTGAGCAGGACTGGATGCAACTCCTCCTGATTCTGAAGATCAGCTCTTTCCTCCCCCCGACACACGGGGTCATTTTAGCCAAATGCCCAGCCTGTGAAGAAGCTGAACCATCCCTCTCTTCAAGTCAGAGTTACTCAAGGGCAAAGAGTAGAACAGTTTTAATTCACTTTGCTTCCTTCCCTCTCCTTTTGAATTGGAAATGTCCCCAAAACCATGTAGCCCTCTGCAACTTTCCTCTCAAGAAGCTCTGGATATGTTACTAGCCCATTTCACAGATGAGGAGACTGAGGCCTGCAGAAAGAAAGTAGCTGCACAACTGCCACGCTCAGTAAGACTCCTCCCCTGTGTGGCTCTCAGATGGATGCCTGTTTCCTGCAGCTCCACAATAGGGTGAACCTGTGCTGAGAGAACCACGAAGCTTTTGCTTTTGTGCTTTATATAGCCTAACACTATAGGAGTCACAGCAGCACACTGCTGTGTATGGGTCTGCCGTTCACTCATTCACTCATTCAAAAACCCTCCATGCAAACCATCTGTGAGCTCTGGCTGGGCACTAGAGACTTCACAAGGGATCAGACACACCTTGACTACCAGGAGCTCAGAATCTACGTGATCAACGTGCACATCCCCAGATCCGACTCGAACATGGAGTGTGAGGAAAGACAGTTCCATCAGATCCAGAGGACACACAGAAGGAGACCCCAGGCTGCCAGGAGTCAGGGAAGGAAACATTTGAGCTGAGAGCTGAAGGAGGAGCTGATTTTGCTCAGGTGGACAAGCTGGGAAAGACACCCCAGGCCAAGAGCACAGTATCTGCCACACCCAGAGGCAGGAAAGACAATAGGGACCCCTAAGCCAATTGGGGTGGCCAAAGCACAGAGCAGCATCCTGGACCCAATACCCCACCAGCATCTTAGGACCATCTCCTCACCTAAGTGGGTCATGACCAGAAGAACCCTACACAGGGGGTGGACTTGAGGATGGCTGTTACTTTTAGGGAAACAACTTCCTAAATAAAGTTCTTACCAAGGAGAAGACCCTACCCTAAGCCCTGAAGTCCAGGCAGCCTCTACGGCTTTGGACCAGCCGGTGACGACTTCTCTTGGTCATTAATCACAGCATGTGCTAATGTTTGATAAATTGCCCAACAGTTGCATTAGCTAATAACTCCCCGAACAAAACCAGAGAGTTCATCTGTTTTTATAAGACGCCCAAGAGCATCCTGGGAACAGGCACGGTGGTCGTGAATAAAAGAGAAACATTCATTTATGGTAATTGGTTTCAGCTCCTCACTTGGCTGCTTGTCCTGACCTAAATGTATCCAGTTGTTCCCTCTGCCTGGCTCTGGTTTGGGGGTCACTCCTAATGGTTTAATTCAACAAAAAATGTCTGCCATTTCCTGTAACCTCTGTCTTTTTTCACCCTCCTCCCAAACGGTTTTCTTGCAAGCAGCATCTCTGCAAGTCGCTCCCAGAGCTGTTTCCTTCTCGGGGAACAAAGTCAAGATTGTTGACAGAGAAAAAAGGTCTTAACCCCAGGCCAAGAAAAAAAGGTGGGGGGAGGGGATAAATGAAGGTAATAATCATTTGTTTGTCTTCCACCCGGACTTCACAAAGCAAGTTTTGTCCAAGACTGGTGGTCAGGGACTCTGACACAGAACATGGCCCTGGTGACCAAGGGCAATTTATGGGGAGGGAAGGAACACAAATCCTCATTCATGGAGCCGGCTGCAGAGGAAGTGACTGGGAGGAACATTTGTGCCCCGCCAGCCGGGCCCTCCCTCTGTCCCTCCCACGGGTCTGAGGCTGTGGAGGGCTAGGGGAGAGGCTCGCTGGGTGCTGTGAGCTTTGGCCACACTTCAAAACCCGAGTGCGGCCCTGCCCCTCCTCGGGCCGGCTTTTTTTCCCCCAGTCATGAGCATAAATGATGCCCCTGCAGGGCAGTGCCTGAGAGGGTCAGAGAAGGGCCGGTCCCTCAGGCCAGCTGGGCTCTCCTATCCCTCAGGTGGATTTATGAGCCTCTGCTGGCATTTAGGCCCAAGAGGGAGTGGGGGCCGCAGGGCGAGGGTGGGGCAGGGGCTGGAGAGGATCTGGAATACATTGCGCCGTCAGCAGGGACAGCTTGTAAACTTTGTTGGGATGCATCTGGTAGAAAGGCGTTGTATAAATATTAGATCATTATCGGCGTATTGTGTTTCCCTCTCAGGCAGAGGAGGGGTTGGCAGGCCCCAGATGCCTTTCGTCAAGAAGACAAGGATGGCTTTGAAGGCTCCTTGGAAGGTTGCCGCTTGCCCACGGACAATCCCGGGAGCTAGGGTGGGTGAAGGGAGTGGGTCAGAAGCTGGGGAGGGCAGTGGGGACCGCCAGCCTAGCCTACCAGCTCTCCTGTGTGAGGATGCTGTCCACCAGGTTGTCAGGGGAGTGGCAGCAGCGGCCTAACCAGATGGATGGGACGGAAAAGGCCAGCAGGAGCAGGCCGGTGGGGATGACTGTGTGACCCTGTCCCTCTCTGAAGGTCCCCCTCACTTCACAGTACTGATGCCACCTTGTGCTAGGTCCAGGGGACATAGTGGTGGATACAGCCCCACGGGGGGAACTCAGCAGCCTCAGGGCCCTCCTGGATGGGCATTCTTGTTGCAGAGCTCTTTCCTATTTACCAAGAGCACTGAGTGCCTCCATTTCCTACTGCCTGTGCACCTCCAACCTATGGGAGCATTTGCGAGCCAACTGCAAGCAGCACTCTTCAGGAAGCGGGGCCTAGACAGTGCTGCCAGCAACAAGTCATTTTCACATCATCATCATCATCATCATCATCATCATCATCATCATCGTCATCAAAACACAGCCCTCCTGTAGGGTCCTTCTGGCTGTGACTCTCCACGGCCACTTGGGTGAGGAGATGGTCCTAAGACCCTAGTGGGGTCTTGGGTGCAGGATGCTACTCTATGCTCCAACCACCCCAATCTGCTTAGGGGTCCCCATTATTTTTCCTGCCTCTGGGTGTGGAAGATGCTGTGCTCTTCGCCTGGGGTGTCTTTCCTAGCTTGTCCACCTGAGCGAAGTCAGCTTCTCCTTCAACTCTCGGCTTAAGTGTTTCCTTCTCTGTGAAGCCTTCCCTGACTGCTGGCAGCCTGGGGTCTCCTGTGTGTCCTCTGGACCTGATAGGATTATCTCCCTTACCCCCCAACCCCAGGAACTTGCACTATATTTGAGTTGGAATTGTGGGTTTGCACACTGATCACTTAGATTCTGAGCTCCTGAGAGTCAGGGAGTGTTTGACCCCTGTGGTGTCTCTAGCGTCCATCAAGAACTCAGAGAATGAATGCATTGTGGGGTTTTTGAATGAATGAGTGAGTGAATAACCGGATGTCATCATTGTCATCACAACAATGGCTCCATTTGTTTATACACATTCTCAATATTAAGCTACTTCATTTTCACAGCATAGTCATGTGGTTGACACTATTAGTGCCCATTTTACAACTGAGAAAACTAAGCCTTCATGAGTGACTCCCCCAAGGTCAAACAGTTAGTAAGGCTTTCAAACCCAAGTTTGTTCATCTCCCCTATGGTGTTGAAAAGCTTTTCTGTCAGCAGGTATCACAAAATTCAAGGAAGCCCGGGAGGAGAAGCCAGCTCTGCTAGTGGCTCAGGAAGGACTGCAGGATGAGTCAGACCTTAACAAGGAGATCCTCTGAAGACAAGACTCCTTCCCTACCCCTTGGGGGTCACCCCTAATGGTTTAATTCAACAAAAAATGTCTGCCATTTCCTGTAACCTCTGTCTTCCCTACCCCAACTCCTTCAAGATGCTCTGCTGCTATCTAGTCCCCTCTACCTTCTTGTCTCTTAGCTCAGGGGCATTTCCAAACTGCCAGCCCCATGCTGCTTCCACAGCCTGATTTCTTAGAGCCTGGCCTCCTCCCACATGCTGTCTCATCCAATCCGCTCTGCAGCTCCCTAAGGGGACATTATAGTGCCCAGATAGGAAAACCAAAGCACAAAGAAGTGACATGACTTGCCCCAACCACACAGCCAGTGACTAGCAAGACTCAAACTGGGGTTCGTCATGATGTGAGACCCCTCAGTACATGAGTGTGCTCCAAGTACAGGACTGTAGACTGAGAAACCAGGATTTAAGGGCTGGGTCGGCCGGTGTTTCATATACGACCTTAAGCAGAACCTTGCTCCCCAGACCTCAGCCTATCCTCCAGAGCAAAGTCAGTGAAGGGGAATTTGGTGGTTTCTGAGGTGCCTGCGAGATGATGTCATCTTGTCCCTACGCAGTTCTGCGAAGCTGGAATGCCTGGCGTTAACATCTCCATTCTGCAGGGGAAACTGATGTCCTGGGGGTTACATAACAAAAGCATTGGAGTATGTCCAGAAGAGGAGGCTCAGGTGTGGTGAAGACTGGACCCATGAACACTGATGGGCAGTGAGGGTGCTGAAGTCCTTTAGTCTCCATCAGTGCAGGGGGCCCTAGGGTAGTGGGTCTGCCCCAGATCTGAGCAGGACACTCCCAAGTCAGATATAATAGGTAGAGTGTAGCCCCCATGGACAGAAGATCAGGTTCTGAGGGTCAGAGGAAGTTCATCAGCATCTAGTCTAAACCATAAATGATATCCCTGCCAGGTATTGTCTGCCTATGTCTTGAATGCCTCCAGTGACAGAAAGTTTGGTACCTGTCAGCACAGCCAGTTCCACGGGGGTGCCATTCTGATTTTAGCTCCAGCAAAGGAAGCGTTTTCTATGAAGAAGCAACAGGAAACATCTAAGAGAATAGGCTGGGAGTGACGGGAAGGCATTGGAAGCTATACCTGGACACTGTAATAAAATCTTCCCTCCCAGGGTGCCTTCCCTTTTTCCGGTGACCACAAATGTATATGCAACACTTCACAGTTTACATTTATCCAAATGCATCTCTCTAACCACCTTGCCAGAAGACCAGGGCAGAAATTATCAAGCAGCTGGGGCAAGGCGAATGGCAGACATCCAGAGAAGGTATGGGCCTTCTCTGCCCAGGTCACTCAGCCAGGGAGAGGCTGTGCCAGGACCAGAGCCCAGACCTTCCCTGTCCCAGTGCGGCTGCCATAATAGTGCTTGCCCAAGTCGTCAAAAAGCCACCCACGTAGGGTGCCCGATACAGAGAACATTACAGGCCACTTCCAAATTTGGAATGGGGCACCCCCAGAATTCCAGGCTCTGCTATTTTTAGGCTGATCAGCTGTTCCACCCCCCACCTCAGACCCCCCACACGGATTTCCCAATCAAATCCATGTGTTGCCAGTTCCAGCCCTGGCGGTCGGCGAGGTGAGCGCTGGATGCTCATAGAGCCACCAAAGGACGCACGGCCCCCCAGACTGGGACAGTCTTGCCTCTTCCCGATGGTCCGGACTCCAGAATCTCCAGCCACATTTCATCTTGGAGCAGACTCTCGACACCTCAAGCCCACCCATATCTCCCAGGAAACTCCAGAGGCCGGGGGAAGAAGGAAGCTACCCCATTTGATGGAGAAGCAGACTGAGAACCAGAGAAAGGTCCAGGGGTGCCCTGATCCCCTGGCCCAAGTTCCTTCCAGGCCTCACAAAGCCCATCTAATTGCTTCCGGTCTAAGCTGGGCTGGGAAGGGCTGGTGGCGGCTCCTGCTCCTGCTGCCTCCTCAGGAAGTGGCCCTGTGTTGAGAGAGTAGCACGGTCCCACACAGACCTGGGGTCAAATAAAATCCCTGCCCTGCTACTTAGCACCATAAGACTTGGAGCCAGAAGCTCTGCCCCAGAGTCTGTTCTCTCATTTCTAAAATGTGAATAATAATAGGACCTCATCCACAGTGTAGTTGTGAGGTTTCAATCACAGCATGCGTCTAAAAGGCTTCATGCAGCACACAGCAAGTAGCAAGCACCCTGTACATCTTTAGCTACTATGACTTCTTAATGATATAAAGAGAGGAGTGGAGGCCTTGTTGAATTATCACAAAAATGGGAGGGAGGCAGCAGGGGTAGGAACATCTATATAACCCCCTTCCCTTTCAGCACCGTCCCTGGGGTTCTCAGCTGGCGCCCCCTCCAGCCCCCTGGCAGTGTCAGTCAGGGGTGCTGGCTGTGCCCACTCCAGTAGCCCTGGCCATCTTGACCACTCCTATAGACACAGGAGACCCCAACCTTGGTGACACTGTCTGTGCCCTTGGACCTGGGCTCCCTGTTCAATGAGGGCAGGAGCCACAGCCCCCACCTAGTCCACAGCGTCACGGGGTTGGGTATACAGCAGGCATTCGAGACCTATAAAACATCAGATTTCAGGAAGGACACAGAGAAGTTAAAAAGCATGGACTTTGTAATATGACAAACTGGTTTCCATCCCAGCTCTGCCATTTTCTGGCCATGTGACTCTGGCCATGTGCCTTGCCCTCTCTGAGACTCCATCTTCCTATCTGTAAGTGGGTCTGAGAGTACCAACTCTGCAGGATTGTTGTGGAGGGTAAAGAGAGTAGATGTGAGCACTTCCTAAACAATGTAGATCCGCATCCCAGATTGTCAGCTCAACAGCTCTTAGCGACCATAGAAGCCCCACAAAGAGATGGAAAGGAAAGGGCTCCCGCAAGGCCACACATCAGCAGATCTTGCTGACCCAGGACCCAAGAGCCAGGCCCCAGGCTGGATCTTTTCCACACAAGATGAGCAGAATCTATAACGAATGCAAACAGAAAAATACTGGAGGCATCTCCCTGGTCCAGAAAGGTCCTGAGGCCAGTTGGGGAGAAAGGCTTTCTGGGAAGGCCCTGCCTACCAAGCCCCCCAGGACGGCGTCCACACAGCCAGGGCCCTCTTCCTGCGGCCAGCACACACACGCAGTGCCAATGTGTTAGGACTTATGCACGCTCCCCACCATGAGAACCAGCCACCTCCCTGGACCAGCCGCCCCCTAATTCTTCCAATGTGGCTGAGAGCTCTGAGACTCTGAGGGAGGGAGGGCAGGAGGGAGGAGAGGGAGGGGCGAGACCACCTCTGCTGACAGCTCGTTTACAGCCCGCCCATCAAGTGCACGTTCCCTAAGGAGACTGGCCTCTGGGAGCAGAGAAGCTGGGGGGCCAGCTCACAGCTACCAATGACACATCACAGGCACCGGGGGAGGCCTGACCCCTGTCACTCAGCGTGGTCCTGGGGACTGCCACAGCTGGACAGAACCAGGAAAGTCTGGGTTGTCCTCACCAGGCAGCAGAGGCCTGGCAGCTCTGGAGCAGGCCTGAGCCCGAAAATAACAAACCCTTAGCCTTCCAATCCCGATCCAGCCCCACGTCTTGCCAGGGCAGCCAGCAGGTCTTGGTACCACAGGGCTGCTTGGGCTGACGGGGCAGGTCCAGGGCCAGCAAGATGGAGAGGAAGATTAGGGATTCAGAGCTGCCTCCCACTCCTGGCAGCTCATGTGGCAGGTCTCCATGGGCAGCATCTGAATGAGTGAGGCTGTGGGGATTGCTCATTAGCATGAGAAGACCGGGCTTCAATTCCAAGTCTCTCACTGGCTTGCTGTGTAAGCCTGACTTGGACTCAGCCTCTCTGGATCTCTGAAGAAAGAGGGTAAGAATGTTTCTCTAAAAACAGTAAGACTAAGGTTCCCAAGAGAAAAGGACATCGAGGCAACTGTTTGCCATCTGACTCCAGGTCCCTCACTCTAATTCACACTATCGTCGAAAGCTGAGCATGAATTAGGATGGGGGCGGTGGGAGGGGCTCAACAGACATGAACTCAGAGAACAGTCATTGATGCTTATATAGGGTGAGGGCTGGACAAGACTGGGGACAGTGAGCTGAATCAACCTCAGTCCTTGCCCTTCAGGACCTCCCAGTCTGTTTAAGGACTGATTGTGACAAAAGGTATCTGGTGAGTGTGACACTGGAGGCACAGACATTTCTTCCAAGAAAAAAGTAGGAATGGGCCTTCAGATTCCACAAGAGAAGCTAGGAAATCACCTTGGGGAGATGGCAGTTACAGCCCTTCTCTTATGGTGCATGGTACAGAGCAGGGACCCAGGGGATGGATGGATGATGGACGCGTGGGTGGATGGATGAGTGGTAGATAGGTGAAAGGGATGGTAAATGAGGCAGTGGGTGGATGATAAGTAGATAGATGATGACATAGATGGGTGGATGGATAAATGAGTGGGTGGGCAGATGAATGGTTGGATAAGTGAGTAGATGGATGAGCAGATGGATGAATGGATGGATGGATGGATGGATGGGTGGATGGATGGATGGATGGACAGATGGATGGATAGATGGCCAGATGTAAGAACAAATATTATTGAACTGATTCTTACAACAA
The DNA here is from genome assembly GCF_000001405.40 of Homo sapiens. Classification (NCBI taxonomy): domain Eukaryota; kingdom Metazoa; phylum Chordata; class Mammalia; order Primates; family Hominidae; genus Homo; species Homo sapiens. The sequence continues at coordinate 47,571,981 of NC_000001.11, read as the reverse complement.
TTCTGTCAAATAAAAGAATGAATGTGACAGCCCCCTACCCCAAGTTATCAAGATGAAAAAAGTGACTTGTTAAGGTCATATGGTAAATTAATGGCAAATCCAGGACCAAAAATCAAGGCTTCTGACTCCTGTCCAGTACTCTTCCCACTCTATAACCCCTACGTATTTCATTCTCTTATTCCCCTCCTCCTCCACATAAATAGTTATGGCAAGAGAAAAGGAAAGGAAAATGAGAGGAAAAGAAGAGAAGGAGGGAGAGATGGAGGGAGGGAGGGAAGAAGGAGAGAAGGAGGGAGGGAGGGAGGAAACCCATCATGACTTTGTGGTAAGGGTCCTGGGATCATTTGATTTGTCTTGGCCTCTTTCTCTATTAGTAAAAATAGGCTTAGATCACAGACAGGAAAAGTGCTTTGAAAGGCATGAAAAGCCCCTGCAAATGGGAGGAAGAAGAGAGTCATTTCTGTCATAGCTCCTCACCAACTGAGTGATGCCCCTTGGCTTCCAGGCAGAAATGAATCCGAGGGCCCAGGGCCCAGTCAGGAGAACAACCCCACTGACTCTTCATCCAGGACCCCACTCCAGCATGGAGGCTGGGAGGCAGGGGCAGGGGAGAGGGTGTGGGAACGACAAGCATGGCCCTGGTGCTGCGCTCTAGGTTCCACCCCCGCTGCTCTTCCCCTTCCTTAGTAGGTAAGTGGCTAGAGCATGGATGCTGGAGCCAAGAGCCTGGGTTAGAATTTAGGCTTTGCCCCTTCTTATCTGCGTGGCCTTAAGCAGGTCCCCTAATCTCCCTGTGCCTCAATTTCCTGATGTGTAATGAGGTGCACTTGCCTCACAGAGTTGTCACAAAGATTAAATGATTTAACATACACAAAGGGCTTAGAGCAGCACCCCACACATAAGAAGCACAATTACGTGTTAGCCGTTAATACCATCTGAGGCTTCTCCTTGGTGTTGAGTCCTCCAGGAAGCTTTCCTGACCCCACAGGCTGGGTTACACTCCACTTTGCTCCCACAGGCTACTGTGCTTCCCTCTAGCAATCCCCTTATCTTCCTGTAGTTAAGTCCTATTCTTGAGCCCACTTCACAGAAAAGGAAACTGAAACTCATAGAAATTAGATGACTTGTCTCTTTGCCCTGATCATCCATCCTTGGCTCAAACATCTCCAATTAGAGGAAAATCCCCCCCTTCCAACCACCGCATGTATCCTGGGCAGGCGGTACCATCTGAGCTGAGTTTTGCAGGGTAAGAGTTAACCAGGAGAAAGTGGGGCCTGAGATAGGAGGTATTTCCAGCAGACGCCAAGCAGGATAAAGCAGCCAAGGTGAGAAACTCCCAGTGTGTGAGGTACCTCTAGCAGTTAGGTGGTGCTGGAGCACAAAGTGAGGTAGGGTGCCAGGAGGGGACAAAGATGGAGAGGTGGGCTCTACCACATCACCACGGCCTGGGATGCCAGGCCAGGAGGCTCAGACATGAAGCTGCAGCCACAGGGAGGCCAGCAGACCGTTTTCAGCATCACATGGAAATGGCCAGATTTCCCTTGAGGGCCCTCAGTGAGCAATAAGCACTGTGCAAAGCTTACTATTATGGCTAATAATGGTTTATCACTCTGCACCATAATTGCCATTTACATGTCCATCTTCCACTAATTCATAAAGCCCACTAGGGCAGGTTGTGTGGGTCTCGCTCATCCCTGTGTCCATATGCTTGACACAGAGCAGACACTCAAAAGATGTTCTGTCAAATTATTAATAATTACTTAACAAGAAAAGGTAGCACATGATGCCAACTGTTGTGAGTTGTTTTGCAGAGAAAAAACTCTGGAGTCAGGCAGCCCTCAGTCCAAACACTGAAGCCCCAGTCTCACCGCGGAACGACCTTGGCAAGTCGCATTCCATCTCTGAGTCTCAGCTTCCTCCTCCTCCAAGTGAGTTTAATAATTCCTTCCTCTTGGGGTCAGGGTGGAGCTCCCAGCACAGTGCTTGACACACAAGTAGGTGACTAATACCAACTCAACAAATAGCAACTAAAAGAATGATATGAAGATATCTGGGCCGGGCATGATGGCTCATGCCTGTAATCCCAGCACTTTCGGAGGCTGAAGCAGGCAGATAGCTTGAGCTCGGGAGTTTAAGACCAGCCTGGGCAACATGGCAAAACCCCGTCTATTAAACAAACAAAAAAAAAGTAGCCAGGTGTGGTGGCTTATGCTTGTAGTCCCAGCTACTTGAGAGGCTGAAGTGGGGGGATCACATGAGACTGGGAGGTGGAGGTTACAGTGAGCAGAGATTGCACCACTGCACTCAAGCCTGGGCGACAGAGGGAGACCCTGTCTCAAAAAAAAAAAAAAAATCTCTCTGCACAAAGTTGCAAAACCACTGCCTATTTCAGACATTGGCAAACAGGAGAGAGAGTGTAAAGGGGCAGAATTTTGAATCTGAGAAATATAGATTTGAATCCTGGTGCTGTTCTTTCCTAGCTATGCAACCTTAGCGAAGTAAATGAACCTCTCTGGTTTCCTAATGTGTTCATTCCGGGCATTATCAATAATACCAATCTCAAAGAGTTACTGCATGGACTAAAGGAGATAACGGATGTGAAAGTGCTTTGTATACAAATGTGGGCGATTATTATTATCATGACAGTTCATAAAACCCGGGTGGAGATTTTTGTTACAAACAAGTTCTCTCCCATCCCACCAGCAGTCCAGGGGCTGGCCCAGTGCTTTGTTCCCAGGAAGGGCATAGCTGGAGGGGCCGGCTGGGTTGGGGCAGAGGCCAGGGCGGGCTCCTCACTCCCACCATCTGCACTGCGGGGTCAGCCCATCTGTCCAGCAGTGGGCACACATGTGGCCTCATCTGAGGGTATGAGGTCGTCGGGGTCAAGCAGGAGAAAATTGGGGGCAGATGAGGGGAAGGTTCCAGCTTATTTTTAGAAAAGGGGGAAAGAGAGGAAGACAGGAAGGGCCTTGTTCGTCAGTATTTCCACCATGTGGATGGCAGGCGGGAGGGTGGGCAGGCAGCCAGGCCAAGGCTAGAGACAAAGATGTGTCCACTTCTGCAGCTGCTGCCACAACCACCACAGGATGGCCATCCCCGCCCACCCCACCAGCCTAGGACTGGTCCCAAGCCTGCACCCTGCCCCTTGGGGGACCCCTCTCCTCCCAGAACAAATTGAATTAGAATGGTAAATCAGATTGAATTTTTAAATTAATTGATTTATTTTTAAATTAATTTTAAAGCATCATAAAGAACCAAGATTACAAATTCCATCCTTCAAACATGCATTAAGCACCTATTCCGTGCTATTTCTGTGTCAGGCACTGGGAATGAAATTAATAAATTTAAGAAGGTCCAGTTGGTGGAAGAGCCCCTAATTCCAGTAGCAAAGAAGGATTGGAAGTTCCGTGAAAGTACAGACTATGTCTGTCTTGCTCACAGCTGTATTTCCAGCGCCTAGCACATAGGCAGCACTCAATAAGCACCTACAGAATCAGTTGCAACTATCCAACCCAAGGCAGGCTGAGGGGTTATATAAAGACACAGACACAGAGCAAAAGGGACCTGCAGAGACTGCCAATACCAGCTGTGTGATCTAGGAAGGCTCCCAGAAGAGTTGGCAATTGTGAGCTTTGAAGGCTGGAGGAGGTAATGGAGAGTGTACAGTATAAGCATAATGTAGGAGGTGGGGAAGTTTAAACCATGCATGAGACATGCAAGTGGGAGAAGAAGACCCAGGGCAGGAAAGAATGGGTTTGGGAACTGTGTCCCCCTTTGTACATTCAACCTCAGGTGACTGCACAGCCCAGCCCTGTCAGTGCAGCATTCTCACTTCTAGCCCTAGCTATATCCAGTGGGAACTCTTGTAATACGGACCCTAAAGGAAACTGCATCAGTCCAGAGGTGTTGAGCTAGCAGGACCATATCTGGGCTAGAAGAGGGATCCACTTGTTGCAGTGTAAAGAGCCTGAGGGGTGGAATCTGATGGCGGCAAGGCCAATGGGCCCTCCCAGGACAGGGCATGCACAAAGTAGGGCATGGCACACTTTGTGCCCATAAGATGTACAAATCTCCTCCTCCCAGTCCTCCCTGGGGTCTTGAAGTCCTGGAACCTCTTGGAGTTAACCTGACCTGTGTCCTAACAGGTGGCACTACAGAGTGATTAAGATGGTGACTGTTACCACCCATTAAGAGGGTGAGCTAGATTGCTAAGACGTGAATCCTGGCTATTCTATTTCCTGTGGTTCAGGATCAGTTGCTTTCCCTCTCTGTGCCTCTGTTTCTTTGTCCGCAGGATGGATGTAGCTATAGTCTGTAACACACAGGTTTTTTGTTTTTGTTTTTTGTTTTTGTTTTTGTTTTTGAGACAGAGTCTCGCTCTGTCGCCCAGGCTAGAGTGCAGTGGCGCAGATCGATCTCTGCTCACTGCAACCTCCACCTCCTGGGTTCAAGTGATTATCCTGCCTCAGCCTCCCGAGTAGCTGGGATTACAGGTGCCCGCCACCATGCCCAGCTAATTTTTTGTATTTTTAGTAGAGACAGGATTTCGCCATGTTGGGCAGGCTGGTCTCAGACTCCTAACCTTGTGATCCACCTGCCTCGGCCTCCCAAAGTGCTGGGATTACAGGTGTGAGCCACCGTGCCCGGCCTTGTAACACACAGGTTTGTTGTGACAATGAGCCAATCTATATAAAGCACTCTAAATGGTGCCTGGCTCTCAGCGTTAGCTGCATCATATCAACCTACAGCAGGTTGTGTGCAGCCGGGCAGCCTGGTCTGGGGAAGAGTGGGTTGAGTGTGCACAGCCCTCTCCAGCAGGACTCTCAGTGGAGGGTGGAGCAACCAGAGGGTGGTGGGCTTGGTGTCAATGAAGAGACTAGGCTGGGCCTGAGGAAGCTGGAGGCCTGCTCCTCAGCAGTGAGACCAGCCCAAGGCTGGACATCGGCAGGCCCGGTGCCATGAGCATCTTTATGGCTCCCGTGAGCATCTCTGGGAAGAGCTCAAAATGACAAGAATTTTCTAAATTGCTTGCTTTGCTATCCCATTTGCCGAATGCTTTGCCATTCTCAGCCCCCTCCCTCAGCCCCTGTCCTCAAACTTTTCAGTAGAACTTTGAAATATATCAGGAACAAAAAGGTGAAAGTCTAGAGACCCCAGAGAGAACTGTTAATCTCAAGTCCAAGTGGCAGCACACCTGCCAGAGCTGCCAGTGGAAAAGTGTGAGAGAGTGTGGGGTGTGTGTGTGCATACATGTGCACAAGTGAGCATGTATGTGTCCCTGACAAGAGCATACACGGACAGACACAGTTGCTGATGTGCATGTTAACAAGGGGCTGTACTAATAGTGGTCGTGGCCATGCATCTCTGTGATTGTGTGCACATGTCAGTGTGCATGTGCCTGCATTTACCATGAGTGTGTTCCCACGTGAATAGCAGCCTGGCCACAAAAGGCACAAGAGATGGCTGGCCTATATTATGCATTTAACAGCCTGGTGCTTAGTGGGTGTTCATCAACTGTGATCTCTATGTCCATTCATCTAAGTGTTCACACTTGACATTGTGTGTGGTTTGGCTGTGAGTGACTCCCGCACCAGTGCTCCTTGACGGGTCCAAAGGAATCCCCTACCAGGGGCAGCTGAAGGTTGAGAGGCAAGTTCCCAGCTGCCATCCAAGGATCTTCTTCAGATCTTCCAGAGCCCTGTTGTGGGAGGCCAGAGACCAAGCTTCTAGCTCTAGTCTTGCAGCAATTAACAAGTGTCTGCTCCTTTCTGGGCCTCAGTTTCTTCACCTTTGTCAGAAGAGGCAGCCTAGATCTCTGAGGGGCTTCCCACTCCGAAGACCCCTGGCTCTACAGAGGATGGTAATTGGGAGCAGCTGCCACTCAAGCAAGCATGGAGACATTGGGGAGGGGGGTCGCTGGGCTTCCCCAGCCTCTGGACACTGCCCTGTGGCTTATGTCAAATTGTCAGACCCAATCCTGCTTTCCTCCTGGGCAGAGCTGCCTTCAATGGACGTCAGAGAGGTGGCCTGTCCAGCCACTGTGTTTACAGAGCTCAGACGCCACCGGGAACCTGATCCAGGCATTCCAGGGTGGGCAGCCCCACTGGGCCTGCGCTGTGTCCACACTCATTTCCCGGAGACTGAACACGGCTGGCCCCCCCAGCTTGCTGGGTCCAGCTGCCCAGCTATCCTCCCACCGAAGGCCCAGCTCTTACAGGCAGGCACCTTGGATAGCCACAGATGGCATAAGGGCCCAGGGAGCCAATAGCAGGGCTGGGTGGGGGTGCAGGGTGCAGAGGGAAAAAGGAGGGGGTGTCCTCGCTCCAGACAGGTTCTCACTATTCCTTCAGGTGAGGGTGCTCTCCTGCCCCCTCTGCCAGGCACTAGTGCCCTGCTGCCTTGTTGACCGATGCGCACATTTGCTCACTCACACAGTCCTCTCCATCAGGGTTTCAGCAAACCGTATGGCCCCTGGGCCAGATCTGGCCACTGCCTGTGAGCTAAGACTGCTCTTTACATTTGTAAATGTTTGGGGGGGAAATTAAAAAAAGAAGATTTTGAGACATATGAAAATTATATGAAATTCAAATTTCAGTGTCCATAAACAAAGTTTCACTGGAACACAGCCACACTCATTCATATTTCCGTATTGTCTGTGGCTGCTTTTGCACTACAATGGCAGAGTTGAATAATTGTGACAGAGACCATATGGCCTGCAGAGCTGAGAATATTTACTATATGCCCCTTCACAGAAAATGTTTGCCAACCTCTGATCTAAATTATTCATGAGTGGCAGTATAAATCCCAGGTCTCAATCATGGGAACCCGCATAGGAGCAAGATAGAAACATCACTTTCTTTGTTTCCTGTAACTTAATTTCTTACCCCAAGTTTCTGGGGTCATTCCACATTTCTGGAATCTTACATGATGTTAAGATGTGGGGCCCAGGCAGGGAAGGACACTTAGTCCCTGAGAGTTGACTCACGTTGCTTATACCTGGGAGCCCCCACTTGATCCTGCATATCTGGCTGCCTCTGCCACCAAAATGCAACATCTCCTGGATGCACCCACAGCCCTTCCCCCCAGGGCTCTTGTTACCTCCCCAGCAAAGCTGCCTGGGACACAGAGACCTGGTCCTGTCTCTCTCCTCCTCCCCTTTATGTTTCTGAGAAGTACTCTCATTTATCCTCCTTCTCCCCTTTACTTCCTCTGTAAACACTCTCAATTTTAAAAGCTCAGAGATTTGCAGAACAAAGGCCAGAAAGGCTTGCAGGCTTTCTGTGTCCTGCCTATCACATAACTACCCTAAGGCAATGAGCTCAGAGCCAGGGGCCTGGGAGAAGGAGGAGGGCCTGGGAGGAAGGACAGACAGACCCAATGGAAACTCAAAATCCAGCCAGACATGGATTCATTCACTTTCTACTCCATTATCTCCAAAACTTCATTCCCTCATCCCCCCACTCACTCATTCAGTCATTCCTTGTGGAACACCCAAGACCCCCATCAGACTCAACAGGAAGACAGAGATGAGCAAGGCACAGTCCAGCCCTCATGTTGTCCACAGTCCAAGGCAATGGCTGACAATAATTGTTTAACAACTGGCACTTCCGGAGGAAAATGTTCTTTATCTGTAGGATTTGCTGATTTCCGTGATGTAAATATCCCACCATGGTCAATTTCAAGCTACCTACACATGACCACTGAACAGAAAGAGTTGGGAAAAGATGTGTACCATCAACTCTTACAGCTGGTAGGAGCCAACTCCAGCACACCATTGCTCCCAGGGGATTCAGACACAAAAACAGACATCGCATACACTTGAGTAGCTGTGAAATGAGAAAAGCAAAGGGGCAGTGGGAGCACAGAGGAAGAGCACCAACCCTGGCTTGGAGGGTCCATCCCCAAGGGCTTCTTAGAGGAGGTGGCATTAGAATTGGACCCCAGAGGAAGAGTAGGAGTTTGCTGGGCAAAGATGGGAGGAAAGGTCTTCACAACCAGCTCACTCCACCTGTCTCTGCTTTCTCTGTACTCCTGTGTAACCCCCACAGGCTGAGCAACACTTTTATATACAATTTGGGCATCATTTTTCTCCAGAGGTTCTTAAAGCCAGGAAGCACCTGCCTGGGCCACATGAGGTTGGTGGAGGGAGCTGGCTGGAGCCCACATGATGGTTACTGCCTGTGATTGATGTGCTATTGCTCCTGATTATCCATACCCCAGCTCCCTGCCCCTGTAGGAGGATTTACATTGCCAAGTAGCTTGCAGGGTCTCCTGTGGGCAGAGTTTACATGGGACCCCACCACACCTCTTGCTTTGGCCAGCGAAATGAGTGGAAGGGACATTAAGAGCTATTGTGTGGTTCACCCATTTTGCCTTTTGCTCTCTGCCCTGAGTATGTCATGTCCCAAATAGGGACAGCTGCTTCCTGGAATAAAGAAGACCCATGGAGCAGAGCCACAGTCAACCCACAGCCACCGCAAGCAGAATATCATGTGGGCAGGAAGTAAACTTTTGTTATTGTAAAGCCCCCATTTGGAGCATGCCATGGTGTGTCTATTACCACAGCATAATCTAGAAAAAAACTGACTAATACTCAACCCATCCCCATCCAGAACTGGCACGTGCTCCAGCATCCCCTTGGTGAGCCCACAGAGACACACTGAGTTTCCATGTCTCCTCCAGTCTTGAGCAATGGTTTATGCAACACAGGCTAATGAGGCAAATCTGGAGTCCCTGAAATGTCCACAATTCTCTACAGTTCTAGGATCACCCTATGGTCCTGGGGAAAGCGAAAGGATCCACTTATTAGTGACTTCTCCAGTTCAATTCTCCCCATCTAACAGTAGTGATTTGTACATGTCTCTCTTGGCATCAAAAAAATGCTCTCAGTCTCAGCCCAAAATCATTGCAGATATTGAAAACTCTTCTTTGAGAAACAGACCAAATGCAAAAAACAGGAAGTGGACTCTGTGCTGGGCAATGCCTGGGGCAAAACAGAGTCAGACCCAGCCATCCCTCAGGGAGCTCCCAGGCTGGTGGAGCCAACAGACACAAGTACAAAAAATAAATATATGCAATTGACTGGGGTGCTCATTTGTTTTTCAAAGTGCTGTGAGATCACAGGGGAGGCAGCAAAGAACTCTACCTAGACAGCCAGAAATCCTTATGGGTAAGGCATAAAGAGATGGATGGTGGGTGATGATAGATGGATAAGGGAGGGAAGAAGAAAATAAAATCTACCTGGAAGGGTCAGAGGACCTTTCACAAAGGACATCTGCACCAGACCTGGAAAATGAGAATATCATCAGGTAAAGAATATGCATAAAAGAGATGGTGCTCCAGACAGAAAGAAAAGCCCATGTAAAGACAGGAAGGAAGGAAGGTTCACCGATCTAGGAAAGGAGAAAGGCAAGAAACACAATGGGCCACCATGGCACACTGGAAAGAGAAGTGACTGGGAGTCAGACAGGCTGAGTTCTGACCTCAGCATCAACATTTTCTGGCTGTGTCACTTTGGGCAAGTTACTTAACCTCTCTGTGTTTATACTAGTACTATCAAAACCAAATGCAACATGGGAGTAATAACCCTTTCTTGCAAAGTTATTGAGGCATTTTAGTGAGATAATATAAGCAAAGCATATAGCACACTATTGTGCAATTAATGATGGCTCCCTCTTGCTTCTCCCGGGTTCAGTTCTCCCAGGGTCTGGGCCCTGTGGTTGTAGGGCTCTGCCTCCTGGCTGAGACCACCACTTCCTCCCTGTTCTGGGACTTTGCTTCACAAAACTCTTTCCCCAAGGGCCCTCTCTGTCCTCCTGCTCCTTCAACCACTCCACTCCAGTCTCTGCACTCAATTGCCCCACATGCACCAGCCAGCCCAGGATGCTCCCCAGGCTGTAGAGTGAGGCTGCTGGATCTCATGCCCCAAGGAAGACATGGGCAGCCAAGAAGATAGTGCAAAGGCCAGGTGGAAACACCATAAGGGGCCAGGCCATGCCCTTGGCTGCCACCCTTGCTATCTCTCCTCTCCTGGACTATGATGTCCCTGCTGCTATTCCTGGTCTTGAGGCCAGTTTCCTGGCCCACTCCCTCTAGTAGAGCTATTCCCATGAGATGGGAAAAGCCAAACAGCAATTAACTAAATTTAGAAACAAATCCTCATTACAAATGTTACAGACACTTAGGCCAGGGCCCAGGAAGGGAGATGATTCAGGATTTGGGAATGTCATTCAAGGTCTTTCACAATTAGCATGCACTCAATAAATATTTTTTAGCAAAGGTATACCTGTCCCTGCTCACCTCCCCTGTTGCTCACACAGTCCTGTCCTCCAGTCCACCAAGCTACCTGTGACTCACTCCGCCTCCAACAATTGGGCGTTTGCTTCTGCTGTTCCCTCTGCCTGCAGCATGGACCCTACCCCCTGCTCTTCTTTGCTGAACTCTGCCTCATCCTTCAGAGTCTAGCTCAGACACCACTTTTCCCCGGAAGACTCCCCTGCATTCCCACGGCTTCCCCGCTATCCCAGTCACAGGTCTTACCTACTGTGCAGACTGCATTTGGGTGGTCTCCATGCATTTCTGCCCCCCTCATTGGACTGTGAGCTCCTCCAAGGACAAAGATGGGGTCCCAAGCACCCAGCAAGAGTTCTGGCCTAGAGGAAGGATTCTGAGTATTTGGTGAGTGAATGCATGTGTTTTCGGGTCAGGTCATCCCCAGGAGCTGGGCTCTCCAGGGGGAAAGGGAAGTAAGTCAGGAGCAGCAGTAGCCCCCCAGGCCACCAGGGGTGTCAGACAGAAGTTAGGCAGAAATCCTGCTGAATGCCTCCTTCTCCCACTGGTGGTCCAAGAAAATTGCTGTAGTTTCCCATGGACTCACTCCAAGGAGAAGCTGAGTGTTGGGACAGTCTGGGCTGAATTCTGAGACCACAGAATCCTGGAATATTAGAGCCAGAAGGAATTTTACATCTCAGAGAGCTTGAGCACCATGCCTGTCCCCATTTAACAGATGAACAAATTGAGGTCCAGAGAGAGGACATAGACTACCAAAGGAAAATCCAGCTGGAGCTAGAACCCAGATCTACTGAGAAATATGGAAAAGAGTTTGAGGACAGGACTGCCCAAAGTGATGGGACTTCCAGCCTGCAGTGCCGTGTGATTGGTCCCCAGGTTCTATTTTCTCTCTTCCTCCAGGCTCCAGGCAGCCAGAGCTGGCCACAGGCTATCACTTGTCAGATACTTGGTAATTAATTTGTCCTAAATCTTCTCTTTTAACGCCATTGTATGCTCTGGGAGGTGGGTTTGGGATCCGACTCTGTCTGTGACTGGTAGTGTGACTTCAAACAAGCTGCCTCCCCATCTCTGCTATTGGTTTTCTCAGTTACAACTAGGGGGTGGGCAAGGCCAATAGTAGCAAATAAGTTTCCTTTCAGTGCCAACTTTGATTAGTAGTGGCTACTTCAGAAGATCTGTCGGGCAGGGGCTCTGTGAATGATTAGCCAATGCCTGTCATGGGACCGGGAGCAGCTCTGCACTCTTCAGAGTCACCTAGATTTATAAACGCCAAACACTGACCCGGGTTCCTGAGGCCCTGAGCCCTTTCTAGCTCTCACCATCTAGATTTCTTCTTTCTCCTGTCTCCACGCAACCATCAAAAGTGATATCAACATCCAAGTTGGATACAAAGTTTTCAGAGATAATCTCACAAGATCCCTGTCCTTGACAAGCTCACAGTTTGGTAAAAGATATTTGCCCAAGTTCACACACAAACAAGTGCTGTTTTCTGTCTGAGCAACAGTCTTAGGGAGAAAGGGGCTTTAAAGGTCAGGACTCCGATGCCTCAGCAATTGCAAGAACCCTCTTGACCAGCCATTCATCATCCCTCACTCCCCACCCACTCACAGGCATTTGCTGTGGTGGTGCAGATTTCAGCCTTGGAGCTTTGGTTTATGCACAGGCTCTGCCAGTTCTCAATAATGTGATCTCAGACAAGTTATTTGCCCTCTCTGTCTCTCCATTTCCTTATCTGTAACATGGTCTGGTGGAATTGCCGTGAGGAGTAAGTACAGGTAAATCGCCTGGCATGGAGTAGTCTTCACCAAAGATGAGCTGGCTGGATGGGTGTGGTGGCTCACGCCTGTAATCCCAGCACTTTGGGAGAACCAGGTAGGCAAGTCACTTGAGGCCAGGAGTTCAAAACCAGCCTGGCCAACATGGTGAAACCCCATCTGTACTAAAAATACAACAATTAGCTGGTGTGGTAGCGCATACCTGTAATCCTAGCTGAGGCACACGAATCACCTGAACCTGGGAGGTGGAGGCTGCAATGAGCCAAGATCATGCCACTGCACTCTAGCCTGGGCAACAGAACAAGACTCTGTCTCAAAAAAAAAAAAAAAAAAAAAAAAACAAAAAACAAACAAACAAAAAAAAACCATGAGCTAGCAATATGAGTCTCATTTAAAGTCTCCTCCTTATCATTCCCCTGGCCCTGCACACTAGGGAGACAGATATCTGCCCCCACTGCCCAAGGGCAGCTCTCTAGGGAAGTAGGCCACCAACATAGCCCCACTCAGACTTCTGGGACTGACATGGGGCACCTCCACCTGCTGCTCCTGTGAACATGGACTGGCCATGGTGCCCTGACTCCAAAGCCCATGCCCCAGACCAGCTTTTCCAAGGGAAGGTCCAAATACCTGGAGAAAAGAAAACGAGACTGTTGTGGGGGTGCTCCCTGCCTCCCCAGCCTGGTTGCGTACCCATACTCAGAGGGGCCCAGCCTGGGAGCTGTCCTTTCCCTCCTGGAAGAGCCTACCTCTGTGCAACCAACCTCAACTCTCCCCCGCGTCGGTCTGAATGTTTGCTCTTCCACCTCTCCCGGAATCATTAAACATTCTGCAGTGGAAACACGGCTGGTCACGTGGCAAGCACAGCTCGCCAACCTTGGCACTTCTCCTCTGATCCCGTTTGTTTTTCTAATATAAAACTAATATGACATAATGTATAATCTAATTTGGAAATTACCATTTGCTTGGCTGGCCCACACTGCCAGCCAATACCAACAGCAAGAGAAATTATTTAAGAATGTTTCTTTTCCTTCGGAACACGGCTGATAATTTATTTTTCCGTCAGAAGATTACTTTTCTCTTTACGACATTTCCTGCCCGTGTGATTTGCGTTAACGTTCAATAAAATGGTCTGTGCCTAACGTAAGGAGGTGAGTCAACATGACTTTCTTCCCTTGAATGAAGGGAGGGTGTCAATTGTGGTCAATAATGGGTTCAGATCTGCTGCCCAGGTACAGGTGCCAAGAGGGATTTCAGTGGCAAGGATTGAGCAGATCTCAGGAAGTCACCTGCCCCCTGTCCAGTAAGCCAGCCCTGAAGGTTGCCTATAGGTCCAGGGTACCCCAGGACCCACTGGCCTCTGGGGTAATGAGTAATGCCCATTTGGCATTCCTGGGCAAGAGGGCTTAGCACCAGGGTGGACTGTAAGCTGAGATTGTGCGTTACTGAAATTCAGGCTTCCAACCTGTCTACACCTGTGTCTCCACTGGGATGAAGTACCTCTTCTTTTGCAGCTGCCACACATTCAGACACACACAGGTTCATTATGCAGCATCTCACCTACACCTTCAGTATGATGCAGTTCAGGCCAACTCCTTCCTTCATCCTTTTTTTCAATAAGGATTTCATAGGTACAGCTGGCTCCTTAAGTTAGAGCTGGTTTCAAATCCTGGCTCTGATACTTAACAACTCCATAACCTAAAACAACTTTCTTCATCTTTGTGAGCCTCCATGAATCTCACCTGGAAAATGGGGGAATAACATTGCCAATCTCATTGGGTTTTGTAAAGATAAAATGTGATGTGTGTTAAAGGCTTCTTAGGTCAGTGCCTAGCACACAGTGAGAGCTCACTATGTTACTGTCACTATTAACCTCTGAACAGTCTTGCTCTGCTGGGGACCAGAGCTCCTGGACTTGATGAAGGGAGTTCCTGTCCCAGTGAAAGACTTGGATTTTGGAAGCCAGACTTGTGCTGTGGGATTAGTGCCTTTAGCTCTGAGAAACTAACTCGACACATGGGTCATAGCTCACCACTAACTTGCTGCAGGTTCTGAGCAGCTCACCCCTCAAAGGTCTGGTCATTGGAAGAAAGCATCTCCATCCCAAATATTTTGCAACCAGGGATACCAGAGGAGACTTTTTTCTTCCCCAGTACAGTCTGGGGAGAAGGGATAGAACTAGCTCTTTCAAACCTTCTCCCTGTCTGCCAATGACCATTCTCCCCTGACCTGAGAAACTCAATCTCCAAGTTAGAGTTTATTTACCCAGAGAAGCGAGAGGTCTGATTTCTTCCTGGATGTTGCAAGACTGAACTGATGGATGTTTTGGTGAAAGATAAAGACGTTAACCGCTCACTTTGCTGCATAGACCACCTCTTTTGGTGATGCTCTCCTGAGAATGCCAGACAGAGCAGAGGGCGCATCTCCAAGAACTTAGCCTCATCATTAATTTAACCAAGTTAAGTGGTTGTTTTGGTTTCATAGTATCGAGGCAACTGGCTCTTCATGGAATTGACTGAATGTTTAGACACAGCCTCTCCTGCTTGAGTGGTTGTTTGACAGAACGGAGTGGGTGTTTTGTTACTGCTTGGTGACCAGTTTGACCTGTTGCTTTTGCATAGTTTGATTGGGTTGACTGCTTGTTTAGCTGTGGTGATTGGTGGTTTCACCAAGTAGACCAGTTATTTTGTCACGGTTGGACCCATTTGACTGGCTGTTTAAGTTGGGTAGGTGTTTTGGCATTCATTAACTGTGTTGACTGGGTTTGATGGAAATGACTGGATGTTTGAGTGAATTAATCCAAATATTTTGACATTGTATGAGGCCATCAGTTGGCTGTTTACAACAGCCGGGTGTGTTTCTATCATTTGACCCAGCTGACCCATTGTTCTGGTATGGTTTGACCTAATGGCTAGTTGTTGAGTTGGTTTGGTGTTTTGGCTTTGTTTAATTCTAAAGACAGGTTGTTTGAGAGTTGTTTGATCAAGCTGATTGGTTGTTTGACTAAGTTGAACAATTGCTTTGGTATGACTTGACCACGTTGACTTGTTATTCAAACTAAGTGGAAGTTTTGTTATAGTTTGACCCAATTGTTTTGAAGGTACCCTTTACTTAGGCTAACTTGATAGGTTGTTTTGGCACTGTTCAGACCAGCTGACAGATGTTTGACCAAGTTGACCAGTAGTTTAGGCTGTGCTTGCCCATTTCAGCTGTTGTTTGGCCAACTTGATTTAGTGTCTGACCGAATTAGCCAGGCATTTATATAGGGTTTCCAATGCTGACCAGGTTTTGATCAATTGCCCGGCTGTTTGGTCTCAAACCAACAGGAGCCAGGGTGGCCAGCTCAGACCCACACTTGCCGAGAAGCCACACTGGGAGGCTCCCTCGCGTGGGAGTGAGAAAGAAGGGGGAAGTGAGGGGGGAGTGGATCCCAAGTCTTGCAGGCAGGTGAGAACAGAAAGGCTGGCGGTAAAGCAGCTGCTGCGTGCAAGAGCTCAGGAGCTGTGGTCTCAGAGCCGGGAGACGAATGTATTTGGCAGAACACTTCAAGAATGCAACCTCTGGGTTAAGTGGTTGAAATTAGGCCCAACGGGGCTGTTTTACTGAGAATTTACAGTCACTCGTAGAACTCAGCCCTGATCAAGTAAGAGTCCCTCCTGCCAAAATGGAGATTTGCTCCCCAGCCAAGGGGATTCACTGACAAAAACACACCTCTCCCTGCCTTTGATTAGCCCTCATCTGTGCACCTCCAAGTGGTGACCACACGGATGCTAATGTTTGTTCTCCCGGTGGGTGGGTGCCTCTCCCTGAAATCCACGGCTGGTCGGGGGAGGACTTTTCTCCCCGTCGGCTTCCTGGCGGAGGCTTCAGCAGAGTCAGGGCGGCCTACGCCGCCGTGTGTGATGTGAGTGGCGCCACCAAAACCTCGGTCCCACTGCCGGGTCATGAGAGCGGAAATGCCCACATTATGCACTCAGCACACCAGATATCAGGGCTGGAGAGGGCTTTAGAGAGGAGCCAGACTGGCCCCCTCACTTTACACATGGGGAAACTGAGTCCCAGAGCCAGAAAGAGACTTTCTGAACTGGGCTTTAGGGCACTCCAAGTTATTAACCCTTTGCAGTGTAGATAGGTTGAAATTGGAAAGCCCTAATCAGGGAGCCAAGGGAAAGGGTCATTTCTGGAGGAAGAAGAGAGGAAAGGCTGTAGCCAGGATGGGGCTGAAAGAGGAGCACAGCTCTCTAATTCAGTGTGTGTCTTAATGCAAGTCCCTTCAGGCAAGGACCAATGAGCCATTGCTGAAGCAACATCCAAGGTTAAAAGTTCTGGTCAATGAGGCTTAGAAGTTCATAGTACCTGGGCCTCCCACCTCTGTTTGCACAATAGGAGTGGCATCTCAGGGCAAGGGAGGTGACGGTCTCAGCAGGCTCCACAAGGAGTTCAAGATAAGGGTTAGTGGACGAATAATAAAGTGAGTCACAACCAAGAAGGAAAGGTTCTCCAAGCCATGTCCTGGGAAAAACAGATGAAGGAGGAATGGCTGTCTTTGCTAGAGAAGACAAGGCATGAAAGATGGGGTCACTGTCTAGAAATCACAGACTTTCAGTGGACAGGTGGGGCAGATAAGCTTAATGAGTATCACAGAACGCAGAGAAAAACAGTATGGCATCCAGTATGTACTTGAAAACCTTGCTGAATAAAATTACAAGGAAGCAGAATACAAAGAAGAACTTTCTGACAGAGCTACTTCAAGCAAGCAAAAGAGAACTGTTGGTCACTGGAGGCTTGCAGCCAGAATTCTATGTTGGGTAAAGAGCTCATCAGATGAGTCAGAGACAACAGACTTGCTACCTCCTTGCAAAGCATCATTAAGTCAGCCTCAATTGTGCTTCCTTACTCTGGCATTGTCATCTTGCACTGAGCTTGGGTGCCACTATGACTTCCAGATTTTTTCATGCAAAAACTGTGAAACAGGCCTCACCACCCTATACTCAGGTTGTCATTTTTAAGATCCATGTTTTCAAACACTGAATCTTTGTACCTCCCATTCAGCCAAGCAGCATCTCTACTCTCCCTTCCAGCTCCGTGAAACTGACAACTGGACGTACCGCAGTAGCCCTGTGAGGACAGAGACTTGCAGCATCTCACTGTAGACCTCCCTTGGATACACTGTTTCAGACACTGAAAGGCAAGGGAGTCAGAGGGCCACTCAGCAACAACCTGACAACTGCAAACTGTTAGTTTTTAAATGCTGCCATCCATTTGGTGTGGACCAGCCTGAGTCCCTAGGCTAGTTCTAAGAAGGCCCTGGAATCAGGCAGGAAGGGAAGTCAGCAGGCCAGCCAGAGCATCGAGCCTTCCGCCAGGGACTCCAAGAAAATACTGGGGAGAATGGATATGTGATCAGCCTCCATGATCCCCAGAAGCCCTGGCCAGACAAAGACATATTGTGCCACTGCACAGTGGGTCCCAGGCCTCTGCCTTCTATCCAGGCAGCCTAGGGAGGCAGTGCAAGAACTCGCAGGACACCAGCAGGGCCCTCCTCATACTCCCTCCTGCAGGAAGCCACCTTTCCAAATAGCCAGGGCCTTATCAGACCCACACAGCACCAAGGCCACCCAGGGGCTGAGAACAGAGGATCAGAGAAGGTCAGGCTTGCTGTAGACTCTGCTGGGAGGCATCTCGGGCAAAGGAGCAATCATCATGCAATTGGCGAGACGCTGTTCCTGGGACCACTTCCGATTAACCCTCTGGGTGACCTGGATTGTGCCACCTGACCTTGCTTGGCCTCCTCTTCACAGCTCCTCAAATAGGAAAAGTCAGGGCTGGGAAGGACCCTAGAAATCTTGCAGTCCCACCCCCTCAGTTCACAGGCAGGAAGACTAGCCCAGCAAGTCAGTGGCAGAGCTGGGACTGTCCCCAGCTGCCAGCCCACTCTCTTGCGACCACACTGTGCTGCCTCTCCAAAGCCTGTACATGGTAGGTCATCACCTCTAAAGCTCTAGAAGCCTAAAGCCTAGACATACTTTATTCATTTGCTCGGGCTGCCATAAGAAGTAATACAGACTGGGTGGCTTCACAAACAGAAACAGATTGTCCCACAGTTTTGGAGGCTAGAAGCCCACAATCCAGGTATGGGTATGGTGGGTTCCTTCTGAGGGCTGTGAGGAAGAATCTGTTCCATGCCTCTCCCCTAGCTTCTGGGGACTTGCCGGCAATCTTCTGAGTCCTGGGCTTGTAGAGGCATCACCCCAATCCCTGCCTTCGCCTTCACATGGCATTCTCCCCAGGTGCATGTCTGTGTCAATGTGTTCATTCATTTGTCACACATTTGCCCAATTCATTCATCCATTAATTCAGATGAGTTACTTGCCAATATATACATTCATTCATTCATTTATGCTACTCCCTGGTTTGCATATTGAATCTGTCTCATTTACAAATTCAATAAACATTTATAGTAAGTGCCTACTGTGTGCTAGACAGTGTCCTAGGCTTGGGGGATACAGAAGTAAACAAGACAGATAAAAACCCCGGCTCTTACGGAGCTTGCATTCCAGAGGAGAAAGCCAGACAAACATTGCAAACACTGACAGATACAAGGAAGAAACTAATCTAGGGCTATGGGATTGAGAACAACCAGGGTGAGGGGGACACCTTTGGCTAGAGGTGACCCCTCTCTCTGGGAAAGTCTTTCTGAGAAAACATTAGTCAGGCTGAGACCTTAAAGCTGAAAAGTAGTTGCCCATGTAAAGACCTGAGGGAAGAGCACACCGGGCACTGGGAACAGCAAGTATGGAGGCCCTGAGATGAGGCGTGCAGGTCGGCATCCCAACAGGAAACAGGAGCACACTCCAGATAGGAGAATTCAGGCCAGGCGCGGTGGCTCACGCTTGTAATCCCAGCACTTTGGGAGGCCGAGGCAAGCAAATTGCCTGAGATCAAAAGTTCAAGACCAGCCTAGTCAACGTGGTGAAACCCCGTCTCAACAAAAAATATTAGCCAGGTGTGGTGGTGTGTGCCTGTAATCCCAGCTACTTAGGAGGCTGAGGAGTGAGAATCACTTGAACCCGGGAGGCAGAGGTGACAGTGAGATCATGCCACTGCATTCCATCCTGGGTGATAGAGTGAGACTCTGTCTCAAAAAAAAAGAAAAAAAGAAAAAGAAGAAAGGAAAGAAAGGAAGGAAGGAAGGAAGGAGAATTCAAGGAGAGATTCTTTACAATGAGGCTATTGTGAAAGGAACACAAGGAATAGGGCAGTAGCCTTGGACCAGTAGCAGCAAAACTGTTATCACCCTGAAGGGAAGAGGGGAAGGAGTGATTGCTGGAACTTAGAGTCGGCTTCTTTGGGAGGAGTGATGGCCTCTGATCGAGGAACCAGTCCAAGACATCTATAAGGAGAGAACCGTGGGAATAAAGACCCTGACCCATACTGCTTCTCTCTCTGTGGGTACCTCACAGTGACCAAACCCAGCTGGAGGCCTGACTCCACAGAGCCCACTGATAGGACACACGGGTCAGCCTCAGGCACAGGGCAGGTTGGAGGAAGGTGAGTGTGCCCCTGGAGGGGCCACAGAAGACCTCAGCCCAGGCAGGAACACTTGAGCAGGCCCTTGTGGCTGGAGCACAGTGGGAGATGGGACAGGAGGAGGGATGCAATCATGAGGGCAGAGGTGGAATTGGGATTTTATGCTGCCAGGGCATGGTGGGTGGTGGGGAGAGGCAGACTTCAGCAGCAGAGAGTGCTGTGGACATCCCAGTCACTGCTCAACAAGTTCATTTGTCACCCACTCACTCTTATCTTCCTCGCATTCACCTCTCAGCCCTTCTGAGGTTTGAGCAAGCCTCTCCCTGCTCAGTCTTCCGTGCTGTGCCCATACCAGGCCCCAGTCCATGTACTGAGCTAGATATTTACTGCAGGTACATGTACTCCATGTACTGCAGGTACATTCAACCTGCAGAAGCTCACCCCTGGACCAGGAACCACCAGGTCCCTGGTGAATTCTGACACAAGGTGGAGATTGGTAAGGGCCTTAGGGGAGGGCCAGGCCAGTGGGGGATGCTCAGAGTGGGGTGACCGGGCTGTTTCTAGCTGAAGAAGCACAGGCTCTAGGCCAGGACACATGGTCTCTGACACCAACTCACTATGTGACCTTGGTGGGTGGTGAGGAGAGGCAAGGTGGACAGCCTCTCTGAGCCTTGTTTCTGCATCTGCATCTGCAACATGGGGGTGCTAATTCTGCTGCCCATCCCTCGGGCCTGGTGGAGGTAAAGGAAAAGGCTTTTAAGGCTGCAGCAGGAACAAACTAGCTGTTCACCAAACATATTTGTACTTTATCCTGGGTGCACAGCTACAGTGTATTCCCCAGCCTTCCTTGCAGTTAGGTGTGGCCGTATGACTAGGTTCTATGAAGGGCCACCCTCAATTCCAGGCCAGAAAACCCCCCTTGTGGTCTTCTGTGCTTCTGCTCCCTATGCCTCTGCTCCCTATGCCTCTGTTTCCCATGTCTCTGCTCCCTGCCATCACCTGAGCCAGCTGAGCACAGAGGATCAGCACCCCAGCAGATGGCAGAGCCACCAAATGCAAGGCTTCTGGGTCCCTGAATCACCACACGGAGGAGGAACACTTGCATTTGTTTTATTTTGGAAGCAGAAAAATATTTTATTCCAAGAGATGGAAGAGGTAAGAAGTTCACCTTGAAAAAATAGTTTGGTGTAATTCTGTTGTGACAAAGCTTCTCTCTGAATGCGCCCTCCTACTGACTGCCCCACTGGAATCTTGTTTATCTTGCAGCAGTTTTTAAACGCTTCGCTGATTCCCATGTTAGGAGAAGACAAGAGCCATCTTCAAATCCACAGATTCCAAGGAGAGAATAAAATATTCTCAGAAGAGCATCTTCTCTCAGGAGAGTGCATAAACGCTTTGTGGAGTCAGCACAGTTAGGTTAGGTAGGCACATAGTAAGTCAAAGTGTAAAAAAAGTGAAGGAAGAAATACTGCATTGTAGAATAAGATATTCAGATATGGTGTGAATGTTTAAGGCAGCTGATGTCCGAAACAGGCAAGTCAAGAAAGAAGGTCTCAGTTTGGAGGAGATTTTGCATCTAGAAGGAATTCTCTTCTCATAACGTCAATGACTAGCACTATAGAGCATGTCTTCTTCCTCAAGGCCAATGATGCCTGAGATACCAGCTGGTTTCATTTTTCAACTGTGGTCCAAAGAGAGGACAGAAATGAAAAAGAATTGCAACTAGCCAAAAGAGATAGCAGTAGCTGGGTGCAGTGGCTCATGCCTGTAATCTCAGCACTTTGTGAGGCAGAAGTGGGAGGACTGCTTGAGCCCAGGAGTTCAAGACCAGCCTGGACAACATGGTGAAACACCATCTCTACATAAAATACCAAAAAATTAGCCAGGCATGGTGGCATGCACCTGTCATCCCAGCTACCCAGGAAGCTGAGGAGGGAGAAGGATCCTGGGCCTGGGAGGTTGAGGCTGCAGTGAGCCAAGATCGTGCCACTACACTGCAGCCTGGGCAACAGAGTGAGATCTTGTCTCAAAAAAAAAAAAAAAAAAAAAAAGAGCAGCAAACTGAACAGGTCACCAATATGGTGATGATAACTACTCTGCTAAGACTCTTAGGGATGAACCAGGGAACCAAGAAGCTGAGGAAGCCCCAGAACATGCTTATCACAATGAGAAGCACCATGAGGCTGTGATATGCCCATGATTGCCACTGGAGCAGCCCACTGGACTCTTAATGTGAGCAAGAAACCAACTATCGGGCTAAGCCACAGAAATCTGGGAGTGGTATCAGTTGCAGCAGCTTGGGTCGCCTTCACTAATACGGAAGCTATAAAGGCTGTCTTGATGTGAGGGGATGCTGAGTACCCTGGAGGAGTAGGAGGAAATAAGGTCAGAGGGGAAGCAGGAGCCCAGTCATGTAGGGGCGTGGCAACGAATCTGGAGTGTAGTATAATTAGTGGGGTTTAAAGCAAGAGAATATTGTGTCCCAATCCCTAATCTACTCTACCACCTAGCCTGGCCCACCCACAGCAGCCTAAGAAGTTGATTCAGGTGCTAAATCTTGAGGCTCCATCCCTGCTTGAGGAATGCAGGTTCCATGTGAGCCTCAGTCTCTCTGGGAAGGGAGTTTGGGGGAGAGGCCCAATCCAGGGACAGGTTCTAAGGGTAACCAGCAGGAGGAGCCTCTGCCCAAGGGGCAAAGGTGAGGAGTTATTTAGGGTAAAACAAGAGGTAGTCCCTGTGCATCCCAAATGCCTACCTGAGCCCACTGCAAAGGCGGACTCAGCTACTCAGGCAACCACAGACTATCCACGTAAAGGGACTCTCAGGAACACATGGCCTTCACTGTACACATGAGAAAATCAAGAGTCAGGACCATAGAAATGCTCAGGATCATACAGTGAGACAGGAGTGGGGCTGCCAGGGGCTAGCCTGGGAGTGCAAGAACCTGGTGCCAAAACCAGCTCTTCCACATTCTGCCTGTGACCTTGAGAATAAGAAGAACCACCCTGAATGGAGGTTGTGAGGACCAACTGAGTTAACATAGGATGTACCCAATAAATGTCTGGCATGTAGAAGGCACTCATTACGAGATGCTCAATACGGCACTGCACTTCAGTGGGGATAACCTTGAACCCACCACTGCCCACTGCTATGGTGGGGAAAAACACTTGCCCAGGCCGCCTGAAGTTCATGCTGGGGCCTGGTTATCTCCCTACGCAAAGCACCCTAATAGTTACCCGGGGTTCAACTTGAACAGGAACACTTCTTTCCGTGTTCCAAGGACTACTTTACTAAACTCTATGAAAAGAAGAAAAAGGATGAGGAAGAGGAGGAGGAGGAGGAGGAGGAGGAGGGAAAGTAGAGAAGGTGGAGCAAGAGAATAAAGAGAAGAAAGGGGAGGCAGAGGAAGAAGCAGCCAGCTTATGTTGCTGCTGACAGGCAGCTGTTGGGGACACTGTGTGCCCCTTTCTGAGAAATCACAGGAGACTTTTTTCTCTGGCCTCCAACCAAGGGCACTTCTTCCAAGCAAAGGTCCTGTGTTTATCTTGTGGGCACAATAAATCACATACCTGCTTGGGTCCCCTCCACTGGAAGCCTGGAGTGACACACATGACCTGCCTCCACAGCGTGCAGGGCCTACCTTAGGGCAGGATCCCTGCTTAGAAGCCTCACTCCAGAATCCACCCTACCCTCCTAAACTTTTTAATCTTTGCCTTGAATGCTTACTTCTAACTTTATTTTCCCACGTTTTAGTATATATTTCCATGTAGATTGCTTTCAGTCATTTCTGGGGAAAGCTGTGAAGGAAGGAGAAAGGGGCTTCATTCTCCACTCTGCTTAGACCAGCAGGACTCTCCTCCCTCAACGAGTCGTCTTCCTCCATGAATGCAGCCACTGAGCTGGCCAGCTTCCTGGCATGCGCATCCAGCTGTCGGCTTGCTCTGAACTGAGATCCCCAAAAGATCCCCAGACCATCAGTTGAGCTCACAGAAGATCACCCTCCAGGGGGCCTTTGAGCAAACCTCTGGGGGCAGGGGAAAGGAGAGGGACGTGACTCAGCCAGGAAACTGGAAACCCCCCATATCCCCAACCACCTCCACAACCTCCAAAGCCAGCCCTGTGCTCTCAGCTGATGCCAAGAACTGCCCACTACCAATACCTCCCACCCCCGTTCTGGGCCAAGGACATGGGATCTGGCTGGGCTCCTCTACCCCTCCTTCTTGGGTGGAGAGTTGACATGTTATAGGAAACACTCTCTCTGACCCTTCTCCAAGAGGCCTGAGTAGCCCCCTAGCCAATCCCTTCCCTACTCTGGGATAAAACTCCCATCTTTAACATGCGGGGTGGGTGGGGGATAAGCTCCAAGGGTCACACTAGCTCGGCTCCTCCCCATCCAGCATCCACGAATCATTTCCTGAGTACCAGCTCTGTGCCTGACCCAGGTCTGGGGATCTTTTGGGGACCTCAGTTCAGAGCAAGCTGACAGCTGGACATGCATGCCAGGAAGCTGGCCAGCTCAGCGGCTGCATTCATGGAGGCAGACGACTCACTGAGGGAGGAGAGTCCTGCTGGTCTAAGCAGCACAGAGAATGAAGCCACTTTCTCCTTCCTGTAGAGCTTTCCCCACTGAACAGAAGGAAGAGCCTGTTCACACAGAGAGATGTGGTGATACCATGAGCTGGCGGGGCAATAAGGGACACAAGGATTTTGCACTGTTAGAGCAAAGATGACAGACTGACCAGCTGGTTAGCGGGTCAGAGAAGGCTTCCCAGAGGAGGGGACAGTTGGTCAGGGCCTCAAAGGTTAAGTAAGAATTGGCCAGAATCATAGAAAAAAATAAGAATGTTTCTGTAGCACTTTATTTGTTCACTTCCAGAATCTCTTTTTATCTTTCAGACTCATGACTTAGCAAGCTGGGATTTAGAATATGTAAGCGTTCAGCTCTGGGAGTCTCTTTAGACATTATTCCCATTTTCTGACTGAGATTATTAAGGCTCGGAGAGAGGAAGGGACTACCCCAAGGTCACACAGCAGGAGATTAGTGAGTAGATCCTGAAATCTGAATCACTGGACTTCCAGCCTAATATCCCCACCACAATAACTCATTGACCCCCTTTTCCTTTTCCAACCACCATCTGGCCTGACCAACTGCCCTATCCCTCCCAGCCAGACTCAGGACAAGTTTTATAGGGAGGTAACTGATTGGGGTGGGGGTTAGGGAGTAGAAGGGAGAGTTTAACCCCACAATGTTTTCATACTTGGGATCTGAAAACACGATTTCCCCAGCAAAGAAGCTTAGCGTTAAGCGGAAAATCGGCTTGGAAGGATGTGATATCATTTATAACAGTACATTAAATGCAAGCTGAGAACCTGATATATTTTAGGAACATTCAGCACACTCTAGACTAATAAACATTTTACAGTATTATTGCACATGTTCATTTCACTTTGTGCAAATAATCATTCCCTTCACATCTAATAAGTCTGTTTGACACATAAGTGGTCTTGGGCAAACACCTCAGAGGGCCTTGTTTTTCTGTGCATTGATCATTTATTTGTGTAGCCTGCTGGGACAGTGACTAATGATTTTGAGGGTTTAAACGTCCTCAAACATCGTCTTTGTCTCCCTGCCTGTTATCGTATAAATGTAAAATAATTTCATCTTGGCCCTAGAATGTATTGTTTTTCATGTATGAAAAATGCCTGTCCCTTCCCTGCCTGGCATGGCATCAATCAGTTTAAAACAATATTTAGAGGAGCCCTGGTCTGCAGGTCTTCCAGCAAGCTCTCGAGGTCCCTGGGAGACAGGCCCAGAACACCACTTACTGGGGAATTTCCACACAAACCTGCCATCACCACTGCATCAACTCGGAAGCCTCGTCTCCCTACAAGATAGGCATGAGTCCTGCCCTTCCAAGGCCCAGTGAACAGAGATTCACTACTGATAGCCTTCTCCTTTCAACTCCAAGAACATTTATGGAGGTCTCTGGGGCCTGGCACTGCTATGCTAGGAGCGGTGGGAACAGGGATGAAGCCAACGTGGTCCTGGCCTACAGAAACTTAGAATCAGGGGAAGGCCACCACTGGCTCAGAGAGCCCCTGTGTAGGAAACAGAAAAAGGTGCCCCCTATGGGTGAGCTCAGCCACTTGAGCTCATCACTTGCAGAACAGGTACCTTTGTATGAATTAGAAAAAAAGCACTCTTCCCTCGAGAGGTACAGCCCTCACATTAGGGCACATTCCTCAGCTGGGTGTTCCTGTGCAGTGTACAACCCAAACAACTGTACAAAGAGGCCACCCTGCTGGAGTAGGGTGGAGGTCAGTGGATAACAGACAGACACAAAAACAATGCTATGGAATACATGTCCCATAAAAAGATAAGCCATTCGGAGTGGAAGACCAGAAGGAGGATAGCTGATAAGGCAGGAGGCTTCATGGAGGAAGGGACCTTTGAGTTTGGCCTGGAAGAAAAAGTAGGTGAGTGATAGGAAAAGGAAGGAAGGATCCCACTGCATCCAGTGAACAGAAGGAACAGCCTGTTCACACAAACATGAGGTCAAGGAAGCTGGCCATTTGGAGAGACTGAGCATAAGAAGAAAGAAAAGGAGGAGGAGGGATGAGACAAGAAATGAGTGTTTGTTGAGTGAATAAGGGGGTGAACACAGAGATGAAAGGACAGCCAGCCAGATGGGTGGATGGATGAATAGGAGGTAGAGATTATATTATAAAGTTTCAGATTTCTTGAATGCCTTACTAAGGAATGAGTGCTTTTTCCCGCAAGCAGTGGGTGATGCATTCAGAACCATATTTTGGACACTCTGACCAAAATGAACTGGGGAAAGCAAGTTTGGGTACCAAGGGGATCTCCCTGGGCCTCACCTAGAGTGACCATTCGGAATCATCTAGTAAGGAAAAGGGAAGGGAGAAAAGTAATGTTATCACCAGGCTTCTAGGGTAAATGATACATTCCCAACTGAGCCATGGGAAACTGAGGCTCAAAAAGTGATTTGTCCAAAGTTACCTGTCTACACAGAGCCAAGAATTGACCCCATCTGCCTGACTCTGCAGTTTGTGCCTCATCTGCTCATACACATCTGCTTGAGGAGATGGCCTGAGACTGAGTCACGTAACTCCTCTTGCCCAAGGAACCCCCAGGCCTAGTGAGTACTCACTCGAACCTAGCACCAGTTGCTAAATACAAGCCGCACTGGCTCTGCAGGGCCTCCATCTGCACCTCCTCCCAGCCCACTTCCAGAAGAACCTGGAGCAGATTCACGGGGCAAGAAATCTGGACTAGGCTCTAGCTGTGACCTCTCTCTCACCCCTCAACCATCTCCACCACACATAGTTTGCAACCACTGTAACATGCTCTCTGACCCTTTCTGGGCCTTTGCATATGCTGTACTCTCTGCACAACTCTTTCATGCTTTCCCTGTCTAGCTGATGCCTTCTTGTACTTCAAAGTCAGCTCAAATGTCTCCTCTGCTAGGAAGCCTCCTCTGACCCCCTTGGCTGGGATGGGACATCCTCTATGTTTCCATGGCTTTTGACTTTTCTCAAGATGGCACTTATGTGTTTATATTTTTTGTTGTCTAGTTGCATCATCTTTGTCTATCCCACTGTGAGCCGCTGGAGATCAGAGGGTATATTTAATTCATCTCCAAGATTCTCAGCATGATCACAGGGCCTGGCCCAGAGTAGAGCCAGAGAGCACTGGAAAGATAGATAAGCGAATGGATGGATGGGTGGTTGAACAGATAGATGGGTGAATAGATAGACAAACAGCTTCTTAAGGGAAAAAAACTTTGGACTTGACTCTCCCACCTACAAGAAGAGTCTCCTGATCTGGGAAAAAGTCTTAAAAACTGAGGCTCTTGATGGCACAGAATAACTGAAGATAAAAATTTATAGGTACATAGGCCGAGCGCGGTGGCTCACGCCTGTAATCCCAGCACTTTGAGAGGCAAAGGCGGGTGGATCACCTGACGTCAGGAGTTTGAGACCAGCCTGGCCAGCATGGCAAAACTCCATCTCTACTAAAAATACAAAAATTAGCTGGGCTTGGTGGCAGGCATCTGTAATCCCAGCTACTCGGGAGGCTGAGGTAGGAGAATCACTTGAGCCCAGGAGGCGGAGGTTGCAGTGAGCCAAGATTGCACCACTGCACTCCAGGCTGGGCAACAGAGCAAGACTCTGTCTCAAAAAAAAAAAAAAAAGAAGAAGAAGAAGAAGAAAAATTTATAATGCATAGACCTGCACATCTCATTCATTCAGTTTCACTGAGGTTAAGGCCAAATGATGTGGGACATTATTGTGCTGGCTGGGGTTCAAGGACAAGGTCACAGAGAATCTTGTACACAGATTTAAGGGTCTTGGCTTTTATCACAAGGCTGATAGGGAGCTGGTAGAGGGTTCCTGGAGCATGATAAGGAGCCATCCACATCTCTTGAGTCCTTTAAGTGACGATGAGATTGAGAGTCAGAGTCATTAGCCTTGGGTATTCCTTCTTGTCCATTCTGCAAAGGCTGATTAGACAAACAGATGGTCCCCCAGACTTCAGGATGCCCATTCTGGGGCAGAGATGGTGTATTAGTCCATTTTCATGCTGCTGATAAAGACATACCCAAGACTGAGCAATTTACAAAAGAAAGAAGTTTAATAGACTAACAGTTCCACGTGGCTGGGGAGGCCTCACAATCATGGTGGAAGGTGAAAGGTACGTTTCACATGGTGGAAGATGAGAGAAGAATGAGAGCCAAGCAAAAGGGGTTTCCCCTTATAAAACCATCAGATCTCTTGAGATTTATTCACTATCACAAGAACAGTATGAAGGAAACCGCCTTCATGATACAATTATCTCCCACTGGGTCCCTCCCACAACATGAGGGAATTATGGAAGATACAGTTCAAGATGAGATTTGGGTGGGGACACAGCCAAACCATACCATTCCACCCCTGGCCCCTCCCAAATCTCATGTCCTCACATTTCAAAACCAATCATGCCTTCCCAACAGTCCCCCAAAGTCTTAAGTCATTTCAGCATTAACTCAAAAGTCCACAGTCCAAAGTCTCATCCGAGACAAGGCAAGTCCCTCCCACCTATAAGCCTGTAATACTAAAAGCAAGTTAGTTACTTCCTAGATACAATGGGGATACAAGCAATGGATAAATACAGCTATTCCAAATAGAAGAAATTGGCCAAAACAAAGGGGCTACAGGCCCCATGCAAGTCCAAAATCCAATGGGGCAGTCAAATCTTAAAGCTTCAAAATGATCTCCTTTGACTCCATGTCTCACATCCAGGTCATGCTGATGCAAGAGGTGGGTTCCCATGGTATTGGGCAGCTCTACCCCTGTGGCTTTGCAGAGTACAGCTTTCCTCCTGGCTGCTTTCACAGGCTGGCATTGAGTGTCTGCAGCTTTTCCAGGTACACGGTGCAAGCTGTCGATGGGTCTACCATTCTGGGGTCTGGAGGATGGTGGCTCTCTTCTCACAGCTCCACTAGATAGCACACCAGTGGAGACTCTGTGTGAAGGCGCCCACCCCACATTTCCCTTCCACACTGCCCTAGCAGAGGCTCTCCATGAGCGCCCTACCCCTGCAGCAAACTTCTACCTGAACATCCAGGTGTTTTCATACATCCTCTGACATCTAGGCAGAGGTTCCCAAACCTGAATTCTTGACTTCTGTACACCCACAGGCTCAACACCACATGGAAGCTGCCAAGGCTTGGGGCTTGCACCTCTGAAGCCACAGCCCGAGCTACACCTTGGCATCTTTTAATCACAGCTAGAGTGACTGGGATGCAGGGCACCAAGTCCCTAGACTGCACACAGCAGAGGGACCCTGGGCCAGGACCACAAATCCTCCTAGGGCTCTCAGCTTGCGATGGGAGGGGCTGCCGCAAAGGTCTCTGACATGCCCTGCAGACATTTTCCCTGTTGTCTTGGTGGCTCCTAGTTACTTATGCAAATTTCTGCAGCTGGCTTGAATTTCTCCTCAGAAAATGGGATTTTCTTTCCTGTTGCATTGTCAGGCTGCAAATTTTCCAAACTTTTATGCTCTGTTTTCCTTTTAAAACTGAATGCTTTTAACAGTACCCAAGTCACCTCTTGAATGCTTTGCTGCTTAGAAATTTCTTCCGCCAGATACTCTAAATAATCTCTCTCAAGTTCAAAGTTCCACAAATCTCTAGGGCAGGGGCAAAATGCTGCCAGTTTCTTTGAGAAAACATAACAAGAGTCACCTTTGCTCCAGTTCCCAACAAGTCCCTCATCTCCATCTGAGACCACCTCAGCCTGGATTTCATGGTCCATATCATTGTCGGCATTTTGGTCAAAGCCATTCAACAAATCTCTAGGAAGTTCCAAACTGTCCCACATTTTCCTGTTTTCTTCTGAGCCCTCCAAACTGTTCCAACCTCTGCCGGTTACCCAGTTCCAAAGTCGCTTCCACATTTTCAGGTATCTTTTCAGCAGCACCCCACTTCTGGTACCAATATACTGTATTAGTCTGTTTTCATGCTGCTGATGAAGACATACCAAAGACTGGGCAATTACAAAAGAGAGAGGTTTAATGGACTCAAATTTCCACGTGGCTGGGAGACCTCACAATCATGGTGGAAGGTGAAAGGCCTGTCTCACATGGTGGCAGACAAGAGAAGAATGACAGCCAAGCAAAAGGGGTTTCCCCTTATAAAACCATCAGATCTCATGAGACTAATCCACTACCATGAGAATAGAATGGGGGGAATCACCCCCATGATTCAATTATCTCCCACTGGGTCCCTCCTGAAACATGAGGGAATTATGGGAGCTACAATTCAAGATGAGATTTGGGTGAGGACCCAGCCAAACCATATCAGATGGATATTGTCAGAGTGACTGAGACCTGCATCCAGGCCAACCTAAATATCACCCTAAGTCCCCTCCTTATATTCTCTCTTAGCTCCCTCTAGCTCACGGGCCCCTTCTAACTCTACTTGGACACAGATAGGCATGCTGTGCCAAAAGGGCTGGGAAACATATGGTCTTAGAGTTTGAGCCCAAGTCCTTCTCCCACCTGCATCAGCCTCCAAGCAGACAGAGATAGACATTCATTAGTAGGTACCACATACCAGGGGGCCAATCAAATAAATCATTCCTTAACTCAATTAGTACTTACTGAATACCTATGTATCAATCAGAGAAAGAACCACCAGAAGATACACAGAATAAGAAATTTAGGGTATAGTGGCTCACACATATAATACCAGCCCCTTGAGAGACTAAGGCAGGACAGTTGCTTGAGGCCAGGAGTTTGAGACCAGTCTGGGCAAAAGTGAAACCCCCATCTCAACAAAAAATCAAAAAATTAGAGGGATGTGGTGCCACTCACCTGTAGCCCCAGTTACTCAGGAGGCTGAGGCAGGAGGATGGCTTATGACTGGGAGGTTGAGACTGCAGTGATCCATGAATGCGCCACTGCACTCCAGCCTGGGTGAAAGCAAGACACTGTATCATTAAAAAAAAAAAAGAAAGAAAGAAAAGTATTTATTATAGTGATTGATCTTATGCAAGTGTGGGAGCTGGTTAGATAGTCCACATGCTTCCATATGAGGGCCACAGGGCTGGCAGTGCAGAAGGGAAGATGATATGAAGCAGGAGAAGCAAGGACAAACTGGGACCCACGAGGATCCTCACCACCCTAAGCCTCTAACTTCAATAACAGATGTTCTCTTGGAGAAGCTAGAACTCTTCATCATAGAACTGCACATGCAACCAGCCCAAGATTCAGGGAAGTTGAAGAGGCAGATGGGGTAAGAGCTGGAGGAGCCACAGAACCCTGGCTGCTGCCCCAGGCCAACCAGGCAAGCCAGGAGAGAAGCAATCAAGAGCAAGAACTCAGGTCCCCACACTGACCTTCCCAGCCCAGAAAGAATATGGCTGCTACTTCACTGCCACCTTCTGAATCTCAGGCAAAATATCTCCTGCAGCCCTTGCTAACCTGGAACTATGCAGGAGAAGGATTTCTGGGAAACAGGGCTCCAGCTTAGCTCAGCTGGCACAATAGAGAGCCACTAACCTGCTGGGTGCCTAGCACAGGACTGGTCAGTGGAGACTTAGCAGAGAAAAATCAGAGTCCCTGCCATCACAGAGCTCACTCTCATGACAAAGACAACAAATAATTTTCATAACATTGCAGTCTGGGCGATACTATGGTAGGGCACATTTAGTTATTGAAAGTCTACCATGGAGAGACAACAGTGAATTAGTTAGGATTACATTCATATCCAAAATAACAGAGCCTTTAACAGATCAAAGTTTTTTTCTCTCTGACTTCAAAAACAGGCTGATACAATGGATCCTACATTGTCAGGGACGCAGGTTCCTGCTGCCTGGTTGCTGCACCATGTGTGGCTTCATTATCTTGCTGTCACTTCATGATCTAAGGTGTCTGCTGGCTGGTACTACAGCTATTAGGACACAATCTCAACCATCAGCTACTAGGGAGGCTGAGGCAGGAGAATCACTTGAACCTGGGAGGCATAGGTTGCAGTGAGCCAAGATCATGCTACTGTACTCCAGCCTGGGCGACAGAGTGAGACTCATAGTGGAACTCATGTCTACTCCCTTCAAGGAGACTTCCCAGAGTTTCATACCTAACTTCTGCTATCAGCCAGAACTCAACATCTAGCCAAAAGGGAGGCTGGAAAACATAGTCTTTATTCTAGATGGCCAGGTGCTTAAGTAAAACTTGACAGTTCTATTACTCTGAAATAGGGAGGAAGTGGATGCTGTGGGTTAACCTACCTCAGGTAATAGACAATAGTGGTCAACATCTGAGATTCTGGAGTTAGACAAACCTAAATTCCATTCCCAGCTCTCCCACTTTACACTGAACAAAGCAATTACCTTCTCTGAGCCTTTGTTTCTCTTAAGTACATGAGAGCATTATCATTACGTGCCAGGCACTATTCTAAGTACCTTGCATAGATTGCTATTCTTAATCCTCACAATGAACCTATGAGTTAAGTTGTATTATCATCCCCATTTTACAGATGAGGAAGCTGAGGCTCAGAGAACTGAGATAACTTTCTCAAAATTATTTCATATATATAAACACATACTTAGTGAGTGCCTGTTCAGTCCCAGGTTCTATTCTGGGCTCTAGAGATGCAGCGAAAAGTCAGACATGGTCCCAGCCCTGTCAGGGCTCCCAGCGGCAGGGAGGTAGAGCTCGGCCAGTTCTTTCCCCTCCTCCAGGCTGCCCCCAATTGCACACATGCAATGGATTGGGAACTGGGTGTAAGGAAACAATAGCAAAATATTTCTTTTTTCTTTTTTTAAAATTTAAGTTCTGGGATACCTGTGCAGGATGTGCAGGTTTGTTACATAGGTAAATGTGGTGGTTTGCTGCACCCATCAACCCATCACCTAAGTATTAAGCCCAGTATCCATTAGCTATTTATCCTGATGCTCTCCATCCCCCCAACCCCACCACAGGCCCCAGTGTGTGTTCTTCCCCACCCTGTGTCTACGTGTTCTCATTGTTCAGCTCTCACTTACAAGTGAGAACATGTGGTGTTTGGTTTTCTGTTCCTGTATTAGTTTGCTGAGGATAATGGCTTCTAGCTCCATCCATGTCCCTCCAAGGGACATGATCTCATTCCTTTTTATGGTTGCATAGTACTCCATGATGTACATGTACCACATTTTCTTTATGCAGTCTATCATTGATGGGCATTTAGGTTGATTCCATTTCTTTGCTATTGTGAATAGTGCTACAATGAACATACACATGCATGTATCTTTATAACAGAATGATTTACATTCCTTAGCGTATATTCCCAGCAAAATATTTCTTTGATTTGCTTCTTCCTAGAGTTCCCAGCCTGGCCCACAACAGGTGTTTGAGAGCATCTTCCCAGCCCAAGGTCAGCACAAACAGCTCACAGAGGGGTCTAGTTGGGGCAAAGAGAAGAAGCCAGTCTATCAATGGGTCACTCAACAGAAGCTCCTGGCCAGACTGACAACAGCCCACTGAAAACAGCAACAGTGATAGTAATCCCAAGGTACACCAGCTTGGGCCTTGTGGTCACAAAGCACTTGCACATCTACTATTGCATAAGGTCCTTCTTTTGTAGAGGAGGATACTGGGGCTTGAAGAAGCTAAGTCACTTGCCTAAGGTGACACAGGTAGTATTCCAGGCAGGTATTCCAGGAAGCATTCTAGAAGGTACAGGCAGAGGTGTGGCACTGCCTAGTCCGTGTAAGGACTGACACACAGCTTAAGTGGCCTTGGCACTGATTGGGACAAGGAGGTGAGCACAGAGGCCATTAATGAGTTTGGTATCTCGCAGTAGGCAGCAGAGATCCAATGGCAGGAATGGATAATGCCCAGCGGGAACCCTGCAGTGGGGCTGCACATTAGAGGTCTTTGGAAAAAAGCAAAGTGTTTGAGCCCAATTTCTTAGGCAGCACCTCAGGGACATAGCTCGAGCTCGCCTAGTCACAGGCCTCAGTGTGCCCATCTGTGACCAGAAGGCTCCTCAGTGACTGTGAGAAGGTGGGTGAGAGATAGCCATTCTCTAGACCTCAGTCTCCACTTCTGCAGA
The DNA here is from genome assembly GCF_000001405.40 of Homo sapiens. Taxonomy (NCBI): domain Eukaryota; kingdom Metazoa; phylum Chordata; class Mammalia; order Primates; family Hominidae; genus Homo; species Homo sapiens. Next base: position 47,537,792 of record NC_000001.11, on the reverse strand, counting down.
GCCCTTGCCTCACCTCGGTCCCACTCCTGGGCACACAATGCAGGCCACACCACACTCTGCACACTCTAGACTTTGTTCTAAATCAGGCCATCCATCCAACCTGGTGTCAGTGCTTTGCCGGGCGTACCGGGAGACAGGGAGGAGGGGGCCAGGTGGACCGTGGGTTCCAGTGCTGGCCCTGGATTCCTCACATATAGGAAGGAATCACAGCAAAGACCATTCAGGGAGGCTGTGCCAAGTAAATGAGACAACCTCCAGACAGTACCAAATGCTGTACCAGGCACACAAAATACCTTCCATGAAGGGGGGTTCCCTGTTTTCCTCATTGCTTTGCCCAAGAGTCCGGATGGGCATGATTCACAGAGAGAGAATGCCAGAGCTGGAGATCAGCCCCTCATGGGTCCATGACGGTGGAGGCCAGAAAGTTGAATGGACTTTTCCAAGCAACAGTGATGGCAACCCCAATGTACACCAGCTTGGGCCTGGCTGGCAACGCAGACCCAGCCAGGTGTGGCACTCAGGTCCTCTGACACCCATCTGAGAGATCACTGCCCCTCAGATCCATAATGCTATGCAGGTTATGGGGAGCTTAGTTATTGATGCTGGGACCTGCAAAGTGGTAGCCAGGGTCTCACTCTGTCCCTGACGAGCATTCAAGAAGCCCAACCCAGCCACGTCCCCATTAACATCTCCACCGCCTATTGCTTTGAGGAGCAACTGTATGATTTGTGATTTCTGACATTTGTGCCCTTCTCTAACCCCTCCCCCCTTTCCTGTTTGGCCTGTGAATTGGAAAGGGCTGTAAACAGGCAGGCGGTCTCCTCGCCCTGGGGCGGGCCTGTCAGCCAGCCAAGGAAAGGTAGGACCCAGGGGACCCCCACCCCCACCCGCCCCACGCAGCCCAGCTGAGGAGCTTGTAAAGATAGGATTTGTTTGTTTTTTTGGATCTGGCTCAGGATCTGGTTGAGGCCAGGCCCTTTGGGGAAAAGCAACTTTTAAATAAATGCTTCAAGATTGCGCAAACATTTCAGTAGTATTGGAGGCCTGGCGTTCTGGGTCAGGGAGGGAAAAAAATACCTGTCAATCAGTCTAGAGATGAAAACCTGATAGCAGAATGGTTGGTGAGGACTAGGGCTTGGGTTGCAAATCTCAGTTGTGGCTGGCTAAGACTGAACTACACTTAAGCCCTCTCTCAAAAAATCATTTGCACGTTAATCAATAGAGCATCCCTGTTTGACCGACACACAGAGCACAAGGCGCTTGCAATCAGATCCATGGGATGTGTGCAAAAAGGACAGACTCTTTTTTTTTGAGATGGAAGTCTCATTCTGTCGCCAGCCTGGAGTGCAGTGGTGCGATCTTGGCTCAGTGCAACCTCTGCCTCCTGGGTTCAAGCAATTCCCCTGCCTCAGCCTCCCAAGTAGCTGGGACTACAGGCGCGCACCACCACGCCCAGCTAATTTTTTGTATTTTAGAAGAGACGGGGTCTCACCATGTTGGCCAGGATGGTCTCGATCTCCTGACCTCATGATCCTCCCACCTCGGACTCCCAAAGTGCTGGGATTACAGGCGTGAGCCACCACGCCCTGCCCAGACTCCTTTTTTGAGGCAGACAGAACTGAATTTTAGTCCTGGCTCTGATACTGATTAGTTCTACAGTCTGGGTAAGTTATTTAGTATCAGTTAGCCTCAGTTTCTTCACTGGTAAAATGGGATTGTAAGTTATTGTAAGAATAAAATGAAATACAGATTGCAACATCAAACCTGACCCAAGCAAAAGCACAGTAATAAATAATGACAATTTTATTACCTGCCACATATCAAGCATTTTCAATGAGTGAGAACTTGCATCCATTTGCAGTGAGCCTCAAAACACATCCTGCCTGGCCAGGCATTCACAAGCATATCCAACATACCTATTCCACACCAGGTCAGGTCTCTGTTGGCCAAGAGTTAAACTCAGCCTCTGACCTCAGAGCTCATGGTCTTGAAACAAGGATGCTCCAAGCTAACACTCTAAGCTGGGCGAGAAAAGTGTATGCAGAGCATGAAACAGGGAAAGAAAGAGATGGTTCTGTGGGCTTCTGTGAAGAGTGGGATCTGTGCTGGGTCTTGAAGGAAGAATAAGACGTCCACAGGCAGGCTTTGGAAAAGAGCATTCCAGATGCAGGGACCAGTTTAAGCAAAGGCTCCAAAGCAGGACCTATATACAGAAAGTTAGGATGCAGTAAAGAGGTTATTTGGGAAACAAAGCTGTCAAAGTTAGGCCGAGGTTGAAGAGCAAAGAATCCTGCACGGAGAGGATCTCACTTGGTTCTCTGGGCCAGAGGAGTGTCTCCTCCTGCTCCACACCCCCCTTCTTTTCCCAGCACCTGTGTAACTAAGGCAACAGCCCAACCTCTCTATGTCTATATATCCCAACCTCAACGGGCTCCTGGAGGTGAGAGGGTTTTGAGCAGGTTAAAGTGCCACCAACACTGAGTACTGAGTACTGAGTTTACATGTACACACACAGACAAGCACATATGCATATGCTCACGCACCTATGCACAGGCTCAGGAATCAGAAAGACTTGGCTTCTGATCCCAGCTTCTCCGTTTACTGCAGCATAATCCCAAGCAACGCATGTATCTAATGCATATAAAGCACCAATGTGATGTGTGCCATGTGGCAGGCACATACGATATGGTCATCATCTAACATGCTGACACACTCAAACTATCTGTTTCTCCTTCAAGAGGAAACTAGCACCTAACCCCATAACTTCATGAGACCATGCAGCCCAGAGATCAGCCCCCAACTCCTTCGTGTTACATATGCGGAAACTGAGGCTCAGAGAAGAAAGAAAGCAAACACAACTCGGAAGCAGAGGAGCACATGGCAAGAAGGCTTCCTGGAATGAGCAGTCATCGTGCTGAGTCTTGGAGATAGAATAGGACTCCCAAGGTGGCTCCATGTGGGAAGAGCATTTTAAGCAGAGCGAACAGCATGAGCAAGTGTCCAGAGATGAACTCAGGGAAAGGCCAGTCACCTAGTCTGGCAGGGCCAGGGATGGGGTGTGATAAAGATGAAGCTGAGGAGCTGGGGGAGGCTCTAAAGTCCAGGCAGGGAGGGCCTGCTAGGGCATGCTAGGGAAGCCAGAGGCCCTTGGGAGCAATGAGGAGCCCGATGCTGAAGGACAGCAGCGTGAGTCAGCATTTCAGAAAGATCCCTTCAGTGTCCGAAGCAGGACCAGAAGCTTGGCCCAGGGCAGTGCCAGGAGGGAGGGCAAGAAGTGAGTGGATTTAAGAGACACTGAGGAGATACAAGACTCCTCAAAGAGCATTTATTTCCTGGAGATGAAGACAGAGTGGACACGAAGCAAGCTGACACTCAGGGACTGTAGCTGTGGGATTTTGAACAGAGGAGCATGCTCAGAACAGGGGGCTTCCTAAGGACTTCTCCCCACAGCCAGCCACTGCCCCTCCTACAAGGAGTCCTGCACCACACCCCATTCCATCCCCGTGTGGAGGGCAAAGGCCTCAGACCCACAGGAGGAGGCCCATAGAGCAAGGTGGAGAAGAAAGCCCAGCTCCCCTCGAGGGGGGTGCCAGGGTGGCCCAGTCAGCGGGCAGTGGACCAACTTCTCCTCCAACTCTATCTCCATCTGGCTACCTGCCTAGGGCTGCCCTCAGCCTCTTCCTGTGTGCCTTGGAGCCAGCCCCTCGCTGCTCTGACCCTCAGTCTCCTCTTGTGTAAAGGGAAGGTAACAATTCTTAGCAAGTGAGGCTGCTGTGATCATTCAGTGAAGTGGCTGGCAGCTGCCATGCCCAGAGGGGATGCTCAAAGGGCGTCAGTTCCTTTCTCTCAGTAAATGATTCCTTTTATGTGTGATGTGTCCTTTCCAATTTACAAACCCTCTTCATTTACCTGCACACAACCCCGTGAGATGAATATTAGCCTCACCCCGGTGGACCGCCTGGGCGGGCAAACGCTCTCTCACGCTGGCGGGCAGGATTTGAACCCGGGTTCCTAGGGCTCTGCAGGCCGCCACTGTCCCCGTCCTCTCTCTGTCTCCGGCTTCTCCCGCCTGGCCTGCCGCGGCCCGCCGCCCCCTCCTTCCTCCCCTCTTCCGCCCGCCCCCTGCCCCCTGCCTCCTCCCTCCGCCTTCTCCCACCCCCTGCCCCTCGCGACTTCCCCCTCCCCCCCGATCCTCCGGCGCCGCCCCCTCCTCCTCCTTGTCCTCGCAGCCCAAATACGCGACACCTGGAGCAATAGCAGCCGCCCGGCGGCCTGGGCCTCATTACAGGCCGGCCCTTATCGCGGCGTGCATCACATTATTTCATTTCAAAGAATCCGCAGAGAAACCCGTCCCGGCCGACAACAGAAAGTAAAAACACAGCTGACTCCCATTAGGGCCCTCTCACAGGCTCCGCGTGAGGTAATGAAATATGGAAGCGGTGAGATATGTAATGCTTTATTAAGCGGTCTCAGCTACAACGGCGTGCATGCCAATTACGCCTGCAGGCTACCGCCCGCCCCCGGCTGCCGGACCACCCAGCGCGCCTCCCCCCGAGTCCCGGACGGGGAGAGGAGGAGCCAGGGGAGGAGGCGGGAGGAAGGGAAGGATGGGGAGGACAATGGGGGAAGAAGAGGGAGGATGGAGGAAGGGGGTGTGAGGGAAGGAGGAGAGAGGAAGAGGAGACAGCGGAGGTGACCAGTGCCAGCTGTGGGTCACAGCCTCATGTGGCCTGAAAGCCAGGCCTATTCTCTCCCCGAGGCCAATAGGCCCCTGGGAATCTCAGAGCTGGAGGACGCCTAGATTCCTGGAAGACCAGAAACGGAATCGCCAAAAATAAGGCTCAGAGAGGGAAGGACACTTACTGAAGTCACACAGATGAATCCTGAACAAGTTTGGAGGGAAATCAGGCCTCCTGTTTCTTAAACTAGATAGCTTCCATTCTATCAGACTACCTCTTCTTTTTCCCCTAATAATGTCTAAATGACAAAGTCCCGGACTTGTGTGGATGAGAGACGTGTTCATTTTTTACATCTGCCCTTCTGATGCCCTGAAATCCTCTGTGCTCCACCCTCCCCACACCCCCACCAACACATACACACTCTAACTGATCCTACATGTTTGCCGGAGAACACCTCATTTATTCAGTAATAAGAACTGAACAGCTACTGTGGCCAGGTGCTGAAGAAACAAAAATGAAACATTCATGCTGTCTGCCCTGGAAGAGCTCACAGTCTGGCAGGTGAAAATAACACCTAAACCAATAAGAGAGAGTGTACGGCCTTAGTGGAGTACCTGTCGCATAAAGAGAATCAGGCAGATCTTCCCATAAGGTCAGGGAAGCCCCAGGACATGTGATGTTGGTACAGTCTTGTGAGGTGAATAGGAGTTAGGAGAATAGGAGGAGAAAGCCCTGAGAAACCTGCCTATGAAAACTTTGGAGCACTGAGTATCCACAACTCATTCAAGGAATGACTAATATTTTTAGGAGGAAGGAATAGGACCAATGTTAGCTAAAGTGTAGAGATGGAGAGCACCAGAGGTTTTGTTAAAGTAAATTATTTAAATCAGTGAAAGGCAGGGTACTCATTCGTTTCTTGATAATTGTTTTCCTTTTAACCTTGCTCCCAATAGAATTTCTGCAAGCTATTCATACTATTTTAGAGTAGAAAGGTTCAGACCTCTGTTTTCATCATACAGGTGACATTACCCCCATTTTACAGATGAGGCTCTGAGAAGTAATTTGTATCACACAGAAAAAAAAAATGGGACTTTCATTTATTGTGAACTTAGTATGTGCCAGGTACTCTACTAAGGATTTTATATACATTTATTATCTCATTTGATCTTCAAAAAAAAAAACAAAAAACAAAATCCTGTGAGAACGTTTCCTAAAACTAACTTCTTTCACTCTTTATGTCTTCGGACAGGCTGTTCCTCCTGCCTTACAAGTCTTCCTTTTCCTTTACCTGGTGCACTATTTAGGCTTCTGGCTAAATAATGGGCTTCAGACAAAAGAGCCAACAATACAGTAGTTCAGATAGGGTAGAAGTTTATGCACTTCTCATGTAATGGCTTGAAGATAGGCATGTGGCCCAAGGTGAATGGGACAGATGTGCTCACCAAGCTCATCTGGGGGCTCAGGTTCGTTCTATTTTGTTGTCCCACCATCTCCTTATGGCCAAAACTTGTTCACTCACATCATGGCCACATTCCAGCCATGGGAAGTGGTGGCAAGCGATTTCACTTCCACTTGCTTTTAGTTAGTATAGAAACTCAGTCCCATGGCTTCACCTAGCTGCAAAGAAGGATGATAATTATCATCTCTAACTAAGTGGCCATGTGTCCTGCTAAATCTGAGAGGAATATTTCTGTTATTTAAAGGAAGAAGAGAAGAACAAAATGGGGAATGAACAACATACGCCACCACCCCTACTTGTCATTTATGGTCCAGTTTGAATGTTTCCTCCTCTGTGAAGCCTTCTTGGATACTTCCCCAATTAATTATCCCATCATCTGTGTTGTTTTTGTTTTTGTTTTTTGAGACCAGTCTCGCTCTGTTTCCCAGCCTGGAGTGCAATGGCGCAATCTCAGCTCACTGCAACCTCTGCCTCCCGGATTCTAGTGATTCTCTTGCCTCAGCCTCCCAAGTAGCTGGGATTACAGGTGCCCACCACCACACCCAGCTAATTTTTGTATTTTCAGTAGAGACAGGGTTTCACCATGTTGGTCAGGCTGGTCTCGAACTCCTGACCTCAGGTGATCCACATGACTTGGCCTCCCAAAGTGCTAAGATTATAGGTGTGAGCCACTGCACCCAACCCGTCTGTGCTTTTATCCAGTCCCTTGTACTTTGCTGCTTTATACTTCTCAGTTTGCAGGCCTGTCTCCCCAGCTGGCCCTTTAAGCTGTTGTTTCCTCATCTGTAATAATACACCCTATAAATAATGATCACTTGCTACATCCTAGGCACTCTGCTAGGCAAGTCTGGTTTTGTTGTTGTTGTTGTTGTTGTTGTTGTTGTTCTTTGTAGAGATGGGATTTCACCATGTTGCCCAGGGTGGTCTCGAACTCCCAAGCTCAAGTGATCTGCCTGCCTTGGCCTCTCAAAGTGCTGGGATTACAGGCATGAGCCACTGCGCCCAGCGAGCTAAGCAAGTCTTATGCATTAACTTATTTAATCTTCCCAGAACCCTGGGGATTTCCGTCTTTGTAAAATGAGAATAGTAATGATATTGACTTCATAGGATTGCTGTAAGGATTGAAACTGGTATTGAAATGGGTATTGAGTACATGCTTAATGCTTAATAAATAAGAGCTACTACTGTTGTCTAAGTATGGATTAATAAATCTACCAACGTAAGGGGTTAGTCCAGTTATAAACTATGCTCCCTGCCCAACACAGCTAACAGCTGACCTATAAACATTAACCTTACACCAGGGTATGTAGGCACCTAGAGGTGCACGGTCAAAGAGGGGCTCTTGGTAAGGTGGGAAGTATTCTATGAATACAAAATACAGTCAGCCCTCATTATATGTGGGTTCCTATTTGCAGATTCAACCAACAGTGGATCAAAAATATTCCAGAAAATAAAAAATAAATAAATACATAACAATATAACAATAAAAATAATACAAATGTGTAAAAACTATTTACATAGCATTTACATTGTATTGGGTATCTAAGTAATCTAGAGATGATTTTAAGTACACTGGAGGTTATATCTGTAGGTTGTAGGCAAACATGATGCCATTTTATATAAGGGACTTGAGCTTCTGTGGATTTTTGTATCAATCTCCCCTCAGATACTGAGGGATGACTATATCACAGTCCTAGAAAGCACTACTGTTATTTTCCTACCCTGAGATAAGAAAGCAAATTTACTCAATCTAGCCAGAACCATGGCTCAAAGCAGACTGAGCACTGTGTTACATTGCTTCCAGAAATGTTGCTTAATATAGTATAATTTGTATTTTAATGGAGGGGAGGGGACAGTAATTGATTAGATACAGTGCATAAATTGCTGGCCACAGAGATTAACTGGCCACAAAAGGAAGATTATAGTTTGGACACATAAGCTATTTTAGACACTATCACTACCTGGTGGCAGCAAGAAGTATTGCAGGCATAGAATCTCATTCAGTCAAATGAGGCAAAAATTCCCAAATACCAGTTTTGAATTGTTTTAATATGCTAGATATAATCAGGACCTTTTCAAAACATTTGGCTTTCTCTCTCTTATCAATAAGCTGCCCCAGGCCATTTCCGTTGTTCTTGGCCACTAGCATTTCCTGTATTTTTTCTTCTTTACACTTTAGAATTTCTGAAAACAGAATGTGTTTTACAATAGTGGGTCAGCCTCCAAGAGGAAGAGTAAGTTGTCAGGTAGTTCTCTCATGTTTATGCAATGTTACTTCAATTGTGTAATCTACAACGATAATAATATACAGATTGACTGTTAAATTTAGATCCCTAATTATTGCTCTAAGTGTACCACAAAAATATTAAATTTGGTGCAAAAATAAATTTGGTGTTTATGCAAGAGATGGACTGTTACCCACCAGTCAGTGCAGTAACTGGCAGTTAAACTTGCCTTGGCTCTCTGAATATATCAGAGAATTTTCTGAGATGGTTCTGTCAAATTGATCCTTCAGGTCCTATAACTTGAGCACTAAACACCTGCCTATCAGAGCGTCCAGCTAACTTTCAATAAAAGCTATTTAACTTCCAGAAATATGCAATGCAGATAATGGAACAGAAAGGGGAACTGTGTGTTTATTCAAAGCAGAAATGCACACAAAATACCAATATTATTCAATATATCTTGAGATCATACTGTTAATTTTAAAGAAATAAAGTTCACATCCATGAGATACAAAAACAGCACCATAGCTATGATATTCTGCATAATTGCTGATGACCTAAAGGAATTCAACAGAATAGAGATGTTCCATTATACCCTCAAACACTGATTGTGATCCTGAAAAAAAAGTGACCAGTTGTAGAAACAACTGCATGTTGTCAGTTATTTTTCTTAAGTGTGTATTTTTAATGTGCAATTCTCCCCGACTCCAAAGTGTAATTAAATCAATAGGGCATCTTACAAGTTGTAGTGCCTTAGTATCAAGAAACTCCAATTTCAGTTGACACTAAGCTGCTCTTCAGAGAAGAGGTGTTCAATATCTCATTAGCCCCTGGGTTCTGACACTCATTCTAGCATTAAGTTCTCCCAACCATGACATAATAATAATAACAATAATGATAATACTACCAATAATACTAATGAACACCTGTATAGTACTTTACTATTTCCAGAGTGCTTGCATGTATTTTCTCATGTCATCCTCACAACAGTTCCTGAAGACAGCTCCTTTTTATAGATGAGGAAATGGGGCTCAGAGAGATGACCTGGCCTAGTTAAGGTCACACAGTGTGACTGACACCCGCCATACCCCTCTCCTCCACACACCGTCATCTTTAGCCTGACTTCCTTTCGCTCTTTCTTCATCCCTTCTCTGTCTGTTTCCCTTATCTCTCCAGGCATCTCTATCTTCCTGTCTCTGTCTCTCTCTATCCCTGTCTTTAGGGCTCATTTTCCTATTTCCTTGCTCTTTTTTCTCTTTATCTCCCCCCTCTCTGTTTTATGATTCTGTATCTCTTTAATTTTCTATGTCTTATTGCTTTCCCTCTATTTTTGCCTTCTTATGCCCGTCTGTTCTCTCTTCTTCTTCTCCCCTCTTCCTCTCCTCCTCCTCCTCCTCGTCCTTCTCTCTCTCCATCCCTCCCTCCTTCCCCTTGTTTCTCAGAGCCTGAAGATGAATGTTTTGTCTCCTGACGGGCAACATCTTTCTCTTCTCTAAGGATAGACCTACGCAAGGAAGGAGGGAAAGGAGCATGGGGTAGCAATGAGGAGTCACCTTGGCCTTTGTCGCCCCCTAGAGTCTGCTCATTCTGCCCAATCTTCCTGCCCCAGGCTGATCCCCTTTAGCCCCAACCAGTGACTGTTGGGGAGAAGCCAGCCAGGGACCAGCCTCCACATATTCTACCTGTGTGTCCGGAAAAATAAAAAGTTAAATGGAGAGTTCTGGGCATCTTGACAAAGAAAATATAACTAACACCACACTCGGAGTCCCCAGAGCTGGATTAGGATCACCTTGTCTTTCTGAGCATCCATTCCTCACCCATGAAGTGGATTACCTTGCAAGGGCTGTTTTTAGGTATTGATTAAGGCCTTGACTGTGAAAACGCCTGCCACGTGACAATTGCTCAATAAATATTTGTTAATTTAGACACAGAGTCTAACAAAAGGAAGACTGTTGAAACAGTAGAGAAGGATGGAGTGTTTAGAGTAATGAGAGATGTTACATCAGCTTCATGTTCTACAGTTGCAGAAGTGACCGCAAATTCTTCCTATTCCATCAAGAGATGGAGGCTATTTTCTCACCTTTGAATCTGGGTTGGCCGTGTGATATGCTTTGGCCAATGGATCGTTAGCAAATGTAATGCAAGCAGAGGCTCTAAAAGTGCCTACACATCGAGTGTTCTCACTTATAAATGGGAGTTAAGCTAGGAGGACGCAAAGGTGTAAGAATGATACAATGGACTTTGGGGACTCGGGATGGGGGGAGTTGTGGGGAGGGATGAAGACTGCATATTGGGTACAGTGTACACACTTCAGGTGATGGGTGCACTAAAATCTCAGAAATGACCGCTAAAGAACTTATCCATGTAACCAAAAACCACTTGTACCCCAAAAACTATTGAAATTTTTAAAAAAAGTTAAGTGCTTATGCATTGAGGTTTACCTACTCTTGCTGCCTTTGGAAGACTGTGACTACCACTATGTGAAGAATCCCAGTGCTGGCCTGCTGGATGATGAGAGATGTGTGGCCCTTGTACCCTTGTCACCCCAGCCATCAGCCAGCCAACTGCCAGGTATGTGGATATGGCCATCACTGTCATCTAATCACACGCATAAGTGTCTTGGTTATTTATAGCTGCATAATAAATTACCCCCAAGGCAGCTTCAAACCATATTTCTTCCCTCAGTTTCTGAGGGTCAGAAATCTGGGAGAAGTTTAGCTGAATGATTCTGGCTCAAAACATCTCAAGGTTGCAGATAATTTGGTTATCTCAAGGCTAAACTGGGACTGGTGAATCTGCTTTCAAGCTCAGTTACCTGATGATTAGCAGGCTTGAATTCCCGTCTGGCTATTGGGCAAGGGCTTTAGTTCCTCACCATGTGGGCCTCTCCATAGAACTGCACACAATCTGGCAGCTAGCTTCCTCCAGAGTAATTGATCTGAGAGAACAAGAAAGCATGAATGAGAGTGACCCACACAGAAGGTGCAGTCTTTTATAACCTAATCTCAGAAGTGACATACCATCATTTCCACTATTTGCTAGTGATCAGAGTGCAACCATGCTACAGTGTGGGAGAGAACCACCCAAGGATGTGAATACCAGTAGACAGAAATCATAAAGGATCATCTTGGAGACTGGCTGCCACAATGCCTAATAAGCCCAACTGAGACTAGCAGAAGAACCAAATGGCTAAGCCCAGCCCTGGTTGCCAACCCACAGCTTTATAAATGGTGTTGTCATAAATTTCAGGGTAGCCAGTTAAGGAGAAATAGATAACTGATGCAAATACCATATGCCCCAGCATCACCTTCTTGTTTATCATTCAATTTAGACTTGTTTACCACTAGTCTAAAAGAATCCCCCACCAGTCACCAGCAGGGTGGATCACGTCTGTATAAGCTGAATAGCTCTGCAGAGTCTGCAGAGGGCTTGACTCTGGCTGCCACTCAGCCCAAGAAAGCTCAGAATGGGCCAGTCTCCTTCTGATTGTGGCTGCTACCCAGACAGAGAGCTCCCAACTCCACTCTACCCAGCCCTCTTCCTTCTCTGGAACCACCTCCTAGGTAAGATGAGTCTTTAGAAGAGAGGCACATGAGACCAAAGGACTTGGGGCTGGCAGGAGCAGGAGAAAACAGTCAACACCTGCCACACTCTGCCTTTACTATGGAGTACAGCCATGACTCAACACACATTGCAAAGCATAGTGCAAGCCTGCTTCAAGGAACTGAACATCAGGACCTGAAAGGTCCTCAGCAGGAAGCTTCCTTAACCCCTTATTAAACAGATGAGGACATTTCCCCAAAGTCACACCATGAACCTGCAGCAGCAACAAGGTTAAACCCAGCACTTCTGTTCTCAGCCCTGGGCTTGTTTCTTTGCCATATGCAAAGAGCACATTGCAACCCTGATAACATTTCTGTTCAGAACAGAATGTATTTTTAAATATTGCCCATCTGGGACTCAGAGAACAGCCCAGGGCAGCAAGGAAGAACCAGCAAGAACAGAAAGGGGAAAGGGGAACTTATTACCTAATTACTTCTCACTAGTGTGACACCCTCCTGCCCCTTCTCCCCACTCCTTGTAACCCAGGACTCCTGCCTGCTCATATAACCAGACCCCATTGAGGCATTTACCCCAACCTGCACTTCCCAAGAGACACATGTCAATAATAGAATATCTGAATCAGAAGCAAAAGTCCTGGAATCTTAGCATCTCAGAAGAGGAAGGGACCCTCTCCTGGACTGTACTCTCTTCATGACAAGTGGCATTTCAATCTCTGCTTACATACTCCCAGGGACCAAGAACTCACCACCTCCTGAGTTGGTTGGAAAGAGTTTTAGAAACAGATCTAACGCAGTTCAAGTCCTAGCTTTGTGACAGACAGCTGTGCAACCTTTGATAAGTCATTGACCTCTCTACGCCTCATAGTCCTCCTCCACAAAATAGCAATAATGCCACAACAGGTTTATTGTGATAATTAAATAAGTTTATCAATGCATGCAAAGTTCCCTGAAAGTAATCAGCACACCACAATTTTTATGATAGGCAGAAGCTAAGAACTGTAGACACAAGGATCCTTTCCATTAGCAGTACCTACTTTCCACCTGAGCACCCCACCCCAAACACACAGAGCTGCAAGACATTTAGGGTGCCCCTGAGGTTCCTCCTTAGACACAAAAAGTCAAGAAAAATTACCTATCATCTCAGGCATGCAGGAAAGGACCGGACAGTAGGGTACCAGAGGGTGAGAAGGAGGGGATTGCTCACGTGGATGTGTCAGGCTTAGAATATCCAAGGATAAGGGAAGGGAGAGAGAGAGAACGATTGCAGATATGCACTAGTGAGGGGTGATGGAAAGGTTTTAGCAGGAAGTCACATGGACAGAGCTAAGATCCCATAGGCCGGGCACTGGTTGAAGGGGGTTAAGAAATACCTCCCACAAGGCGTGGTGACTCACGCCTATAATGTCAGCATTTTGTGAGGCCAAGGCTGGAGGATTAATTGAGCCCAGGAATTCAACACCAGCCTGGGCAACATAGTGAGACCCCGTCTCTACAAAAATTAAAAAATTAGTCAGGCATGGTGGTAAGTGCCTGTGTTCCCAGCCACTTGGGAGGCTGAGGTGGGATCATTACTTGAGCCGAGGCAGTAGAGGCTGCAGTGAGCCATGATTGTTTCACAGCACTCCAACCTGGGTGACATAGCTAAACTCTGTCTAAAAAAAAACAAAAAGAGAGAGAGAGAAAAGAAATAACTCAACTCTGCTTTGAAGGCTAAATAAAGGCCACTCACAGCTTTGTTCCTTCAACAGCAGAAGTTGGCAACTTCGAGATATGAAATCAGAGGCGTGAGCCATTCAGATAGAGAATTTGACACTTGGGGGCAGGGGCGCACCTCTCAGCATCCATATCATCTGCCACAAAGCAAAACAAATTTGCAAGCCAGTCATTGAGTGTGGGAAGTTGCTAGGGAGCAAGGGACAGGAAATGGAAATTGATTACACCTTCCCATTGTCATTCACCCACAATATACAAACTGCCACAGGAGCCTTTTAATTCAGTGTGCTGCCTCTGTGGTTCATTTTCGTGTAATTAAACAGCTCTGAGGCCCTGCTGGGCTTGCTTTTGAGCTCACCATCTTCCACTGCCCCTTCACATCCACCTTCTACCCTTCTTGCTCTCTTCTGTGCCTCCAAGGCTGGCATGTAAGGACTACACTGATAGGACAGTGGAGACTCGGCAGAGTCAGAGGGAGAGCTGGCACACCAGGAATTGGCACATCCCTCTAATTGGAAAGCCACAGCCCCTGGCAGCCAACACCTGCCATAGAACGGTCTCTCCAGTTTTCAGTACCTAGCGGTGGTACTAGCTTCCTGACGTGACCAGCCCCAGAGCACTGCCCCATCCCTTATTGCTTTTTTCAAGCCCTCCCTACACTTTTGTAAATAGTCCCTTCTAGAAACTCACCTCCATACCTAGAATGGGCAAATTCAGAGAGATAGAGAGTAGAACAATGGATACCAGGGGGAGGGGAAGAGAGAATGGGGAGTTCGTGTTTAAAAGGGTACAAAGTTTCGGTTGGGGAAGATAAAACCATTCTGGAGATGGATGATCGTGATGGTTACACAACAGTGCGAATATACTTAATGCCACTGAACTGTATACTTAAAAGTGGTTAAAATGATAAATTTTATGCTATATACATTTTACCAACATAAAAAAAAACTCACCAACATTAGCCAACCTTAGCATGCCATCTGTTTCCTCCTGGCATCCTGCCTGAGATATTTTCCCCCAGTGCTGTTTTCCCCAGCAGGTCCAAAGTCTGTGAATCTTGGACCATGGGAGTTTCAGGACACTGACCTCAAGGTCAGGGCAGCTGGACTCCCACAGGTTATATGCTCGCTGAATGCAATGGAGACCATTGAAACTGAGCTGAATAGAATGGACACTCCTGTGCTACGGACTGAATGTCTGTGTCCTCCTCAAAGTTCATATGTTGAAACCCCAATCTCCAATGTGAGGATATTTGGAGGTGGGGCCTTTGAGAAATTATTAGGGTTAGATTAGGTCATGAGGGTAGAACCTTCATGATGGAATTAATGCGCTTATAAAAAGAAAACATGAGATCCCAATGATTCTCTCACCTCTCTCTCTCTCTCTCCCTCTTATACAGCAAGAAGGCAGCTGTCTACAAGCCAAGAAGAGAGCCCTCACCAGAACCCAACTATGCTGGAAGCTGGCACCTTGGTCTCGGACTTCCAGCCTCCAGAAGTATGAGAAAATTAATTTCTTTTATTAAAGCCACACAATCTATGGTATTTTGTTATAGGAGCCCAAGCAGACTAACATACCTGGGAGGGTGCATAATTCTGGGCTCCCACAGACATACCTGGAAAGGATGGTCACACATGAGGATATTCATGACCTGGTCTGCAAACTTGGTTCCAGACCAATGTTTCTTGTTCTCTGATTGTTTCACATGCCAGTTCCAGCTCCTCACACAGCTGGGGGCCAGGAGATGGATCCTTACTCTGCAAATGTCTATGTGACCTTGGGCAACTCTGTCCCCTCTCTGGGCCTCTGTTTCCCTTTTGTACAATAAAGGAATTAACAGTGATATTCAAACTTTTAACCAGAAGAATCCATTCTTCAAATGAAACCTTAGAGAGAAGCTCAAAGTCAAAGCAAAATAAAATCAGGGCTACTCAGGCTGAGGATGGGGTGGCAGGCCCAGAGCTCCACTTCTTTCCTACATACCCCATCCTGGTAATTTCCAGAAAATACCAGTGTTGTAATTTCTGAACCCTAGGGTTCCATGAGGCACAGTTTGATGATCACTTTCCTAGATGGCCCTGTTTGGCAGGGTGTGGTGGGGACAGTGCTGAGCATGTGTGCTCAGTATAAATGTTTGCCAGTGAATGAAAACAGAACCGGGAAGCACACACAACCCCCTGATCTCTCCTCTCTGCCTCATTTCTCACCCCTCGGAACTGAGCGGAGGGGACTTGGGCCCAGGCCTACAGTTCACTAAACAAGGCTGCTAACTACTCACTCCCTCCTCACCCTGCAAGACTCACTCCCTCCTCACCCTGCAAATAATACTCTGGTGGATGAGGAATTGCCGAGCCCTTGTCTGCCTCCCTCTTGATGGGAAACTTGCAGTTCCCTGGCCGGGGCAGCCTGTTACCTCCGAACACAAGCAAAGGGGCCAGGCTGGGGCCAAGAACAATATTTTGTCAGTGAGTCTATTATAAAAATAATGGAATAAAAGAAGTCACCCTCAATAAGTGATGTGCAAGCTTCCCTTCAATCTGCCACGGCCTGACAAGGGCTAAGATGGCCCTTCCAGAACAGGCATGCAGCCAAGAGCTTTAAATAATCATTAAAAATATGTTTGTGATTTATCACCGGGGACGGGCTGGGCATGAGGCTGTGAGGCAGCAGCTCCTTCAGCACCACACCACAGATCTCACAGCCCCGCCCCTTCCCTCTTCAGCTCTGGCAAGGGGGTAGATGGGCATGGTCACCCTCACCCTCCCAGGTAATCCCTGAGCTGTGACTTCCCAAAGGAGAGGAAATATCCAACTGTAAAAGGTCTATCTCCCTCCCTTCTGGCCAGGGGAGAGCAAATCAAGGTCATGTCGAATGTTTCCCGTGTGTTTAAGGCATTGTTCCAGGAACTGTACACGTATCACCTCATTCAATCCTCCTGACAACCCAATGAGCCCTATGCTAGTATGACTGTGCCATTTTAAGTCTGAGCAAGCTAAGGCATAGAGATTGTAAAGTGCTCCCTGAGAAGTGGACGGGTAGGGATTGGAACCTCATGTGTTTGGCTCCAGAGTGGCCTTAACTGGGTTATGATGCCTCCTAGATGAGGGTGGGGCAGGGCCTTTCTCCTGCCTTCACTCCAGATTCCCAATCACCACCCCCTTTGGTGCCTTCATGGCCTCTGTACAAAGGGAATCCCAGCATCCCTCAGCCCCCAATTCCATTTATCATTTATACCCTGTGAGTAGTAGACATGGAAGCCCCCACTTAGCCCGGCTGTCCTGTACACAACACCTTACCTTCAAGCCCCTTTCTGAGCCTCTGCTGAGGTAAGGCGCAGAGAAAACCCACAAAAATGGAAGATGGCCAACCAAAGTGTGAAGGATTCACCTAAAGGCCCCTGAGTCCAGTAAACCTGATGCTTTGTGGCTGTCCAAGAAGCTGGAGGTGGTCATGCGTGCTTGGCCAAGAAGTCACCTCCTAGGACTACAGAGCAAAGAGGCATGGCTAGGAATCAGGACACGGGCGTCTTGGTCCCAGCTCTGCCCTGGACTTGCCTAGAAACCTGGACAAGGCACTCGTCGTCCTTGGGCTTCAGCTTTATTTTCTGATAAATGATCGTGAAAATACTATTTTATCTTCCAAGGCTTGTAAGAAAGCCAAAGAAGGAAATTTGTTAAGTGGGAGGAGAGGAGGAAGAGAATTTGCAAACTGTAGGGTGCTGGGCCTATGGAAAGACTATTATTATTAGTATTGACTTCCCAGGTGCCAGCAAACTTCTTCCTACATGAACAACTCTCAGGTCAATTAATGCCGGCTTCAAATCCTGGGCCATGCAGTTGGAGCTAGGTTAAAGATGCCTCCTGAGTCAGTGATAGCTCTTCAGCAAGCACAGCTCTTCCTGGAGACAGGGCCCTCCTCAGCAGGCAAGGACAGTGACAGCTCTTCCCCAAAGGCCCACGCTGACCTAAAGAGATAAGTCCTGGCTTATTGTGAGTGACAGACAGGCCAGCCAGGGATGGCCTTGTTCACCAGTGGACGGCTCTGTTTGCTCATGTAGCTCCCTGCACAGATGGACAGAGAGTCTCATGTCACTCCAGTGCTCACCTTCTCCTCTCAGAGGATAGTGTGCCCTTCAGCCAGAGTTCCACAGTCATCAGCAGCCCCAGCCCCACTCCAGGTGCTTATCCTGCTTTGCTGCCCAAAAGCTGCACTCACCGGCCAGTGTCCAGGGCTTTTCTCACATCGAATCTTCAAAGCCACTGTGTGGTCTGTATGGCTGATGCCCATTCTATAGCTAAAGAAACTTAGTTTTAAAAGGATTAACTGCCTTGGGCAGAGTCAAGGCTATACCTCCTCCTGATCCATCATGTCTTCATCCACCCTCCCTCCCTGCCCACACCATCACTGATTCATAACATGATGTATTCAGTCATCCATCAGACATTCTTGGGTGCATCAACCTGTCCTTGGCCCACTGAGTTGGATCAGATAAGGCTCTGGCCTTCAGGGAGCTCACAGTCCAGTAAAACACACTTTGAAATCACAACTCTGAGTAGCACGATGCTGTAGTCAGAGACCTGGGCCCCGGTCCTGACTCCACCCGTTTTTCTATTTTTTTTAGAGACGGAGTCTCAAAACCTTCCCCAGTCAATTCCACCCTCCAGAGGCAAACACTGTTCTGACTTCTAACACACTAGAGATTAGTTTTTTGGTTTTTTGTTTGTTTGGTTTTTGTTTTTTTTTTTGACGAATTCTCGCTCTATCACCCAAGCTGGAGTGCAATGGTGCCGTCTCGGCTCACTGCAACCTCAGCCTCCTGGGTTCAAGCGATTCTCCTCCCTCAGCCTCTGGAGTAGCTTGGATTCCAGGTGTGTGCCACCATGCCAGGCTAATTTTTGTATTTTTATTAGAGATGGGGGTCTCACCATGTTGGCCAGGCTGGTCTTGAACTCCTGACCTCAGGTAATCTGCCCACCTCGACCTTCCAAAGTGCTGGGATTACAGGTATGAGACATCACTCCTGGCCCTGACTCCACTCTTATATAGCCCTCTCTGGCTACCCCCATGCCCTTATTATCATTTCCTATTTATAGGCCAGTTTCTGCCACCAGATCCAGGGACTCTGAAGGATACAGGCACTGAGTCTTATTCATAATAATGATAATAATGCCCTGTGGCCCTTAAGCTGAGGCTTTGCAGTAGCAATCACTAAGCACTGAGTGGCTACAGGCCAAGCTTGGCTAACCACATAATGTGGGTTATCCCTATTCATCTTCACAGCAATCCTCAGAGAAAAGGCCCATGTTTTCCCCCATTTTACCTTGTGGAATCTAAAGCTCAGAGAGGTTAGACAGGTTTTCAAGGTTACACAGTTGGAAAGTGGCAGGGTCAGGAGTCATACTTTGGCCAGGTGAGCAGCTAAGTCACTACTCTTAAGCATGTGCTGTACATCTCCCTTCAGTGTTCTAGTACCACAGTGCCTGAATATGAGCTCCATGAGTGCTTGCTGAGTGAATGAGTGAACAAATGAATGAATGCATAGCTGCCCCACCACTACTAGGATACTGCAGCCATAGCACCCAGACCACCCGTGTCTTAGCTTGCACAGGCTGCTATAACAAATGCCTTAGACCGGGTAATTTATAAACAACAGAAATTTATTCCTTATGGTTCTGGAGACTGGGAAGTCCAAGATCAAGACACTGGCAGATTCAGTATCTGGTAAAGGCTAGCTCTCCGCTTCAAAGATGGTGCCTTGCTATTGCACCCTCACATGGCAGAAGTTCCCTGGACCCTCTTTTATAAGGGCACTAATCCCATTCATGAGGGCTCTGCCCTCATGACCTAGTTACCTCCCAAAGGCCCCACCTCTTAATACTTAATGCCATCACCTTGGAGGTTAGGTTTCAACATATGAATTTGAGGGTGGGAGGGATGCATACATTTAGACCACGGCAATCTGAGTCTCAGGAGGTGACATCTAAACCGAAAGGAGAAGTAAGAGGTAGCTGGGTAGAGAGTGAGGGGAGGGTGTTCCAAGCAGATACATGAGTGTGAGCAGAAGCTAAGAGGTAGCAGGGCCAGTGGAGCAACACTGAGGGGACTGAGAAATGCTCTGTGTTGCCAGAGTAAGATGGGAGGGGGTAAAAGGGAGAGAAGCTGTTGACAGAAAGGCTAGAGAGGAAAGCATGGGCCTGCAAATCTTGTAATCAAAGAATCAAGGAACTATGGGAGCTAACCCAGGTTTCTGGTCCCAAATCCAGGAGACGGACCAGGAGGCAGATGGACAGCCAGTCTACAGCTCTAGAAAGATCTAGAGACAGATTGAGGTTTGTGTTGTTGATACATGGACTGTGGTTGGAACCATAAGAGAACCTGAGATCCCCAGCTGGAGAGACGACATGTGTAAGGATGATAAAGGTGAGATACCACTGTGGGAATGGCCATCATTTTCCAAACTCTCCTGTGGCCCACGTATTCTACCCCACCCCCAAGAAATAGGGGTCTTTATCCCCATTTTACACATAAGAAAACTGAATTTGGAGAGATTATTTGTGTAAAGGAACCTGGTGGTAGGTGGTGAGGCTGGGGTTTGTGCTCTACCTGTCTCATCCCAAAGCTTAGGCTTTTATGTGTACATGTTACACATTTAAGTGAGCTTCAGAACTGTAACCCAGGACTCCCACTATTGGTCAGAAGACAAGGTAATCTGTGACTCTTTGTCCAGCACTGTGCTTATCACGTGGTACCCAGCCAGTCAGCACTGAGGAGCTAATTATCCCCCTCCACATCCAGAATAGTTTCCCTGACCCCCCAGCCCACGCCTACCCCTCTGTCATCTCCAGATGCCTCTACCCAAGGTACTCTTCCAGGAAACACCACAGGATCACCCTCTAGTGAGGTGGTAAGCTCTTTGTCACTGAAAGCAGAGGCAAGAGCCCTGGGAGAGGCCAGGAGAGAGGTCTAGTGAAGTTCCTTCCGGAGCTACCCTGGGAATCTCCCTCACTCTGCCACCAAGACTGCACTGTGGATTGCCCTTGCCTCTCGTGCCTTTCCAGCTGTGGCTCATGTGGCTTATGGCTCCTAATCTTTAGCATTCTGGTGCTCCACTCCAGCTGAACAAGCCTCTCATCCCATCTTCCAGGGGCTAGCTCAGCTCCCATCTTCCAGGAAGCAGTCTTCAGATAGAACAGGGACCAGAAACACCCTGGACACTCACTATCTGGATTCTTCAAAATACTCCACCTTACACAGCCTCAGAGGCCATCATTAATCCAGCTCTCACTAAGCACTTTTGAGCCAGACTCTGGGACAGCTCAATGAGGAAAACAGCAGCCCTGCCATTAAAAGGTTGATGGTAGAGGGCTTGGGGACTGATGTGTAGATGAAAAATAAAAAGGCGGCCAGAAATGGTGGCTCACGCCTATAATCCCAACACTTTGGGAGGCTGAGGTGGGAGGATCACTTGAGGTCAGGAGTTCGAGACCAGCCTGGCCAACACGGTGAAACGCCATCTCTACTAAAAGTACAAAAATTAGCTTGGCATGGTGGAGGGCACCTGTAGTCCCAGCTACTCAGGAAGCTGAGGTGGGAGAACTGCTTGAACCCAGGAGGTGGAGGTTGCAGTGAGCCAAGATCGCACCACTGCACTCCAGCCTAGGTGACAGAGTGAGACTCCATCTCAAAAAAAAAAAAAAGAGGTTTTAATTGACTCACAGTTCTGCATGGCTGGGGAGGCCTCAGGAAACTTACAATCATGGTGGAAGGCACCTCTTCACAGGGTGGCAGGAGAAGGAATGAGTGCCAAGCAAAGGGGGAAGCCCCTTATAAAACCATCAGATCTCATGAGAATTCACTATCATGAGAACAGTATGGGGGAAACCGCCCCCATAATTCGCTTATCTCCACCTGGTCCTGCCCTTGACACATGGGGATTATTACAATTCAAGGTGAGATCTGGATGGAGACACAGAGCCAAATCATATCAATTACTCTGAAGGAGAATATGACATAGAGCAAAAGGAAGGGGCAGATGAAATGCCCTCAGTGCTCCTAGAAGCAGGTGAGAGGACATCAGAAACGGGGAAGGGATGAAGGAAGGCTTCCTGGAGGAGGTAGTATTGGGGCTGTACCTTCCAAGAGAAGTGTTTCTACAGGCAAAGAACAGGGTGGAACTGCATTCCAGGTAGCATGCAAAACATAAGCAAAGGCCCAGAGTTTGGGTTAAGGTCACTAGTTGGTGTAGCTGAAGTACAGGGGTTTGACTGTATTGGGGTCAATTCCAGAGATTTTATTGAACCCCATGTTAAATGTACCATGGCAACAACTCTCTTCCCCTCAGTTTCACCATCTATAGAATGAGGCCACTGGAGTCAGTAACCCCTGGGCCCCCTAGTCCCTCCAGAATATGTCATTCTGCAGTGCCCAATCTCCCAGGCTCCTAAACACTTCCACATGTCAACCCTGACCTGGCTCCTTATCTTTGCCTATACAACACAGCCGGCCAGCCCTGCTTCCGCTTGGATGGCCTCCCTGTGGTCCTGGAGTGTACCGCTATTCTAGGGCCACCAGCCAGGTGGCCCCCTCTCCAACAGAAACACAACACCCAGGGTGGTGGGTCCTATGGAAACATCAGCCATTTCCCACCATCCTTCCCTTTTCTCCTCAGGCCTCAGCAGAGCCTGCGGAAAACGTGGGTTTATTTGGGGTCTGCGGGATACAGAGAATGTTATCATTCTCAGGGAACTCCAAGTCCTGGTTTCACTGCTTATTCTGGCCCCTCTCCGTGGATGCTGCAGGCCTATCAGGCAAGGAGGTCTCCCTCCTGCTTTCATACCACCCAGGGCTCCCAGTTCCAAGAGAGGTTTTGGGTTTCAGATAAATGAAGCAAATGCCTAAAGGGGTAGGCAACATCTTTAACTCCTGGAGCAGAGGGCTGAGCAAGGCCGAGGGCTCAAGCTGAGTCATTCCCCATCATGTCCCCTGACCCCCACCCTCGCAGATGGCAGGAATTTGCTTTTTCAAACTGCAATCTGAGAATTCTAGAAGCTTATGATCTGTGGATTCAAGGATCTTCAAACTGATGGAATCTTAGGCTGCCAGAACCTTAAAAATTGTTGAATCTTAGACTCCTAGAACCATGAAATTCTAGAATCTTAGGATCAGACCATTGTGTCCAGGAAAGAGATGGATTCCATGGCTTCCTAGCTATGTAACTTTAGGTAAGTGATTCAATATCTCTATGCTTCCATTTTCTCATCTGTAAAATTGGGTAATAATTGTACCTACTTCCTAGAGTTATTATGTGGTTTGAACGAGTGAATATGTATAAAGCACTTACAACACTGCCTGGCACATGGAAAGCACCAGAGACGTGACAGCTGTAGTTCTAAGATCACACAGCAGGGTAACAGCAGAGTTTGTGCTACAGTCCAGGTCCCTGGCTTCCCTGTCCAGAATTTTTCTGCCATTCAGCCATGCCACCTCTCAAGATCATTAGGAAAGGACCAACCTAGGGACCAGATAGATTTTCAATCATGGCCCAGTGGAGACCCTGCTTTGGAAATGTCCATGCAGGAGACAGGTTTCCCATCACTGAGAAATACAATGGGCAGAACCATGTTTCCTCCCAGAACAAAAAACTTTTGGCAGATGGAGTCAGTGAAAGCCTCTTGCACAATTTAGTGCACTCTCTCAGTGGGCTGACTGGGCTCAGCTAGGTGGTTCTTCTGCCCTACATGTAAGCTGAGGCTGCAGTCTTCAGGGGACTCAATTGTGCTGGAATACCCAAGATGACTCACTCATATGTCTGGCACCTTGTTGGGGATGGCTGGAAGGCTTGACTCAGCTGGGATACTAGGGCATCTAGGTCTCTCCCTCCCCAAGTATCTCCCTCCCTCCATCCCTCCCCTAGCCTCTCCATATGGTTTCTCCAACAGAGTAGCAGGACTTATTATATCGTAGCTCAGGACTCTCAAAAAGGCAAAAAGAGAAATTGCTGTGTCTTAAAGTTTGGGCCTTTGTGATAAGCAGAATTCTAAGTTCTCCCCCAAGAATCCCACCCACAGTGTACACACCTGAAAACATGTACAAAATCTAAAAATATGATGGAAAAGACACTCCTTTGATTAGGTTACATTATATGGTAAAGTGATGGCATAGATTACATTACACCATGTAAGACTCCATTATAATAGACTGGAGAGAAATTCTCCTGCTGGCTTTGAAGAAGTAAGTGCCATGTTGAGAGAGAACCATGCTGCTAGGACCTTAGGTCAGCTTCCAGGAGCTGAGAGAAATTGCCCAGTTAACAGCCAGCAAGAAAATGAGGGCTTCAGTCCTATAGCCACAAAGAATGGAATCCTGCCAGCAACCTAAACAAGCTTGGAAGAGGACTTATGAGCCTCAGATGAGATTGCAGCCCCAGCCAACACCTGGATTTCAGCCTGGTGAGGCCCTGAGCAGAGAACCTAGGTCTCACTATTGGGAGAACAGCACCAAGCCATTCATGAGAGATCCACCCCCATGACCCAAACACCTCCCTGCCTAGGAGTCATCTCCCAACACCACCACATTTGGGATCAAATTTCAATGTGAGTTTTGGAAAGGACAAACCATATCCAAACCATGGCACACAGCAATCCAGAGACCAGGGCTGGAGGCCAGGTGTCTGGACTCTCAGCCTACGACGACTTCCATTCGGCTCTTGTTTTTAGGTTGAGTGAATAAAATCTGTCTCCTCTGTCCCCAAAGGCAAGGCACTCATTTTGTCTTGGCCTTCTGCCTCTCCTGAGCTCCACCCTATCCTGGTTTTTTGGGGATTCTGAGGCTCACTTTTTACTCCCTGGGTCTGACACGTTAAAAAGAGAAATCAGGAGTCTCCAAGAACTAGACCCCAATACACCTTCACCTCCAGAAAAGGACTGACAGGGTGGAGAAACCTCCCACACACAGCCTACCCAAGACCTGGAGGTTTTGTGGACAGGTGTGCACTAGGAGCTGGAGTCCACCCTGGTGCAGATGTGAGACCTGAATCCCTGACCCACTCTGGGACCTTAGTTAAATTACACCCTGTCTCTTTTCCATTCCTCACCAAAAATGAGGAAAATGCCCTAACAGGTGAGATAAACCAAGTGAATGCCCTTTGTAGACCACAAAGGGCTGATTCCTTGAGCAGAGTTCTTCAAAAGAAAACTTTAGCTCCTGCTTACTGATGTATCGTCCCTCTCTCTCCAATTAAGGACCCAAGCCTCCCACCATTTCAGTCCCCTTGTTCATCTCCTTCCCTTTCTCCAGTGGAAATTCCCAGGAATTCCCAGTCCGAGGAATTCCCAGGAATTCTTATTCTTGACCAAATGTCAACTCCTAAGAAAAACCTTCCTGATCTTCTTGTCTAAAATATCATCTTCCTTCCTGCTGTCTTCTCCTGCTCTTTTTTAATAGCACTTATCAGTGTCTGAAATTATATTAGGCACTTGTTTAGTATTAATTTCCCACACTAGATGATAAGATTAGCAAGGACAAGGATCTGTCTGTTATTCACCACCCAAGAATTTGACAGGTAATAGTGCTCAAAAAGTACTCATTGAACAAATGAATGAATGGAATCAAGACTAAGCACAGTGCAAAACTTCAATGCTGGTCCAGACAGGATTGTGTCTTAAGATACCAGCTGGTTCCATGAGGACTATAATGCAAAGGAAGCCTAACCTGAGCAGCCCACCTCACACTGGCCCCCTCTCCTGATTGCACTTAGAGCCTAAACCTTTCACTGGACACTGATTTACAAATTACTGAGAAAGTTCCTAGATTGTTGACATTTAGGAATAAGTAAGCTCTGTAGGTGTGAGCCTGGTTTATTTCTCTCTCCCAAGTTTACTGAGGGCATATTCACCTTTGTTTCCTTCCCCAGAGTGCCTAACAAGTACTATTTGAATGGTTGTACCTCAATGAATTAATAAATAAGTGAATAAGTGGGTGAAAGAGTAAATGGATGAATGAATGGATAAACAGTGGGTGACTGAATAATTACATGGATGGATGATGGATGGATGGATAGAAAAAAGGAGGGAAGGGTGGATATATTGATGGATGGATGGTTGATGAGTGGATAGTGAGTGAATGACTAGATGCGTGATGGAGAGATGGATCGTTACATGATTAGTGGATGATAGAAGAGTAGATGGATGAAGGGATTGATGGATGGATGGGAAGGATGAATAGATGGATAAAAGTATGGGTGGGAGGGGTATGGTTGGGAGGGAAAGGGTTAGGGTGGGCCAGAATAAGTGAGTAGATAGATTTGATTTACTGTGTCTAAATCTCCAAAGTCACAGAACAGAGGAAGTAGATTTGCTCGTGGACCTACAGGAGAGAGTTAGGATCATTAAGTCAGAGTGACAGGGAGACAGATTTCAGCTTATTATAAGGTAGAAACTCCCTGTCACTAGAGATGTGGAAATAGAAAGTGCCCGCCTCCCCGCCCAGCCATCAGCCCCTGCCCAATCAGGGTACTGGGGAAGGCAAGAATTCAGATCCTGGTTGAGAGGTTGAAGTATACGACTTTTGCCTTCAGACACAGAAACTGTAGGATTCTAAAAGAATCAGAAGCAACCCCCCCCCCCCCGCCATTAATTGGGTTTGGTGAAATCTGGGCCCTTGTTCTCTACCCAGAATCTTGGAGACGCTCTACCTTGATACCCCTCCTGGGGCTGAGGATAGAGGCAATGACAACTGGGCTAATACTGTGAGAAATCATTGGGTGTACTCCGACCACAACCCATGAGGTCAGGACTGCTTCTCACCCATATCTGTCTACTTTTTCCACTGCTTTATAGGCAAGAATTTAAAAATCTCGACTCTTAAACAGCGACTGTGTAGCCTTGAACAAGTTATTACCCTCTCTGATCTTCAATGGTATCTTGTGTAAAATGGAGATAATGCCTCATAGGGTTGTTGGCAGAATTAAATGAAAGAATTATGTAACATGCATAGTGCAGTGCTGAACACATTGAAAGCCCTCAATAAATGATAATATTGGAACTGGCATTGGTTTTAGCATTGATATCAGCATTCAAAGCCATGTTTATATTCATATTTATTAGAAGTATTACAATAGTATACAATGGTATTACATGTATTACATGGCATTGTCATAGAATCATAAATCTAGGGCCACAGATTCATATATGCTTGATAACAGATTTTCTAAACTGACCACCTCAGAAATTTAGAACTTTTGAATTAGAACCAAACTTAGAGCCATCATGGATGGTTGAACTACTCTGAGTAGACAAGACCTTGGAAGTAATGAGTCTAACCACCCCAAGCGGCCTCTCTACCCATGGCAGATGCCTCTGCCCAATGTCCTTCACCCTCCATCTCCAGGCCAGAACATCCTGTGAGGCCGCTCTGGGGGCCCTGACTGGACCCTTTGGCCCTGTGCTCCTGTTCTCAGACAACCCAGAATCCCAAGAATTTGTGGCCACAGGAGTGGAAGCCTTGGATTGGGCCCGGGGGATGATGAAATATGGAAGCTCCCAGAGTTGGGCCTGGTGGGGAAGGCCACATTTTCTGTGTAATGTTCTATTGCATGCCAATCAATTACAGTGTGCCCTATATAAACACATCATGAGGGCTTTGACAGGGGGCCGGGGTGAAGTTGGGTGTCAGGGTAAAACAGGGGATAATAAAATCACTGGAGATTTATTTCTCTAAATTGGAAACTTCATGCTTACACCTGACTAAATCATCAGGCTGAAATCGGAGCCGACTCCCACGGAAAACACATGTAACCTTATCCCATCTTTGTTTAACGGCGACCCATCAAGCCGCCTGATGAATTCTGCAGATGCAGCCAGCGTCTTCCTTGGGCTCCTTGAGTTCTGGGGGTCTCAATCAGACCTAGTTGTTCTTCCAGGGCTGGCCAAAGAAGCCTCTTCTACAGGTGGGTGTCCACCTGGTACCCCATCCCCTAAAATAGCTCCGCTTTGCTCCCATGCCTGAAAGTACACCATTTGTGTACCTAAGATCCCTCTACGTAAGATCCTCCTCTTCATGAAACCATCCTCCCTGAGAAAGGGAACAATGTTGAATAATATGAGAGGCATTTGTGACATCAAGAAAAGTTCTCTAAACTAGAAATTGTCCAGCCTGGCTTCCACCACAGTTCTGTGATAACACCCCTTTATCTCTCTGGGTAAAATGACCTTGCTACTTCTCTTTACCGTCTCTTCTCTCATAGAACTTTTGTGAGAATTTGATGAGCTAATGGGTTAAAAGTGCTTTATAACTTAGTTTATGGTAATATTAGCATATAATTTTCTATTTGAATTATGAAGCACTGTATGTAGAACCAGGAGACAGTGTGAAGTCAGCCACTGCCTGTGTTCAGGGGTTTCTCCTTTACCAGGAGTGACCAGCCAGGGTGGGAGGAAGAATTTGGGAGCAAATCTCATCAGTAAGCCCCGTCTGTGTGCTGGGCACTGGGTTAGTGTATGACACTCACACAGTATTTCATGTGATCCCCACATCATATATAAGATTATGCCCATTCCGAAGATGACAATTCAGGGATCAGAGAGGTTACCTAACTTTCCTGAATTACACAGTAGGAGAGTGACCAGGGGGTCAGTCTAGATTTGTCTGACCCCAAAGTTCATTAAAATACATGACAAGTGCTCTGTGGGGCCTGAGGGAGAAAAGGAGGGCAGTATGTGCCCAGGCTCAATAGAGGCCCTGCCCCTCTCCCAGCTCCTCCCTTCAGGTCCATAAATTCTTATACACACAAACACAGTCACCCCAGCACACACCACAGGTGGTCAGCGGGCAGGGAAGCTGCAGGCTGAGGCTTCCTCCTCAGAACAACGCTCCCTGCCCACACCTCCGCCATGGCCCTTTGGGTGGGGTGAGGTGGGAGGGCGGGGAGGGCAGAAGGAGCCCCCGTGTGTCATTTTCGGCAGCAGTCAGCAGAGCCTTGCAAAGTGCAAGATGGCTTTTTTAGCCCAGCATAAGGATCTAGTTAAAAACCAATAAATCAGGAGTGAAATGTGCATAGCAGCCTGCTCCGTAAAATCAACATGGCTTGTGCCTCTGCAGGGAGCCCTCTGCCTGCCCGCTGAAGACTGCGGCTCAGGCAGAGCCCTCCTCTGTCCCATAGACATCTTCGGAGAGAGAGGTCTCCTCTGTTCCTTGAAAAGACAGAGCCAGGCCACCGGAGCCCCTACTTAGGAGGTGCCTCGCTTATGACATCCCCTTTCTAGATGCAGAAATGCCAAAAAAAAAAAAAAAAATGGGTGAGCAGGGCCCAGACAGCTCTCAGCCTCCACACTGCTCCGCCCTGACATAGAAAATCGAATTAGGAGATGAATAGGCTGAGGAGTGGACGAGAACGGAGAGCCCCAGGGCGTCTCCCCAGCACAGATTACAGAAACCATCTGCAGAAAGGGGCTCGGGACCCTCACTGAGATGACCCCCGGTGGAACGGGCATCCCGGGCCTCGGCGTGCCCAGCGCAGCCCCCCGGCGGGGGCGGGGAGCGAAGGAGCCCCGGCTCAGCCTCGGGTCGGTATTTAATATCTGTAAAACTGCCACTCGGGCAGCCAAGGTAAACAGCGTCCCTGGCAGTTCAAAGGTGAGCGAGTTTAAATGTTTCCCCTCTGCCTGAAAGGAATCCGTGCCGGGCCTGCGGCCGCGGCGGCCCCAGGGAGGGACGGCCCCCCGCGCCGCCCGCCCGCAGCATCTGTGCACAGAGGCTGCGTCTCCCACACAAATACTCAAAATTTCTCATTAAAACTTATGACTGTGTCAACAGTGCGGGCTGGGCCCCTAATCTGGAAAAGCCATTTCGCCACCGCGCCCCGCCCCCCGCGGCCCACGCGCTGTCCCCGCCCGCGCTCTGTCGCCACCCTCTCCACGCCCCACGCCGCGGCGGGCGCCCCGCGGGGCCCGAAGGTGCCACCCGCCCGCCCTGTCTCCGGGGCCGAGTGGAAGCCAGGACGGGTTGGTACGGGGCGGGCGTCCTCAGAGGACCGCGGGCGCACAGGGGACACGGTAGAGGAGCTGGCTTTCCCGCCAGATAAGAGCGCCGGAACCGGCCAGGCGAAGGACGCCCGCGGCGCTTCCACTGAGCTCAGAGAGAGCTTTCTCCTGGCGACAGTCCCCTTCAGAGTCCTCTGAACAACCCCGCCCGGCCGCATCCCTTGCAAACTTGTTCCCAGGAGTCCATTTCTGCTCCCACAGGGGAAGGCCCAGCTCAGCCCCGGCCTGATGCCACAGTCCAGCTGAGACTCGAGGCCCCCAGCCCCTCAGCCCCGCTGAGCGGGAGGGGCCCCGGTGGGGGACAGAGCAAAGCTACTCTGAAGAAGGGGATGAACTTGACTTGCAGTAGACTCCAGGGCAAGAGGGAAATCAGAGAAACATTTGGGAGTAGAAAGAGTCCACCCTGGGTTCAAATCCCAGCTCTGGCACTGACGATATTTCCGTTTCCTCCTCCATAAAATTTAGGGGACAATAAGAGAAAGAAAACAGCTAAGCCCACCTACTCCAGATCCTGGCATACAGTAAGTACTCCATACATGGTAGTCATTCACTCAGTCAACCTATACTTATTTATTAAGGCTCTTTTATGTGGACCCACAGACAGCTAACAGTCTAGAGAGAAACAGACAAGTAAAACAATAGAGGCTGAGTGTTATGAAAGGGGAAGTAGAGGGTCTCAGATGAAAGACTAGATACACTGTGACTAAAAGATGAGGCAGCAGGGGAAGATATTTCAAGAGCAGAACAGCCTATGCAAAGGCCCTGAGGCAAAAGAGGATGTGATCATAGGCAACA
Organism: Homo sapiens; assembly: GCF_000001405.40. Taxonomy (NCBI): domain Eukaryota; kingdom Metazoa; phylum Chordata; class Mammalia; order Primates; family Hominidae; genus Homo; species Homo sapiens. The sequence goes on along the minus strand of NC_000001.11, from coordinate 47,507,321 downwards.
GAGGATGTGATCGTGGGCAAAGGCACTGAGACAGAAATGAGGCTGGGGAAACGTGAGTGCCTACACGGTGTGCACCTCTCAATGAGCACTTTTAGATTGATTCTTTGTTGTATGTGAGTATACACTTAATGTATGTGCATTTGAATATGGCCAAAGACATGAACCTACACCTATGCATGTTTAAAATGTGTATGTCTGTTTGGACGTGTGCACATGTGCCTGGGTATTTATGCACGAACATGAGTGTATTTGTGTGTGTGTGTGCGCACCTGTATATGTGGCTATATATCCATACTTGTGAATCCGAATAAGGACTTGTACATTTGTGTTTGCACAAGTATCTGCACTGTTGATGTGTGTCTGTGTGTATGCACTTGTGCTCACACACACTTTAACAAATGCTGACTCCCCACTCCCCACACCTTCTCTGGTGTCCATGGTATAAGAGTGGGCAGCTAGGTCCTGCATGCACCCTTACCTTTCATTGAGGCCAGATATTCCCACTGACAGGCTATGCCTGGAACCAGTACCCATGGGCCTGATGGACCCCCTGACTGCCTTTTATTTGCTCCACCCCAAAGAAACAAGAAAATAAAAGCATGTCAAGATTTCCCTCCAGAAAGCTGAAATCCAGGCACCCATACCTCCCACCCCATTATCCTACCACAGTCAGAAGTTGTGGAGACACTGGTTACATGGCGAGCAGGAATAGCTCAGCACAGAAAGTGGGAAACTGCTGTCCCAACCCCTACCAGTTTCTCTGCAGATGTGCTGTGTGACCCAGGACAAGATGCTTTGCCCTCTGAGCTGGTGAAAACGAAGATGATGCTCCCTTCATGTTAGGCTGAAATAGAACACAAACAGAGACGCGGCAAGATGATGAACATCCTTCCAAATTTTCCATTAGACTGGGTTGGCTACCTTTAAAAATAAGAACAAAACAAAAATAATCCTCAGAAAAGCCTCATGAAGTTCAAAAGCTCCATTGCACATGTTGCCTCCAAAGGGGCAAGAATTTTGCCATTGTCACCCCTGTATTCCCCTCCTAAAACAGAACCTGGCATATAGTAGGTGCTCAATAAATATTGGTTGAATTGATAAATTTGTTCATTGAGCTATTTGCTCGTTCATTCACTTATCATATAATCCCTGTGCCATTGTTTTGTACCAGGCCTTAACTGTCCCCCACCCAAAAAGAAGGGACCCTCTTGCTTAAGCTTCACTAATATCCCAGGTAAATGCATATCACTTTAAATTCATGGCTTCCCACCTCCTTCGAGCCTCAAAACTGCCAGGAAATGCAACTGTTTCCCAGCTCTTTATGCTTCCCACAGTGGTGGTTCAAATTTTCCTCTCTCTCTTCAGATCCTCCAACCTTTCCCTTCCTTCCCCTGCCCTTTCAACAGGTGACCTTCATGGACAAAACAAAAGCCATCAACTTTCAGCCACAAACCTACACATTCACCTGTGCTTCCTCCAAACCTCATCTCCTTCCCTTTTATTGTAATGAAAGCATCTCTCCTCCCATAAGAAGCCAGCTCTTCCCCTCTGGATCCACCCAGGAGAGTTCACCCCATTGACTCACCTCCTCTTTGTCCATATCTTCTACCTCGGAATTTCTCAAGCTGCCCATTTTGAACCATTTTAGGTTCACAAATTCAGTTCAGGGTACTGTGACCAGCAGTATTTAACAATAAAATAGGATGGGGCATGGTGGCTCATGTCTATAATTCCAACACTTTGGGAGCCCGAGGCAGGAGGATCACTTGAGCCCAAGAGCTTGAGACCAGACTGGGCAATATAGCAAGATCCTGTCTCTCCAAAACAAATTTTAAAATTAGCCAGGGGTAGTGGCATGCACCTGTAGTCACAGCTACTTGGGAGGCTGAGGCAAGAGGAACACTTGAGCCCAGGAGTTCGAGGCTGCAGTGAGCTATGATCATGCCACTGCACTCTAGCCTGGGCAACAGAGCAAGATCCTATCTCTTAAAAAAAATTTTTTTAAGTAAAATAGGAAAGAAAATATCAGAGCACATCACACACAGTAAAGATGAGTATATGTCACAAAACTTTTGTTTAAGTTGTGTCAGTGTGTGTAAGTGTCTCAGGTCTGGAAGGACATGTCTGTCTAACTGTGGGTTGTGTCAAGAAAGTGTGAAAGATGTTGTTCTACCTCCCTTTTTCTACTGCCTCCTTCCCATCAGTGGGTAAACTCCTTAAGAATCTCAACCGGTTCTCAACCCAAATGTCCAACAATGATAGACTGGATTAAGAAAATGTGGCACATATACACCATGGAATACTATGCAGCCATAAAAAATGATGAGTTCATGTCCTTTGTAGGGACATGGATGAAGCTGGAAACCATCATTATCAGCAAACTATCGCAAGGACAAAAAACCAAACACCGCATGTTCTCACTCATAGGTGGGAATTGAACAATGAGAACACATGGACACAGGAAGGGGAACATCACACACCGGGGACTGTTGTGGGGTGGGGGGAGGGGGGAGGGATAGCATTAGGAGAGATACCTAATGCTAAATGACGAGTTAATGGGTGCAGCACACCAACATGGCTCATGTATACATATGTAACTAACCTGCACGTTGTGCACATGTACCCTAAAACTTAAAGTATAATAATAATAATAATAAAAAGAAAAGGCAAGCAACAACAACAACAAAAAAAGAACAGAAAGCTGAGTTCAGAGAAGCTAAATATCTTGCAATTCCTTGTAGCTAATAAATAAATGACAAATCCTTATTGTAAAAAAAATAAAAAATAAAAAAAAGAATCTCAACCGGTTCTTCAAGCCCAGTTCTCTTTCAGCTACTGCACCCCCCAAATCTCCTCCCAACCAGTCTTCTTTAAAGAGTCATCTACACTCAGGCTGGGTGTGGTGGCTCACTCCTGTAATCCCAGCACTTTGGGAGGCCAAGGCGGGTGGATCACTTGAGGTCAGGAGTTCGATACCAACCTGACCAATATGGTGAAACCCCATCTCTACTAAAAATACAAAATTAGCCAGGCATGGTGGTGCATGCCTGTAATCTCAGCTACTTGGGAGGCTAAGACAGGAGACTTGCTTGAACCCGGGAAGCGGAGGTTGCAGTGAGCCGAGACTGTGACATTGTGCTTCAGCCTGGGCAACAAGAGTGAGACTCTGTCTCAAAAAAAAAAAAAAAAAAAAGAGTTATCTACACCGAGTATCTACACATCTTCACCTCCCATTCCTCTGCACATCAGCACTGTCCCTGAGACCCACTACCCCGCTGTGGCAAGGCTGCCACCTACCTGCTGCTAAACCCAGCAAGAGTTTCCCTGGCTTGGCTTGCGGGGCTCTCAGAGCCCTCACTGTTCCTTGACTCTCACATCCTCATCTTCTCCTGGTTTTCCTCCTTCCTCTATGGCCTGCCTTCTTAATCTCCTCTGTGGGCCCTCCCGTTTCTGCCTAGCTCTTAGTGTTGGTGTTCCCCAGGGCTCACTCCTCGACCCTCTTCTCTTCTCTTTTCCCCTCAGTAATCGTAGTCTCAAGGTCCATAGGCTGATAATGCCCAACTCGGCATCTCCATCCCAACTCTCTTCCTTGACCCCAGGCTCTCACCTTCCTCTGCATCCCTGCTGGCTGCCCCACAGGCTCCTCCTTCTCAGCATCTTCAAAGGCCAGTCAGCGTCTTCCTGCACCTTCCCTAATGTTCCTTGTCTGTAGCAGCACCTCTGCCCACCACAACACCCCAACCAGACAGCAGGCATCCCTATGACTCCTTAGAGCCCGAGCTGTCCAGACACTACCTCCTGACACCTCTCCGCTCTCTCTCCACTTCTCTCCATCCCACCACCATTCTGAGTCAGAACTTAATCATTCTGCCCAAATAACTTCCAGAGTTATCTCACTAAGGGGTCTCCAATCCATCTTTCTAATAGGACCATGTTCCCCTCTGTTTTAAACCTCCAGTGTCTCTCCTCGGCTGCTGGAATAAAGTCCAGTCTTCAGGAACACACCCTGAAAGATGTGTCCACGGGGACACTCTGCCTTCAGCCACTCTGATTTATGCTCTCACCCTAACTGGTGCTCTTTGGGCTGGGTGGCGTGGGACCGGCTGGCCCCTCAGCTTGCTCAGCTTCCCTAAATACCCTCACTCTCAGGTTCCTCTTGCCAAGACTGGGCTGACCCAGGGTACCCCAAGCTCACGTTCAAAGACTCAGGCCGGGCCCAGCTGCTTGGCTCCATAAATGGGGATTAGGCGCCCCCCTTTGAGGCGGGCGGGTGGGCTGTGAGAAGAGTTGGTTTGGTATAGATTTTATGGCAGGATCACATTTCGTCATCAGACCCCCCCTCTGAAGCCAGCGAAGGGCAGGTCAGGGGCAGGGGAGTGGGAACCTGAGCTGTTCCATCAGCCCAGAGCAGAGAGTTGCTGGCACAGGAGGGGGCCTGGGAATCTGGGGCCCCGAGTTCCAGCCTCCCCTTTGCTGCTCCCACTGCTGTGTGAACTTGGGCACATTCTTTCATTCTCTGGTCTGTGAAATGGGGGCCCTAGACTAGACAGGCTCTCAGGCCAACTCCATTTCCAGACCCCCAATGCCCTCTCCCAGTCTAAATCATAACAAAAGCATCACCCCTCTCAGGAGGCTGCAGAGCTATGATACACTTACACACCCATGGATTAGGGTTGCCACATAAAACACAGGATGCCTAGTTAAATTTGAATTTTAGATAAATTACAAATCATTTTCAGCATAAGTATGCCCCAAATATTGTACAGACATACTTATATTAAAACAATTTGTTATTTATCTGAAATTCAAATTTGACTGGAAGCCCTGTATGTATTTATTAATTATTATTATTATTATTATTTTTTTTTTTTTTTTTGCTGAATTTGGCATCCTTATCCTAGATGCACTGGAGTTTACAGGACTCATGGTCCATCTAAGCAAAATAGGTCAGATTTTAACAGGTTTAAGTGGTCTTGGCAAAATCATCAAGCTGGGCAGAGACCTGTCGTCAAGAGCCAGTAGAGATTTGGTGAAGGATGTTCCAGGCAAAAGGAACAGCATAGGCAGAAACCTAGAGGAAGGATGGTGTTGGCCAAGTTCCAGGAAAGGCAGTAACAGACCAATGTGTAGGCTGTAGACTCGAAGTGGCAGGAAAGGCAGATGGTAAGGTTAGTTGGAATCAAATCATGCCATATTCCATCTATGCTGCTACTGATATTAGAGGAAGGGACCCAGAGGAGGGTTTGAGCTGAAATAGGACCACAGCCAGAGATGAAGTACAGGGAGCAGGATCTAGCTTCCCAAAGATTAGAGGAAAGACAACTGAGATGATCTGGAAGAAGGACCTTTAGGACCTAGCCAGGGAATTTGGGCTCAGATCCTTTCTCTGAGCAGAATAAATAATAAATAGCAGTCGGTAAATGATAGCTGTCATTATGATCAGTGGTCAGTAAGTGCTGTGGTTTGTTACCCACTGACCTCATCCCCAGGCAGTCAGCATGGGGCCAGAGCCATTGCTTAACTGCTGGGAGCTCAGATATGATGGAACAATGACAGTTTACAGATTCGCCATCGAGCTGTGCCACCCTTCCCTTGTTCTGGTGTCCAATATCAATGAGAAATAAACCGCCAGGGAGAATACTATGAATACAAGGGCATTTTAGGGACCAGTGAAAATTATCTAAGGCAGAGGAGCTACTTTATAAGAGTCCCTACAAAATCCACTTACGTGAATCTCTCCTGTCACTCTCACAGCAACTCTAGGTGGTGGGTATTTAAGCTCCATTCTAGAGATGTGAAAACCAAGGCTCAGAGAGAAGTCATTTGTCCAAGGTTCTTAACTAATAATAGAGAGACGTCAGTTTTAAAATCCAATAAGTGGTGCATGCCTGTAGTCCCAGCTACTCGGGAGGCTGGCATGGGAGGATGGCCTGAGCCCAGGAGGTGGAGGTTGCAGCAGCTGAGATCGCACCACTGCACTCCAGCCAGGGTGACAGAGCCAGGCCTTGTCTCAAAAATAAATAAATAAATAAATAAATAAATACATAAATAAATAAATAATAAAATCCAAGAGCTCTTTTCCCTACATAAGGCTGTGTCTATGGATCAAAGCAACGAAACCCAAGTTCAGTGTGTACTTCAGCTACGCAAGCACCTTCACCCCTGATGGGCCCATCAGCTTACTGGATGCCAAACCTTATAACACCTGGCCATGAGGCCTTGGAACTCATCTTGCCCCCAGGTCAAGCACATGCTTCCTTCCATTGGCTGGGAAGAGACTGGAGATTTCAGAAACCTTGGATCCAGTCTCAAATTCTCCAGTTCCTGGCTACATGGTTTCACCTTTCTAAGCTTGTGCTTCCTCATCCAAAAAATGAGGATAATAATGCCTTCTTCCCATGTATGTTGTGAAGGTCCAATGTGATAATGTATAGGAAAGAGCTTTATAAACTGAAAAGCATGGTGCAGACTTGTTTCATTGCCCAAATCACAGACAAACAACACTATCTTATAAACTTAAAAGCTTTTGCTAGTTCATGTCTTCCAGATTTACGGGAAGGCCTTCTGGTCTAACAGCCAAGTCTAGTTCACAGATGATTTGCAAGGCAGGAGTGATTGATGACACTTCATTTATTCATTTGTCACACATTTGCTAGTCTCTTCTGTGCCAGGCTCTGTATTGAGCACTGGTGAATAAAGACATAGTCCTTGTCCTTGGGCAGGTGGTCATTGGGGGAGACAGAAACAGACAATAATGATCCAGTTGTAGTCAATGATAAAGTATAAGCAAGTACAAAAAGAGTATAAACAAGTGAGGTGAACTTCTCTGAGAATTAAAGGAAACTGCCAGGTAAGGTTTCTGAGAAGGGATTATTCGCACAAGGTGTCAAATAATTTTTCTATTTCTTCATTCGACAAATATTTATGGGGCTCTTCTAAAGTACTGAGATACATCACCAAACAAAATAAATAGTCCCTGCCTTCAAGGAGCTTAGTGGAGAAGACAGATAATAAAAAGAAGAACAAATAAATTATTACATGCCATAATCTCATATCATATATATTATATATGTATAATGTGATATATAAATACATTATAGTGATATAAGGTGTTATAAAAAAGCAGAGTAAAGTTGTTATACAAATATAATAAATATTAGGTATTTATTATAATAAATAAGTATTAGGTGCTATAAAAAATAAGGCAGAATAAAAAATAAGACAGAGTAAAGTAAGTAAGGCTGGTAAGGGTAAAGGGGCTATTCTATATGAACTGATAAGGGAAAGACTCTAAGAAACTGATGGTTGACCACAGACATGAATGGAGTAAGGACATGAGCATTGAATTATAATGAAAAAAAAACAACAAAAATTTGTGGAATGTAGCTAAAGTTATTTGTATAGGAAATTTTTAAACTTTAAATGTTTATATTAAAAGATAAGAATAATTTAAAATCCATGATCTAAATTGCCATTTTAAGAATATAAAAAAAGAGGAGTAAAGAAGGGGAAACAAATGTTGACGATGAGTAAAACTTACTGAAATAGAAAATAAATAATAAAGAAAACCAATTAAACCAAAACTGATTCTCTGATGAGATTAATAAAATTGATATGCCTCTAGCTAGACTGATCAAGGAAAAAAAAAGAGAAGACACAAATTGCCAACATCAGAAATAAAAGAAAAGACATCACTACAGACATTAAAGTGATAGAATATTACGTACAATTTTATGCTAGTTAATTCAACAACTTAGGTGCAATGAACACATTTTTTGAAAGACACAAATTGCCAATACTGACACAAGAAGAAATAGAAAATCTGAATTAGCCCTATGTCTTTAAAGAAATTGCATTCATAATTTTTTTAATTCCCACAAATAAAACTCCAGGTGTTTGCAATAGTGAATTCTTTCAAACATTTAATGAATAAATAATACAAAACTTACATAAACTCTTTCAGAAAATATAGGCGGAGGGGGCACTTTCCAATTTATTATATGAGATTAGTGTAATTCTAATAACCAAAACCAGGCCTAATTATTATAAGAAAGAAAATTATACACCAATACCCCTCAAAAACATAAACACAAAAATCTTTTTAAAAGTACTGTCAAATCAAATTTGGTTACATATATTTATATATGATATATAATAGATCAATACATAGATAGATAGATAGATAGATAGATAGATAGATAGATAGATAGATAGACAGACAGATAGAATGACCAAGTGGGGCTTATCTCAAGAATACAGGTGGCTTGTACAATTTTCCAAATTAATACAATGAAGGAGAAAAATCAAATGATCATCTCAATATGGGCTGAAAAATAATTTGATGAAGTTCAATACCCCTCTACAATCCAAATTCTCAGCAATCTAAAAATAGAAGAGGACTTTCTCAATCTGATTTTTTAATGTGAAAAACATACAACTAACATGACAATAACGAAATATTAAGCTCTTTTTTCCCTAAGATCAGGAACTTAAGACTGCTTGATTTCAAGAGTTACCATAAAGCTACAATAATCAAAAAGTTGGAACCGGCATAAGCGTAGACAAACAGGTCAACAGAACAGAGTCCAAAATAGATCCACACATATCAACTGATTTTTGACCAAGTCAATTTAATAGGGAAAAGAAAGTCCCTTCAAAAAATAGTACTAGAACAACTAGATAACTATATGGGGGAAACTGAACCTCAACTACTACCTCAACCCCATACCAAAAATTAATTATTCAAAATTGATTCTAGACCTAAACTTAAAAGTGAAAACTATAAAACTTCTAGAAGAAAACATGGGGGAATATATTTGTGATTTTGGACTAGGCAAAAATTTCTTAGGACACAAGAAAATCACTAGCCATAAGATAAGAAATTATTAAATCAGACCTGATCAAATTTTAAACTTTTATTCATCAAAAAATATGATTAAGCCTCTCGGCCTTAACCTCCATCTTCCAGTAATTCACCAAAACAACATAAAGGGAAAGAGGAGAGGCACCTGATACATATTCTCTAGGCCTTTTAGGAAACATGGAGTTGTTCCTTTGAATACACGTGAATCTGTAAGAAAGGCAATATTGTAGACATCAAGGAAATGGGCACTGTTCAAAAAGCAATACCTCACAAATGTTAACCATGGCAAACTGGAAGAGTCTACAGTGTCACTCAGCATTAGTTAGTTAACTTATTGGGCAAGATTCTTGCCAAGAGAATTAATGTGCATATTGAGCACTCTAAGAGCCAAAATAGCTTCCTGAAATGTGTGAAGGAAAATGATCAGGAAAAGAAGGAACCAAAGAGAAAGGTACCTGGGTTTAGCAGAAGCACCAGCCTGCTCCACCCAGGGAAGCACACTTTGTGAGAACCAATGAAAAGGAACCGGAGCTGCTGGAACCTCTTCCCTATGAATGTATGGCATAACAGGTGTTAAAAATAAGAGACCTCTGGACTGTAAAAAAAGAAAAAAAAGATAAAAGAAAATCAATATGGCCACCTTATATTACATATTATATTTAGAATATGTAAGGAATTCATAATAAAATGACAATCCAATAAAAACTGGGCAAACACTTGAATAATCACTTCACAAAAGATATACAAATAGCCAGTGAGTGCATTAAAAAGTACTCAACGTCATTAATCATCTGTAAATTCAAGTTAAAATGACAAAGAGATGTAACTACACACCCACTAGAATAGCTGAAATGATAAAAGGCTGACAACAGCAAATGTTGGCAAGGATGTGAAGCAATCAAAATGCTCATAATGCTCATATAGGCCAGGAACAGTGGCTCATGCCTATAATCTCAACACTCTGGGAGGCTAAGGCAGGAGGATCGCTTGTGCCCAGGAGTTGAAGACTAACCTGGGTAACATGGTGGGACCCCATCTCTCCAAAAACAAACAAACAAACAAAATTTAAACCAGCCAAGCATGGTGATGCACTCCTGTAATTCCAACTACTTGGGAGGCTGAGGTGAGAGGATCACCTAAAGTCAGGAGTTTGAGACTTCAGTGAGCTGTGATTGTGCCACTGCACTACAGCCTGGACAGCAGAGTGAAACTGTCAAAAAAAAAAAAAAAAAAAAAGGAAGGGAAGAAGGAAGGAAGGAAGGAAGGAGGAAAGGAGGGAGGGAGGGAAGGAAGGAAGGAAAAAAATGCTCATATATTGCTGGTGGGAGTGTAAAATGATACAACCTCTTTGGTAATTTTATATAAAGTTAAAAATACATCTACTCAACCCAGCAATTCCACTGCTGAGTATTTACCCAAGAAATAAAGACATATGTCCATTTCTCTTGTATAAGAAATGTTTATAGCAGCCTTATTCATAATAGTCCAAAACTGTGCATAACCCAAATAAATGAATAAACAAAATGTGGTATATCCATTAAATGCGATACAATTCAGCTGTCACAAAGAACTACCCACTAATCTACCAATAACATGGATGAAGCTCAAAAACATTAAGCAAAAGAAGCCAGACACAAGAGTTTGACAAGCAAAAACTAATCTCAGCCGGGCGTGGTGGCTCATCCATGTAATCTCAGCACTTTGGGAGGCCAAGGTGGGCAGATCACCTGAGGTCAGGAGTTTGAGACCAGCCTGGCCAACATAGTGAAACCACGTCCCTACTAAAAATACAGAAATTAGCCGGGGGTGATGGTGGGTGCCTGTAATCCCAGCTACTGGGGAGGCTGAGGCAGGAGAATCGCTTGAACCCCAGAGGTGGGGGTTGCAGTGAGCTGAGATCGCACCACTGCACTCCAGCCTGGCTGACAGAGTGAGACTCCATCTTAAAAAAAAAAAAAAAACTAATCTCTAGTGTTAGAAGTCAGAACAGTGTTTGCATCTGGAGGGTAGAATTGATTGGGAAAGGTAATGAGGGCACTTACTGGGTGATGAAAATGTCCTGGCTTGATTGAGGTCATGGTTACATAGGTGTGTACATTTGTCAAAGTTCATCAAACCACACTTAAGATCCCTACATTTCACGGTATGTAAAATATACCTTAATTTAAAAAAAAAAGGAGGGGGTGCCAGGCGCAGTGGCTCACACCTATAATCTCAGCACTTTAGGAGGCTGAGGCAGGAGGGCTGCTTGAGCCCAGGAGTTCGAGACTGCAGTGAACTATAAGTGCACCACTGGACTCCAGCCTGGGGCAACAGAGTGACACCCTGTTTCTAAAACATAAAATAAAATCAGTTTTAAAATTTGTGATGAAATCCACAAAAAGGCAGCAAAGAGGACTAGAGAAAGGTGTGGCCGGAAAAGGCTACAGTGAGGAGGCAGTATTTGCACTGAGGCTTGAAGAGCAGGCAGGATCTGGATGGGAGTGTGGTGAGAATCAGAGATGTCAGATGTGAAAGAACTTAGAGAATTGCTAAATATAATGGATTGCTTAGCTGAATCGCTGATGCCACCACAGAGCAAAAGAAGAAAGACCAAAATAAGCATTTGAGGAGAGAGTTGGGGGTGATCACATGGAGCTCCACATCTCAGGAGATTGGTCAGGGACAGATCCTGGAGACTGGAGCATGTGTACCCTGGAAGCACAGCAATGTGTCAGGGGTAGACTCAGCACCTAGCTCACTGCTGGGCACATAGAAAGTACTAAATAAACGTTTTTGAAACGTGAAATATAAATAAAAGTGTTGCTCACAGGTCTGAGCCTGAGTGATCGCTTAGAGCCCCAGAAAGGACATGAGACTGGCTGTGGTTCTCCCTGCAAAGAAGCTGAGTATAGTCGGGGAGTGCTGAACTTAGACACATTCTATCACGCAGCTCAAGCTGCCCTGGGGGTGCCATATAACTTTATTGTAAGCTCGTGCAACAACACAGGCAAATGGAATAACAATGTAAAGTTGGCTTTAATTAAAATGAAGGGTGTTTGCCTCTCCCTTCTTTTCGTCTTAAGCCAGGCAGCCTGCTGAGCTGCACAGAGCAATCAAAGGAATGTTTCTAATGCAGGAGGCAGCCCCCCAACCCCCAACATTCAAGCGTCCCCTCTCACTCCCCAGCCTCCACCACACTCCCTTCTTATATGATCCACATGGCAAAAGGAAAACAGGAGTGGTGATGCCCCTCTAGGAGGCACCAGGAAAGGAGAGAGTGTTGCCAACCAGTGTGGGAAGGGAAAGGGTTCCAGCTGCAGAAATCTCATCCACGGAGCCATTCCACCCATGCCTCCTGGACTATTGAGTGCTAGCTAGACCTTGTGCCCAGTGTTGGTGCCTATTCTGAAAAGAACTCCCTGTCTGGTGGAAATTCATCAATACAAAAGAGGTATCCACCAAGGAAACCATGAAAAGTCCATGAATCCAGGGGTTCATCTATTTTCCCTGACACCTGAAAAATAAAGTTGATCCTAAGAATTTGCTAACTAGAGAGAAGGACCATATTTGAAGGGCCCAAAAGAGATGGCATGGTGCTAGGCACTTTATATACTTCATACCCTGTATCAGCCTGTGATGTGCAGGTAAAGGTTTAACCAGATAAAGTTGCCATTTGTAGGGAGAGGAGAGCCCCAATTTATAGTGTTTGCCAATTTCCCTAGTGTAAATTCCCCCAGAGAGGCAGATTTCAAGCTACCAATATGATATTAACTAGCTCGTGAAATTTCTGAAAAGTTACCAATGGGCTCGCACTGGTGCAGCACACCACTGGTTCTAGCTGTCTGTGATGCTCTCGGCCAGCTAGAGGAATTCTGAACACTAATATCTCAGCCAAGGGTTTTCATTCAACAAACACTTAAAGAGCATCTTCTCCGTGCTAGGCTTTGTGCCAAGAGGTCTCAAATCCATATTAAATAATAATATAAAAATAGAGTTAGCATCTATTGAGGGTTTGCTATATGCCAGGCTCTCTTCTAAAGGCGTTTCACAAATCCGTGCATTTAATCCTCAAAATCCTGTGACATAGATACTACCTATTAGAAAACTCAGGCTCAGAAAGGATAAGTTACTTACCCATGATCACACAGCTAGTAAAAAGAAATAGCACATAGTTGTGGCCATTCAATGCCCTTCCTTTCTCCATTCTGAGTCCAACATTCTCCAGGTAGAAGCCAGAAAATTCTCATCCCCAGACCTCTTTGTGGCTCAGGATCAGACATATGACCCAGGTGCCATGAATCAGACACACCTGGGTGAAACCTAGATTCAGAAGAAGGAGGCAGCCAGGTGGGGCAAATGATCTTATGACCAGGGCAGTTGCAAAGGCATCCAGTTCTTTGGAACAGCAGTGGTGGAACTTCTGGTATCCAGCCCTAAATGCTATAGGGACTGAGTGACCAGGCAGTGGTGTTTTCACTAAAAATGTCCTCATGGTTTGGTCAGGCCTTTTTCCCAGGACCCTCCAGGGATTTCTGTAAGCTGCCCAACATCCTGTAATAAATCCTTGTTCTGCTTAAACTAGCCATAATGGACTCTGTTGTTTGCAATTAGGAACCCCGATAAGATGGGGGATCCACGGTTCAAACTGAGCCTTGCCTCCAGAACTCAAACTTTGACCCATAATGATACACAGCTTTATTTTCTCCTCTCTGCAACTCCGTAAATGAGGCTCTACTCCTCCCATTTCACAGATGAAGAAACTAAGTCTAAAAGACATCAGACCAACTGCCTGAGATTACATATTAAATTGAGCCACATGAAACTTGATATTCAATCATCTTTGGCCTACTTCATACAGTTCAACCTAATGGAAATGGCAACTTCATTATGGTTGAACCTCATAGAAATAGGAGTTTAGTATAGATTTATGTGACTCCCAAACCCTTGCTTTTCCACTGCCTCTGCTTTCTCACAGTCAGGCCTGTTCATGGAATCTAGTGCATGAGAAGTGCACTCAGGTGGTCTTAGTTGGGGAGGTGAGGCAGGGAGAGGTTCACCTTCCAGTGGAACCTAAAAGACCAAGAGAAGTGGAAACAGCAGATTACCATCTTTACTTGCTGCTTCTTGTGCCCAAGCTCGGAGCTCACCCCTTTTGGGGAGGGCACTGAAAAGAAGGCTTGGTCCCTGCCTGCATGGAGCTTAGGTCAAGGATTCTTGCAGGGGCCATATTGGAGGAGAAATAGCACAGGACCACGAGAAGAATGAGAGACACTTAACCTGTTAGTGTGCAGAGGGAAGGCCTCCTGGAGGAGTAGAGGCCATAGAGTTATCTTGAAGGACTGGTAGGTTGTGGGTGAGTGGAGAGAGGTGGCAGGACATCAGGCAGTAGGAACAGCACGAGCAAAGGCAAGGAGACTGGAATGGGCACAGCTGTGTCAAGGGAAATAAGGAAAGCAGTTTAGGAGAACAATAGGGACCAGATGAAAAGAAAGGCTGAGAAGGTGATTTGCTCATTCACCAGCCCTTACGGGGCACCCACTATGTGTCAGATGCTATGCTAGGGATACAGCTCTGGGCCACACAGACTTAGTCTCTGCCCTCATGGGCCTTATGACCCAGCAGGGAAGCCATGGGTCTAACAAGTAAGGGGCAAAGAACTCATTAATTGCAGTTTGGCTATTTTTTGTCAACATTAAGTTCGGGAGCAGTAGGAGAGCCATGAGAGAGGGTGACACCTGAAAAGAAGTCAAAGAAGGCTCCCCTGAGGAAGTGGCATTTAAACTGAAACCTGAAGAATGATGATAAACTAGGCAATGGAGGAGTATCCCAAGGAGAAGACGCAGCGCATAACAGGGCCCTGAGGTTGGGAAGAGCTTGTCACAGTCGAGGAACTGAAAGAAAGACAGTGGGGTTGGCGTGTGCTGAGTGACACAGGACCAGGGACACAGAGGACACAGAAGACAAGCCAGGAAGGCAGACCCAGGAGCCATGCTGCACGGGGACTGGCAGAGCATGTTAAGGAGTTTGGGTTTTAGCCTAAGAACCAAGAGAAGTGACAAAATCAGCTCTGTACTTTTTTTTAACAGTCACTTGATTTGCTCTGGGAGAGAATGGGCTAGAGGGAACAAAAGTGGAGACCTACTAGGCAACTGTCAGAGTCATTTGAAGGAACAGTGACAGCAGCCGGGGTGGAGTCATGGCAGGGAGGAAGGATGGAGGTGCAGTTGTTTCAGGCGGATTCCAAGTTTACTGACTCAGTGAGCCAGGACAGTGCAAGTGTTACGTGATGTAATTTCCCCTTCCTCAGTTTCCTCATCTGTAAATGGGCGGAGCAGGTCCTTACCCACAAGGCTGTTGAAAGTACTGAAGTGAGTTGACACACAAGGAAGAGTGAAATGGTGAAAGTTAGCTATGTTTGGCTGACTCAGGTGGCTTTGTGGAGAGGATGGGAGTCCCATTTTGGATGCATTCAGTTGGAGAAGATTATGGGTCATCCCAGTGGAGACATCAGGTAAACTGTCAGGTGGACTCAGGAGGGCGGTCTGGAGGAAGTTTGGGGACTGCTGGTGTACAGATGGTATCCAACACCACAGGAAAAGAGGAAATGTCCCAGAGAGAGCATGCAGGGTGAGCTCCCAGATGAGCCATGGGGCTTTGCCCGGCTTTGCATGCCAGGCTAGGGCACTGGAGCTTGCTCCTAGACCCCAGGAAGAATAGTGGGAATGACAGTGGCTTTGGCAGTGCCCCTGGGGACATCGAGCAATTCATCCTGACTCTGACCCCTGGCGGTCTTAGCTGGTGGCCTTTCCCTGATTCCCGGGGGAGTCAGGCCTGAGTCAGCTCCTCTGGGCCCTGAACCTGTCTGAGCCTTCAGACCCACGGCTTAGGCTGCTAAGCCCCAGCTCGTGCTGACAAATCCCTTCTAATGGGGAGATCAACCTTTCAATACTATGCGACTCGAGAGACATGTCCCAGGGCTGCAGACAGCTGGCTGGGCACTGGCCCAGAGAGGCCATGGGAGAGTGGGCATCCCAGCACTGTGGGCTCTCACAGGCCTCTCTGGCTGTCACCACCCACTCCAGCAGCTGCAGGGACTCCCAGTGCCCTGGCTTAGCAAAGCCACATGCTGGGTGTCCTGTGGGAGATTCAGAGAACAGATGAGAAAAGAATCTTGTCCCTGTGTGGCTTTGATGACCAAAATCGCATTAAAAGGAGTGCCGTAGCCCTTGGGAAATATGGTGGCTTCTGTATTTCCCACCTTAGGTTTTTGAACTTGCTCTTTTTTTCTGCCTGGAACATTCTTCCTGCAGATATCTGTAAAGCTTGCTCCATCATCTGCTTCTAGTCTTTATCCAAAAGTCATCTTCCCAAGGAGGCAGTCCCTAAAATTACAAGCACAACCCCTCAGTGCTTCCTACCCCTTCCCAGCTTTATTTTCCTCCATAATGTGTTCATAGTCTGCCATCCTATATTTTACTTTTTATTTTTAGTTGTTCATCTCCCCTAACCCCCAACCCCCAATTAAAGAGAAAGCGCTACAAGGACAGAGATTCTGGCTCTGTTGCTCACTGCTGGATCCCCAAAGGCTAGAATAGATCCTGGCACACAGTAGACAGTCAATAAATACTTGTTCATCAATTGATTGAGTGAAAGTATGCCTGGTGTCTCAGGTCACTGGACCCAGAATCAGAGTCCAGGGTTCGAGTTCTAGTTCTCTCCATGTCCTTTGTCAAAACACTGCCTCTCTCAAAGCCTATGTCTCCACATCTGTAAGATGGGAATTCAAAAGCCATAGCAAACTACTGAAGTAGGAACCGAGAGAAAGAGAAGGCAGTAGTAGCTGGGGGCAGAGATTGTGGGGTCAGAGTGTGGGGATGGGGATGGAGGAGACAGGTGTCTGGCATTGTCAGCCAGGAGAGTCAATTGGCCTGTGAGGCTAAATCTGGGAGGGCTTGACAAGGAGTTCCTGGAGGCTCTGTCTGATTCATTTCTGAGGCCCTCACATTCAACACTGGAGAGGTCCCTTCCTGGGCCTGAGCCCACTCTGAACATAGTGTGTGCAAGCAGGCCTGGGTCATCCTCTGGAGAGGCCCCTTCTTTCCCTGAAGGGAAGACTTCTTAGGGAGCTGGAAGAACCCAGATGCCACATCCAAATGGCCCCAAGCACCTTAGAGAAGAGCAGAGCATGAGAGGAGTGGCCCAGCATTCTAAATACATGAGACAATTGCCAGCTCCCTGTACTAAGGCAGCTGTGGGATAAAGCAGGACCCCTGCTTCAGACCTGCCCACTCCCCCGGTCATCTGCCTGGCAAACACCCACTGATCTTTAAGACTCGCCTCCAGCATCATCTCCCTTGGAAAGCCTTCCTTGACAGCTCCTCCCCACCCTACCTCATTGCACCCCAGACAGAACTGACCTGCCAATGACTCCGTTTTTTGGGCCCCTTGTGCCCTGTTCAGTGATTGATTCCTTGAAAAAAACATGTATGGAGTGTCCACCATGCACCAGGCACTGCCCAAGCACTGGAGATACAGCAGCAAAGGAGACAGATGAATGCAATTGCTGGCTCTTACAGAGCTGACAAACACTACCAGAATGATCCGCCAGCCTCTTCAGTCCACGTCTGTTTCTCCCACTGCACTGTGAACTGGTCAAGGCCAGGAGCTCTGCTCAATCCTTCTCCACACCCCATGTGCCCATGGATATTATATAAACGGTACGGAATATTGAGAGGCTTTGCTACTGAGGCCCCACTGGATATCTCCCAACTGCTTGGCCACCTACCCTCTCCCTGAGACCTCTAGACCATCCCCCATCCATCTCTAAACTATTAATGCCCCAGTTAATGCCATAGTTAGCACTTGTGCCTAACCCTGTTGTTAATTATTTTTAATATCATTCATTCCTCTACCTAGAACCACATCTAGCACATAGTAAGCACTTGGTTGGTATTTGTCAAAGGAAAAAAGATAAGAGAGGAAAAAAGGGAAAGAAAAAAAAGGAAGAAATTCTGGCACCAACACCATTTTTCTATGAATACTTAGATGTCACTTAACCTTTCTGAGCTTGAGTATTCTGAGCTACTCATTCTTGTTAAGTGTCATCCATGGATCTACAACATCAGCTTCATCTGGGATCTCCTTAGAAATGCAGAATTTCAGGTCAACCCCAGACCCACTGAATCAGGATCTTCAGCCTAACAAGATCCCCAGGTGATTGATACGCCCATGAACACTTGAGAAACACAGTTCTAAACTGTGTAATGAAGATGGTAACGCCAGCCCTCTTGACCTCCCAGGAGAGTTATGAGTGTCAAATGAGATGACCAATGTGAAAATGTTTTAAATACTGGAACATGCTGGGCAGATGAGACAGATTGCTATGATTATTCTTATGATTAATAATAGTCCTTGCAGAAAAACTACTTTATAGTTCTGTTTTAAAACCTCATTAAATTCTGTTCAAATGTGCTATTAAAAGTTATGTTCTAGTCCACTTAGCTCTGTAAACCCCAAGCCTTTTAAACAGAATGGCGTCTGGGCTTGAGGACAGAAACACAAGCCCTGCTTAGGATGGTTGCCGTGGGCATGATTGAATGCAAATTTCTTTCCCACAACACCCTGCCAACTGATTGATCCTGGGGAAGAAGGAGATGTTGGGAACCCAGTTCCTCAGAGAAAGGAAAAACTAAGTAGAGGCAGAGGGTGGAAAAAGACAACCCTGGGGTTTCACGCTGGCTTGTGGGGTTGTACTGCATGCCTATAATCTTCTGCCTTTCAGCCTCTGCCAAACCACGTAGAAGGAAAAGAAGGGAGCTGAAGAGAAAGGAGCCGACTCTGGTGGAGAATGACCTCAGCCACAGGCTGGGGTAGTGGGCTGCCATGGAGAGAATCCTCCAGCTGAGGCAACCGCAGAGGCAGCTGCTAGTGACTGCAAGGGCTTTTGATGCTAGACTGGTCTGAAGCTCAAGGCCATGCCAGCAGCCCCATCAGCTTTTGGCTCCAATATAAAGGCTACGAGTGAGTTAGGGAGATGTATCTTGGACTCAGGTTTAGGGCAGGGGGCAAGAGGAAGCAAGAACCATGATTAAATGAAGTAGTAGAGATTGGCAACAGCTCAGGACTGGTGATCAAAACACTAACACAGAGTGTCAGAGGCAGCCACACTTCTCTCCACTCTGAGTTACATCTACACACCCAGCCGAGGCTGGGCACCTCACGGTTGGCTCCTCCAACGAGAGATAGCAGACGAAAGCCCCAACGTCGCGGGGAATCTCTCTCTCTAGGTCTCACTCAAGCCTGTGGCTCAGCCATAGACTCTGAATCTAGCTTTCCTGTCTCATGCTCTGCTTTCTCCCTTGCTCTCTTCAGTCATAAATCTCCCAGCCCTCTGCCTGGCTCACCCTGCCCCATGCCAGCATGACCCCTCGGCCCTTCAAAATCACAACACTCATTCTGAGTCATCATCTATCCTCATTTATCTCACCTCATGTTCATTCTCAGTCAGTCACTCCTCAAACATTCCCTGGCCACTTTCACTGGGCCAGGCCCTGTCCCATACTCCAGAGACATGGAGAGGAATTACACCTGGCAGTGACCTCCCCTCTCAGAACCTCATAGTCTAGAGGGGAAGACAGACAATTTTTATAACATGATAGGATGTGTTCTGTCACAATGGGGAGTGCAGGGGATCAGCAGAACAAAGAGGAAGCAGGACACACAGTCAAGAAAGGGCATTCAAGGAAGGCTTCCCAGGGGAGGTGCACCTGTGCTAAGACCTGTAGGACCAGCAGGCCTGAACTCACATAAAAAGGGACAGAGGAAGCCAAAAGGGCAAACAAGCATGTAAGTGACACTCAACCTCCCTGGCAATCAGATATGCAAATTAAAACAATGAGATACCATTTTACACCCATCAGACTATAAACGTAAGAGTTGAATAATACTAAATGCTGGCAAAGACTTAGGGAAACCTGAACCCTTGTGCACTGCTGGGGTAGAGTCAGGCAGGACTAAGGGAGATTAAATCCAGGTATGTCTATGAGCCCTCTGTGCGCACTCACAACAAAGACACTCATGCCCTGATCCCTGAGGAGAAAGATACAAGAATGTTCATTCGGATACTCTTTGTGATGTGGAGTTGGGCGGCACCAGGGAGTGGCTGAGGAAATGCAGTGGATGCCCACGGCACACATGCAGTTAGAGGTGATGAACCAGACTCCACAGGGACATATGATGATATGGACTGATCTTAAAAACATGTGTAAAGTGGAAAAAAATTAGAAACAGAAGGTGCTCTAAAGCAAAATACCATTTATGTAAATGAAAAACATGCATAAAGGAAAGAACACCATATATTTTTCAAAGAAACGTGCATTTCCAAGGTCATACAACAAATATCTTAGAGTGAGGGCCTATAAGGAAGAGGGAAAGAGAAGGGGGGATGGGAAATGAAGGGACAGGAAAATCATAGAATACAACAAAGAAAGACTGGGCCTTGCAGAAAAGATGAGGATAATAATGGCTTGTCATAAGAAGGAGGGCAATTAAGTAAACTTGTGGCACCTACTTGAGATTTTAAAAAGGAAAAGAAAAAGCAGGAAGGAATTGGAGTTTAGACAGAAAAAACCAAAGGTGCAGAGACCCAGAGGCAGCAGAGAAGGAAATAAGGTAGAAGGTAGGAGGGAACACAGGACTACAGGTGGTCCAGCCAGAGCTGGGCACAGAGATCCAGGGAGCAAGTGGGGAGAGAGGAGGCTGCAGTGCATGGGGAGGCTAGACCCATAAGGACCTTGTGTGCCATGGTGAGGGCTTTAGACTTTGTCTTAGATCCACTGAGCATCCCTGGAAAGGTTTAAGAGCATTCTCAGGCCCGGGTCTTAGATATTCTCAGAGAATCACAGATTTTTGGAATGTCATAAACAGAAGTGACCATGGCAGTCACACAGTCTGCCCTCCCTCCTCCTCACTCACACAGCACCAAGGACAAGTAGGTCACCCCAGAACTTGATTGTATACACAGCGCTTTCACACTCACAGTCTAACTCGATCCCCACGACACCCACAAAAGAGGCAAAGCAGGTGTTACTATTCCCATTTTATAGACAAGCTCACTGAGGCTAAGGAAAGTAAAGAAAACCTTGTAGTCTTCAGAGTGTAGGATTGCAGCCTTTTTTTCCAGAGGCTGCAAGATCCAAAAAAGTCTTGTCAGAGTTGAGCTGAATTCAAATGTATTGAGTTTAATTAACCTAATTAGGTTTAATTAGTTTGCATGATGCTGAGCTGAATCCACCCCTTCATTCAAAAAACAGTTTTTAAGTGCCTACTGTATGTCAACATGTGCTAGATGCAAGGAATACAGCTGTGTACTAGACAGTCCCGACCCTCTCAAAGCTAACACAACAGTAGGAGAGATCACCTTTAAATAAGTCTTTTGGTTCTCACACTGTCCTTGCCACACTGGCCTTGGACACATCTGTGTCATGCCTCAGGGCCTTTGCACTTGCTGCGTCCTGTTCCTGGAAAGCACTTGCTCCTGATAACTGAGGGCTGGCTCCTCCAGTTTGTTCAGGTCTCTGCTGAAACATCGTCTCCTCAGGGAGATTTGTTTTTTTGTTTTGTTTTGTTTATTTTGGGGGATAAGATGGGTCTTGCTCTGTTGCCCAGATTGGAGTGCAATGGTACAAGCATAGTTCACTGCAACCTCGAACTCCTGGGCTCAAGCAATTCTCCCACCTCAGCCTCCTGAATAGCTAGGACTACAGCCACATGCCACAATGCCTGGCTAATTTTTGTATATTTTGTAGAGATGAGGTCTTGCTATGTTGCCCAGGCTGGCCTCAATTGATCCTTCTGCCTCAGCCTCCCAAAGTACTGAGATTACAGGCATAAGCCACCATGCATGGCCTACTCAGAGAGATTTTCTATTACTAGAGTACAATGGCACAATCTCACCTCACTGCAACCTCTACCTCGGGGGCTCAAGCAATCCTCCCACTTCAGCCTCCCAGGTAGCTGGGACTACAGGCACTTGCCACCACACCCAGCTAATTTTCTTTGTTTTTTGTAGAGATGGGGTCTCACTATGTTGCCCAGGCTGGTCTCAAACTCCTGGGCTCAAATGATCCTTCCGTCTCGGCCCCACAAAGTGTTGAGATTACAGGCAGTCACCACCACACCAGGCCACCACCATATTTCTTAATAGCCACCAGCACCACTACTTCACCCCCCTCATTGTTCTCTTCCCCTTTATCCTGCTGGATTTGTCTTCACTGCAGTTATCACCATCTAACATTATAGCACACACACACACACAGACACATGCACACATGTATATTGGTTTATTTTTATTATTTTATTTCTGTCTCTCCCTCTTATGTAAGCTCAAGGACAGTAGAGATTTTGTCAACTTTTTACTGAAATACCCCAGCCCCAGAATTCCTGGCACAGAGTTGAATAAATACATGACATTTTTACAAGTTGGATGGTTGATATAAGAAACTGTAGAATTCAATCAAATTAAGATCTATAAGTTGAGTTAAGTAGAGTTGGGTTATGTTGGGTCAGGAAGGGTTCATTCAACAATTCCATTAAGAAACATTTATTGAGTTTCTACTATGCATCAGGCCCTGTTTGATACATTTGGGGTACACAGGTGACTAAAACAAAACTCTTGGCCCTCATAGATTTCATATTCTAAGGAGAGTTACTGAAGGGTTAAGCTAAATTAAATCAAGTCCAGAAAAATTTACCTGAGCTGAATTGAGTCAAACTGGGCTGATTCGAGTTGGACTGAGTTGTTTTGAACTGGGCTGGAATAAACAGGGCAGTACAGGACTAGTCACAGATGACTTGGACCAGGCTAGATAAAACTGGGATAAACTGAGCTAAGGTAGTTGAGTTCTGTTGGGCTGAAATTGGTTGGGTTATACTGATTTAATTCAGGGTGAGTTGAGTTGAAAATGTCCCGTGCACTGTAAAAAGTGTTTTCTTCTGAATGAGTTGAACAGATGTGGGTGAGATTGAGTCAATTGGATTGAGTTTGGTGGGTTGGGATGGATTGTCCAGAGTAAGGTTGAGTTAAACAGGGCTTCATGGAATTGGATTGAAGGGAGAGAGTCTGTGCAGAGTTTCTGATCTGTGTCGAGTTGGGTCATATTGAGTCAAGCTTCCTTGAGTAGAGCTGGGTAGAGGTCAGATGCGAGAAGGTGCATGTAGCCAGGCTGAGTGGAGCTGATCTATTGAGTTGAAAGAATCTGTGCTGAGCTAGGCTGCCTGAACTATAAGGACCTGAAATAATGCAGCCATCCGTATGGCACAGACTCAAGCAGCTTGGAGGAAGAGTCGCCGTTCTTTCCACACGGTGTGCTCTGGGACTGGCCACAGCCTTTGGAGAACCATCTGCCTTCCCGCCAGGCTGGTGGAGCCTAAGTCTTCCTGCTCCTTAGCCTCAGATCATTCTGACAATTTTTTCATACATCCATTTCAGACAAGTCCCCTGGAGGTCCTCACACCCAGATTCGTGGACTACCTCCTCCCGGGATCCTCCCTCTTCCTGGACTTAGACACCCCACAGCTTCCTCTCTCCCCTTCAGCCTCCTGGATGAGATCCATCCCTGGCAGTTGTCTGCTTCCAACCTGGCACTGTAGGGCCACTCAGCTGCATGGGCCATCCTCAGCCTGCTTGGTCATGTGGAACAGCATAGTGAGGCTTCGGTCAACAGCCCCCAGTCCCTCGGGTGCCATTAGGGGCCTACAAGAGTAGTTTTCTCTCAGCGTCCAACTCCAGGGTACAAGCAGTGCCTTGTAACCAGCCAGCTTAAGACAATTCCCTACTCCCCTTCCAGATGAGCCCTGAGGGAAATCATAGCCAGGACTGGCCAAGGAGGACTTAAGGTCAGGAGGGCCTCTCCAAAGCCTTTTCTCCTGCCATCTACATGCTACCTGCAAAGCCAGAGCAGAGCTGAGGGCTAGGTTCTCCAACCTGCAGCCTTCTGATTGTAACCGTCACCACCCCTTCTTGTCACTGCCTTCACCCACCCCAGCCTTTGCCATGTCTCCCTATCAACGCTCAGAACTAAGTAAGATTTCCTTGGGGCCTTATGGAGGCCGTGACTTCATGGAAGACAGCCTCCATATACACACACACTTCATTTTTGCTTTCCAAGGGTTTGGGTGGGGGGGGGTCACCTACACTGAAATAAGGTAGTTTGACACAGATTACAGGCAAAAAAAGTCTTTTTGAACAATTTTTTAAACTAAATTTTTCCCAACATTGCTAAGAAGAAGGGAGGAAGAGCCAGCAGGAGAGGAGAATAAATAAGAAAAACCCAACTATGGCAATACATGTGTCATTATGAGAGTAGGGGAATGGGAGAGAGGACCCAAAATACAAGGAATATACTAATGGGGCTTTAGAAGGGAATAGAACTTCCCTCTGCAGCTTCCTGTCTGTTCCTCCCACTCTCTGGGGCCACAGAGAACAGAGGAAATGAAGGCTGAGTCTGAGCTTCCCATCTGCTGTGAGTCAAATGAGAGCTTCCCATCTTACCGTGAGTCAAATGAGCCAGGGAGGGTATGTCAAGGACCCTCACATGGCAGAGCCTTGTAAATCATTTGGAATCTCTCTGCCCCAGGACACTTATACATACATTTCCTCTGCCTAGAGCTCTCTCCTGCCCTTCCATATACATCCCTTCCTTCCCTTGGCATAACCAACTCCCACATGCCCTTCAGGCCTCGCTCAGGTGTCACATTCTCAAGAATGCCTTCCCTGACAGCCCCCTACCATCACCAGTCAATCTCAGGGCATTCTGCACCTCTCCTTTGCAGCATTCATCACAGTTCTGATTACTAATTGTGTAAATCTCCCATTGAAATGTAAGTTCTATAAGGGTTGGGACCTTGTCTCCACAGTTCATCACTATATCCCAGAATCTAGTACATAGTAGGTGCTCAACTAATATTGATAAATGAATAAATGAATCCAAACACAATCACACATACAATTTACAGATGAGAAAGTAGGCTGGGAAGCAGGGAGTGGCACTATGGTTCACACACACAGTCACTGGTTGAGCCAAGACTAGAATTCAAACCCCCCAGTGACCGAGTTATGGGACCACTTCGTCTCCCACATCTGGACAAGCTCCTGTGGCCTCCAGGCACAGAGTGAGGTAAGCACCAAGGCAGAGGCTGGTGTGAATTAGGGCTCCTTGCCTTCCTGCTCCCACACTGGGCTCTGAAAGTCTCTCCTCCCCCAAGTCACTGCCAAGGGCTGGGCCTGGAAACTCCTCCCAGCCCTAATCCACTACATCCACCATCAAAGCCCCACTTGATTACCTACCGCAGAATGACAGGCTTGGATAGAAACTAACAAGCCTCTGTGTGTCAGAAACAACTGTTCTGACAATTTGCTCCTGAGCCTCCACCTGCCAGCTGGGGCAGTCCAGCATCCCATCCTTTGGAAGCCTCTCCCGCCTCTCCTCACTCCACATGGAGGCATCTGTCTATTATGTGCCAGGCCTTCAAGCGCATTATTACATTTCATCTTCACATTTCTACTTCAAAAGAAGTAGATACTATTATTATCCCTATTTTACAGAGTACAAAACTGAGGCTTAGAGAGGTGAAGTACTTACTCAGAACTATACAGCAGAAATAAACAGGGTAAGATCTATCTGACTACAAAACCAGTGTGCTTTGCCACTGCACTACCCACCCTCAATCCCTTCCCAGTCCTAGCACCAGGCCAGCATGCAGTAAGTCCCGTGGATGTTGGTAGGGTTCAGCTTCTTTGGATCAGTGGGGCCCTAAGAGTTCTTTTTTTTCTTCTTGCTCTGTCGCCCAGGCTGGAGTGCAGTGACTTGATCTCGGCTCACTGCAACATCCACCTCCTGGGTTCAAGCAATTCTCCTGCCTCAGGCTTCTAGTAGCTGGGATTACAGACATGCATCACCATACCCGGCTAATTTTTGTATTTTTAGTAGAGACGGGGTTTCACCATGTTAGTCAGGCTGGTCTTGAACTCCTGACCTCATGATCCACCTGCCTCAGCCTCGCAAAGTGCTGGGATTACAGGCATGAGCCACCGCGCCCCGCCCAAGAGTTCTATGAAAATACCCAAAGGACATGATGAAACAGAGAGGGAACCTGAGAACCCAGAGTTTCAGAACTCAAGCTCAAGAACAAACTTGCCGGTGAACACAAACATGAACACACATATGCATCCACACACACATCCTTCAATAAGAGAAGGGCCAGTCTTCATTGCTTTTCCATGTAAGATGTGTCTGAACAGAAGTTTCTGCTGCCAAAAACCATCTGAAGAGCAAACCATTGCTTCCAGAGTCTCTCCAGATGAAGGACCCCCTCTTATCTTCCCAATGAGCAGGACAGGGCAGCCTCCCCAGCTCCTCCCATTCCAGTCCCTGGGTGCCAGAGCAGGACTTCTTGCCGACCCAGCAGGTGGGGCTGGGCCTCGGTGGAGAAGCCCCGGAAGGATTTAGGAAGCATGGGGCAGCCTGTGGGTGGGATCATCCCAGGGAGAGAGAGGCTGGAGACAGGGAGGAGAGTATTTCCGCCAAAAATGCTTAACCTGAAACTAGTAATGAAGAAACACTCAAAAAGTCTAAATCAAGGGACATTTTGCTAAATAACCAATCTAGACTCTTCAAAAATGTCCATATCATGAAAGATGACCCCAAAAAGAGGCTGAGAAATTGTTTGAGATTAATGGCAGCTAAAGAGACATGACAACTAAAACAAAATGTTCTAGAGGACATTATTTACAAAATTGGGAAAACTTGGAAACAGGCCATGTATTATATAATAGTATATAGCATGAAAGTTAAAATTTTAGGGCAACAATTATATTGTGGTTATAGAGGAGAATGTCCTTTTTTAAAGAGATGCATGCTGAAATTTGAGGGGTGAGGTCTGTTACTCACAAATGAAGAGAGAGAGGTGAGGAGGAAGGAGGGATGCAGGGAAGGAAAGAAGAGAGAGAGGAAATATGTTAATGATTGGTGGATCTAGATGAAGTGCATAGGAGTATTTGTTGTATGATTCTTATTGTTCTGTTCTTCTGATTTGTTCAACATGAAAGGTAGGGGAGGGTTATTTAGCTAGATTGAGAAAATAGGAGATGGCATCCCAAAGTCAGAGGTAGGAATGACTATAGGGTGGATGGGGGAAACAGTGGAGCCAGCCTGCATTGAGAGAGAAGGATGGGGATGGGGAGTCTCCTGAAGCCAGATCACACAGTGCTTTCAAATCCAGGAGGAAGATCAGCTCTGGTCCCACGGAGCAAAGGGCAAAAGAGGATGGAGGGGAGGTCTTAGGGCAATGCATGGGGCAGCAGTGTGGGTGGGATGATCCCGAGACAGAGAGAGAGAAAGAGATAGAGTGAGACAGAGAGACAGAAGCAGACAGAGAGCAATGAATAGAGATAGAGGCAGAGAGAGAGACTTGAAGCAAGGAGAAGCTGAAAGAGAAGAGGCCCGGCCAAAAGCTCTGGGACAAGATCGGCCAAGATGAGTCTGAGCTCATGCATCAGCAAGTCCTGGCAACAGATGGAGAGGCCAAGAGGTGAGGGGTGGTGAAGGTTCACAGGCTTGGACACCAGCTCACCCTATCCTGGCATTTTTGTGGCACACGCGCACCCAGTTTGGGTGCAGCTGGCGAGGCAGGAAGAGGGACTTTGGGTGGCAGTCCAGCCAGGACCAATCCCTACACCATCATCACTGCCTTGGTTTTCTTTGCCCATGTAAGGGTGACCATAGCCAGGCCCACCTTATGGATTGGTTGTTGCGAGCACTGGCAAGCTAGAGTCTGTGAAGTGAATGATAAATAGAAGAAACTCAAAAAGTGAGTAATAAATAAAAGCTGTTACACCATAACCCCTACTAACTCTCACCCACGAAATGGGGATTCACACATCTGCTGCTCTAGGTGTGGACGCAGCCGTGAATGAAGCAGACAAAAAGCCCTGCCCTCCAGAGAAACAGACAGTAAACAAAACACACAATTAAAAGATACAGTGTGAGATGGCAGGAAGTGCTGAGGAGAAGGACAAGGCAGCGGGGGAGAGGGGGTACCCAGGTGATGGGACCAGGCAAGGCGGGTTCCATGCAAAAACTGCTGTCCAAGAAAGGTTCACTGAAAAGGTGACATTTTGGCAGAAACTTTTTTTTTTTTTTGAGACGGAGTCTTGCTTAGTTGCCCAGGCTGGAGTGCAGTGGCACGATCTCGGCTCACTGCAAGCTCCACCTCCCAGGTGCACGCCATTCTCCTGCCTCAGCCTCCCGAGTAGCTGGGACTACAGGCGCCTGCCACCACGTCCGGCTAATTTTTTTTGGTTTTTTTTTAGTAGAGATGGGGTTTCACCATGTTAGCCAGGATGGTCTCGATCTCCTGACCTCGTGATTCACCCGCCTCGGCCTCCCAAAGTGCTGGGATTACACGCGTGAGCCACCACGCCCGGCCAGAG
This sequence comes from Homo sapiens, assembly GCF_000001405.40. Taxonomy (NCBI): domain Eukaryota; kingdom Metazoa; phylum Chordata; class Mammalia; order Primates; family Hominidae; genus Homo; species Homo sapiens. The sequence continues at coordinate 47,478,987 of NC_000001.11, read as the reverse complement.
AAACATTTTACTAAGAGGTAAGGGAGGGAATCTACCAGATCTGGGAAGACCGTTCCAGGCAGAGAGAACAGTTTCGTGCAAAGTTTTTCAGGTGGGAGGAAAAACCCTGAGGCCCAAAGGGAGAGAGGAGGAGCAAGAGGAGGGGAGGGGAGCTGGGGGGTCTAAGCCAGGCTAACCAACATGTTCACCCATCCCTCTGGCTCCAAAATTGACAACAGACTGAAGGGAAGTGGGGCAGAATTTAGGAAGTTAACTTAATAATCCAGGAGTCAGATCCAGGAGATGATGGTGTCTGGGACCTGGAGGGTAGCGGTGGAGGCTGAGAAGTGGTTGGATGATGAATAATTGTTTGAGGGTAGAATCAGCAGGGTTTCCTGCCTGGTTATTGAGGAGTCTAGAGAAATGTGTATGAAGGTCTCAGTGCACATGCCACGGGCATAGACCTGACCCTCAAGTAGAGGCTCCATAAGTGGGCTGTTAGGCCCCACGCAGGACCGCGTGGAAAGCAGCTGACAAGGAACAGCATTGCACCAAAAGCCTCTATAGTGCAGCCAAGCAAGAAAGGGGTATCCCCAGAGCCTGTGAGCCCCTCCCCTACCACTCCCTGCCCGAATAGGACCGCAGAGGCCACAGGTTACGGAGAGGGAGCTCACACCCCGGCAAAGATTGATGCCTTTTAAACAGACCCAGAGTGAGAAGGACAGAGAAAGTCAATATTTGTCCGAGCAAGCCAAACAGGCCGGCTCGCCCAGGAATGTGAGGGAGGGAGGGAGGCCCAGTGCCCAGAGAACATTATTTCAACAGACAGATATTTGGAAACCGTCGCTGTCCTGGGGATGGGGGAAGGGGGCAGTTCACCCAGCCCTCATTCCTGCCCAGGGATGGATGGGACCAGGCCTGGCAGCAAGGGGGTGAGAAGGGAGGGGACAAAGGGACAGTGGGGAGGGAAAAAGCAGATCAGGGCAGAGGAGCTGGAAACTGAGGGTCAGAAAGGGGAAGGGATTACCCAGGACATACAGGTGAAATCCTCCAATGGTTTTTCACATCTTTCAATTCAACTGCAAACATTGTAGCCTGCTCTAGGCGGCTTTCCACCATCCAGACCCTGCCTACCTGTCTTGTCTCACCTCCCTGCACCCCCAGCGAATCTGAGCATTTTATGGTACCAAAGCACACCCAGTGCTCAGCTTGCTTTTGCATACACCATTCCTCCACTGGACACACCTTTTTTTAACTCTGATTCATTCTTCAAAACCTAGTTCAAGGTTCACCTGCACCAGCAGTCTTCTTGTTTGAGGTTAAGAGCTGGAGGCTCAAATCCAAAGAGGGCGGGACTTGCCAGTTACTGGCTGTAGAACTTTAGGCAAGTTCCTTGACCTTTGTAAGTCTTAGTTTTCTCATCTGCAAGATGGTGTGGGAGGCCGAATAATGCTCCCCACCCTCAAGATGTCCACATCCTCATCCTCAGAGTCTGTGAATATGTTACCTTACATGGTGAAAGGGACTTTGCAGATGTGATTAAATGAAGGATCTCAGATGGAGAGATTATCATGGATTATCAGGGTGGGCCCAGTGTAATCACAAGGGTCCCTATAAGAGGGAGGCAGGAAGGTCACAGTGAGACCAGGAGATGTGATGATAGAAGCAGAGATTGGAGAGATGCAGGGGCCACAAGCCAAGGAATGCAGGTGGCCCCTAGAAGTTAAACAAGGTAAGAAAATAGATTATTCCTCAGAGTCTCTAGAAGCAACAGCCCAGCTAACACCTTGACCTTAGTCCAGTGAAACTTGTTTTGGACTTCTGAACTCCAAACTGTAAGATGATAAATTTAGGTTGTTTAAAGCCGCTAAGTTTACAGTAATTTGTTACAGCAATAGGAAACTAATTCAGCTAAGTACCACATTCATACCTACCGCCAAGGTTCTTGTAAGTAAGAACTAAATAACTTTATATATAAAGTTATAGTACATATATATACTATATCTATATAGTTTATATATATTTAAAAGTGACTGTATATATACATATATATATATATATATACACTTACAAGAACCCTGGAGGTAGGTATGAAGACCCCTTAGCATTGTACCTGATAGAGAGAAAGGGCTCAGGGGCTGTTGAGTATCCCTGTTGGTGCTACCACGTCTACATCCCGGCCTCTTCACAATCCCTTCCAACTTGGTCTTTAATGTCTGTGTGCATCTCTGCCTGCTTCTCCAGATAGTGAGCAATTTAAGGGCAGGCACACAGTGTTATATTAGTCTTGGTATCGTCAATACCAGGCACTTAGCAAATGCTCAAAAAATGTTGAATGAATAAGTGAATGAATGAATGAATGAATGCTGGCATTTGTCCATGCACAATGTGGCTTTAATCATACAAATTCGACAACCATGGGACCAAGCTTTAGAATCCAAACCCCAGAAGCGATCTCTGGAAATAGTTGGGTCCTGAAGGGCGGACAGGTGGATGGAGGATACCAATCACCCACCTAGGTTTGTCTCGGAATTTCCAAGTAGCTTCTCCTTGCGACACTGCAAGAAGCTGAGGTTTCTTTTTTCTGAGACAGGATCTGGCTCTGTCACACTAGCTGGAGTGCAGTGGCGCAATCTTGGCTCACTGCAACCTCTGCCTCCCAGGCTCAAGCCATCTTCTCACCCCAGCCTCCTGAGTAGCTGGGACCACAGGCGCACAACACCACGCCTGGCTAATTTTTGTATTTTTTGTAGCGACAGGGTTTCACCATGTTGCCCAGGCTGATCTCAAATTCCTGAGCTCAAGCAATCCACCCACCTTGGCCTCTCAAATTTCTGGGATTACGGGCGTGAGCCACAGCGCCTGACTCGAGAAGCTGAGGGTCGTACCCAGAGAGATGGTTGACAACCTCTGGACCCAGGTTCCCACAAGTGGCTGCTGCCTCCAGGTCAGAGGTAGTGCCTGGGAAGGCAGCACATGTGGTCAGCAGATTTGGGCATGCATCACAGTGATGAGGAAGTAGATGGTCAGCATCCAGTGGCCTTTACTATGTGCCAGATATGTGCCTTGTGTAGTGTAAAGTGCTTTACATCATTTTTTCATTTCATGCTCAAGTGTCTGTTATTCTTCCCATTTACCAGGGAAGAAACTGAAGCTTAGATAGGTTATGCAATTTGTCCAAAATCACACAGCTTGCAAATCCCCATGCTGCTTGCCTCAAGAGCCTGTTCTTATCACCACCACCCTCCACTGCCTGTCAAGCTGTCATGTCCTTAGATTTGTGTTGTACCTTCTATAGAAGCTGGATGGGACCTCAGGACAGACAGCTTGGTATATTTATTTTTGCCCCCTCTAAAGTCATTCAGCAAACATTTATCAAGCCTCGTCTGGGTCAGGATCTGCTCTGGGCATTGGATTCGGAGAGGTGACCCAAGCAGAGGGACAGGCCCTGAACAATTGCAGCGCAGTGCTACATCCTGAAATAGTGGGACATATGAGGCCATGGAAGACCAGAGGAAGGCATCGATATCTGTTGGGCTTCAGAAATAAAGCTCCCTCAGGAATAGCCAAACACATGGCAAGGGGTACCCTTTGAAAGAAGGAATTCCAAGCCAAGGGAACATCATATGCAAAGGCCCAGAGGAAAGAAAGTGGGACACTCAGGAAAGCACAGATCACTGAGGGTGGCTGAAAGGTAGAGGTCAGAGAGGAATGAAGCTGGAGCATGAGCAGGGCCATATGTAGACCACAGTACTGAGGATGCATTTGAGCCTGAGGGCAACAGGATGCTACAGAAAGGATTTAAGCAAGAGAAGGGCTTGGTCAAATTGTACAATCTTCTTAAAATAATAACACCAATATCTATCATGTATCCAGTTCTTGTTATGTCTCAGCTACTCTTCTAAGCAACCTACATGGATTAATTAACTTAATCATCACTACAGCATCATTGCTATCATATAACATCTTCAGTTTACAGACGAGAAAACTGCAGCACAGAGAGGTTGAGTAACTTGCCCAACATCACACAGCTAGTAAGTGACAGAAATGAGATTTTGAACCCAGATCATCTGGCTCTAGATCTGAGGTACTCACTCTGGCTGAACTCTTCTCCTGGGACGCAGGGTTTAGATGTGGCTGTGTGATACCAGAACCCAGCATAGGGCAAAGCAAAGAGGAATTGTCCAGGAATTCTGGGCGAGGCTGCCCAGCAAGTGGGCCTGGCTCAAGGAGATGGAATCTGCTCTTCAAGCTGCTCTGGGCCCAAGGCAGCTGGATGACTACTCACAGCCCTGCCTCCCTTGGACTTGAGTCTCCAGGACTGGCTGATGCTTCAGGAGCTCCCCTCTGCCCCAGAGCCCACCCTCCCACAGCGCTGCTGTGAGTTCTTGGGCATTGCCTTATCATCTTCCCAGATTTCTTTGGGGTTTTTCCCAGCTCTAATTTTCTGAAAGCCCTTCCGCTTTGCTGCAGATCCTATCTCCCTGTGTGTTTCCCATTAGCAAAGCGATTAGCACTCATCCATTTACATAAGCACAGAGGCCCCCCAGACCCAAGCGAGCCACGGCCTCTCCTTGGCTAGAAAGGAGTTCCCCTGGCATAATCTGCCCAAATACCTTCTCAGCAGCCACTTGTCTTCTCTAGGTGCCTCAGTTTCTTTATCTATAAAATGAGGATAATGATATCACATACTTCACAGGCTGTTGCGATGGATACCTGTATGATAAGCATAAGCAATGTGTATTCAATGTAGTACTATACATAGGGGTTATAACTATTATTGAAGTTATTACTGCCATCCGATCATCTTAGTTAAAGAAAGACAGGTAAACTGAACATCCAATTCTGTCATAACCATTCTCTTTTTTAAAGAAATTAATAACGCTTTTTTGACAAATAGAAGTACGTATATTTAGGGTTTATGACATGGTGTTTTGATGTACATTGTACATTGTAAAATGATTATCACAATCCAGCTAACTAACATATCTATCCCTCACATAGTTACCATGTTTTTGTTGTGTGTGCTGAGCACTTTAAGATCTACTCTCTTAGCAAACTTCAAGTAGCCAATACAGCATTATTAACTATAGTTATCATGTTGTACAATAAATCTCTTGAACTTATTCTTCCTATCAAACTGAAATGTTGTGCCCTTTGATCAACATCTCCCCAACATCCCCTCCCGCCCACCCTAGGCGCTGGTAACCACCATTCTACTCTCTGCTTCTATGAGTTCAACTTTTTTAGATTCTATGTATGAGTGAGATCATACAGTGTCTGCCTTTCTGTGCCTGGTTTATTTCATTTAGCATAATGTCCTCCAGGTTCATCCTCATTGTCAGAACGGCAAGATTTCCTTTTTAAAGGCTGAATAGTATTTTGTTGTATGTGCACGTTTGTGTGTACGCGTGTGTGTATACACATCTTCTTGATCCATTAATCTGTTCACAGACACTTGGATTATTTCCACATCTTGGCTATTGTGAACAATGCTGCCGTGAACATGGACGTGCAAAGGTTTCTTCAACCTTAGACCCAAAAGTTAGATTGCTGGGTCTGTCACAGACATTCTGAACAGCAAAAAGGAACAAACCCACATCAAGAATCATTAACTCCTGGCAGGCAGTGAGGGAGGAGCTTTCATGACATTTCATGATGCTCTGTCATCTAATTCTCTCAACTTCTCTATGAGGTAAGAATTGTCCCCATCTTACAGATGAGAAAACTGAAGCGTGGTGATGTGAGGTCAGCTGACCAAGGTCATCTACCTTGTAAGTGGCTTTGAACCCAGGTCTACTTGGCTGCACAAGCCTGGGCTCACTCTGCTGGACCATGCTCCCCGCACCCACCAGGCCACCTCTGAAATGAGGCAAAAGCCGTGTGCCCTTGTGGAGCTGCCACTGACCCCAGTCATAAGACTCAGAAGACAGACTGGCAGGAAGTATTCTTGTGCAAAATAACACAAATAAGAGCCAGCATTTCTTCTACTAATACTAGATGTCAGCATTCTCATGAATTTAATCCTCACAACAACCCTATAAGGTAGGTTATCCCCATTTTATGGATGAGAAAACGGAGGCACAGAGAAGTAGAGTGACTTGCTTAAGGTCCTACAACTAGTAAATGGCAGAGGCAGGATTTGAACCTGAGTAGTCTGGTTCTGGACCTTATGCCCTTAACCTTAACATCTACACACAATACTGGAGATGCTGAGAGGCGAGACGTGCCCCTAACATACTCACACACACATACACACACACACACACACACACACCCCACAACCTCAGTGTCCCCACTGTACCTGTTCTGGCCCAGCCCCACCTTCTACTATAGTGTATCCGTGATGTCCCTGGATAGAGTACCTGGGGGAAAGGTACATGCCCTACATGCCCAGGTTCCCATGCACCAGGTTCCAAGGCACCCACTTTGGAGTGAGCCACCCCGCGATGCATAGGAGGTCAGCAGCCTCAGGCCCCACTTCCCTACCAGACCTTGCTGTCATTTTAATGTCACAGGCCTCTGATTGTGCTCACAATATGAGGACTTGCAACTGTTTCCCTGGGCCCTCACCATGATCCACAGGTTACCTTTAGCAGGGGCTCAGTGGTCCTGGCTGAGGGGCTGGGGAAGTGGCTCCGTGTATATGAGCATAACCCTCTCTGCCACCCAGCAATCTTGCATCCCCAGCTTCTCAGTGGGCTTCGAGGAGAGAGAAGCACTCCAGCCCTCTCCACATCCTTGTTTCCCCCATGGTTCCTGGGTGTCTAGGCCCTGCTTCTCTTCTAGAGATAACCTGGGGGAGATGCTGCCAACCCTCCTGGTGACCCAGCAGGCCCAGGAAATGCCCAGCACTTTAATCATCAAGCGTCCAAACCTCAGAGGCATTCACTCCCATCCTCAGCATCCCAGGATCCAACTCGTCCCCAACTCTGGGGATCACCTGGGAACAGCAACAACAGAGGCCTTTGCAGATAACAAAGCCTTTCAAAGACTCTACTCCCAGTGGCTTGACTGACAGAAACAAACAACCGACTGACCTATAGACAAAGGCTATATCTACACAAGCAGCTCAATTTTGGAGGAAAGGGAATGAGTCTGCTGGTGTGAACACAACCGCCTGCCAGGAAAAGAACCTACTGAGTGCCGAGCACATTGGCCCAGGCCTCCATCATCTAATTTGTTCCCTGGGTCAATGCCTACTGGACAAAGAAGCCAATGAACTAAACTCAACACGAGACCAGAATCTTGGTGTAGGCATTCTGTCACTGGCTTTCTACATGACCTTAAGAGAAGACTTCTTTCCCTGAGCCCCTATAAAATGAGGCTTTGGCCTCTGCACCCTCCTAGAACTGAATGATATTGATTTCAAGGGCTCTGGTCCAGCACGATTCTGCTCTTATCAACTCCAGATTCTTGGTAAAACACTCACTAATGACCAGATACGATCACAGAAGGTGTTTCCACTCACCCCCCCTTGCCTTATTCCAGTTTGCCCACACCTTGTGCCTTTTGGTAAGAGAAAACAAAGAGGCCTGACGCTGGGATACGCTTAGAGAAGATTCGCAGGACATCTTGGATCTGCCAGAGGGCGGACCTCTTGGCTGGAAGCCCCAGCCCTTGAGCCAAGCAATTGTCCCCTTAATTAAAGACATACCCCGGACTATGGAGAGAGCCAGTGGGGACTGACTCATTTACACTTGGACCATGAGCCAGGCTGTGCTAAGGAGTCTGCTCTGTGGCTCAGAGGAGGAGGTGGACCTTTTTATGGAAATGACTTGAGATTTTCCTCTTTCAGGAAAAACAATCTTTTTTTTTTCTTGGAGTAAATAAAATATCTCAGCCAAGATAGAGGTTCTGCCATAAACTCCAAACCAAGAAGTCCAAGTCTCATTTCAGGAACCTTCCCTGGGGGTTTCCCTCCTCTGTGGGGATATTGGCTATGGGACAACGGGACATAAAGGAACAGAATTGCTCAGGTAAGACTGTAGCTCCCAAAACCTAAAGTCCATGAGATGCTCCAGAAAATGGTGGGTCCAGATGGATAGGAACCACCCCTTCTTGTTTTTTGTTTGTTTGTTTGTTTTTGTTAGGTTTTGTTTTGTTTGGTTTTTGAGACCGAGTCTCGCACTGTCACCCGGGCTGGAGTGTGATGGCGCAATCTCTGCTCACTGCAACCTCTGCCTCCAACATTCAAGCAGTTCTCCTGCCTCAGCCTCCCAAGTAGCTGGGATTACAGTTGCCCGCCAACACGCCTGGCTAATTTTTTTGTATTTTTAGTAGAGACGGGGTTTCACTATGTTGGCCAGGCTGGTCTCGAACTCCTGACCTCGTGATCTGCTCGCCTCGGCCTCCCAAAGTGCTGGGATTACAGGCATGAGCCACCGGGCCCGGCCCAGAGCCACCCCTTCTTAAGGTCCACCTGACTCAGACACCCCCCACTGCTTCAGCTACATGGTGTCCTGCTCCCTGCCAAATCTCCATCTCTAGTCTAGAGAGGCTCAGAGATAGCTTCAAACTCCAGCCTCCCAGGATGCACCCCTGTCCCCACCTCCCCTGCCACCTATTGTTCCACAATCATGGACCTCTTCAGGCTTCCTTACTGCCCTATCCATCACCCCAGCCAGAAACCCAACTCCTTCCTCTCTCTTACGCCCCGCACCAATTGGTCCACCAATCCTGTCAGTGCAAATTCCAATGAGCTGCCAAGTCCATCCATGCCCTCACCTCTGTAGCACTGCCTTGCCTGGTCACTACAATCCGCCCTTCACAGGGCAGCCAGGATCCAAGCCCAAGTCTGACCATCTCTCCCTTCTTTAGTCACCCGTGCCTCCTCCCCACAGCCCACAGAAAGGAGAGGAAGTTGGCTCTGTGGCTGGACTGGCCGCTGGGGGCAGTCCACATCTCCGATACACACCATGTGTCCCCTGATAACGCCTTCTGCTCTGTGTCTACCCCATTCTCTGCCGATCCCCGGCTTTGTGCCTCTCCATATGTTATTCCCTCAGCCAGGAATGCCTTGCCCCAACTGCCTTTCAAGATTCAACTCAGGACATTGCCTCCTTCAGGAGAACATCCTGATGCCCAGATTGGGGCAGACCTTGCCCAACGTGTTCCAGCACAGCCCAGGGTGACTCTGTTGGGGCCCTCATCTTGCCCTCATCTCACTATGTATCTTGCCATGTGTCTGATCCCTCAGGGTCTCCCCAGAGCTTAGTAAGAGCCTGGCACATAGTGGGTACTCAGAAAAGATGGGTTTAACCAAGCTGAACATTTTCAGGGAAAAATAAGGAAAAGCTGAAGGAGTTGGTAGGTTTATATGTTGAGTCAAGAAATGCCCAGTAAGCTCTGTGTGCCAGGCTCTGCACCATGAATATAGAAATCAGTCACTTCTACAGAATTATGGAGTAGAAGCAAGAGTGATGAAATGACCTAGTACCTGGCAAAGTGCCAGAAACAGACTAAGTATTCAAAAACAACCTGAATGAATTAATAAGTGGAGTACTAGAGGTAAACTCCAGCTGCCTTTACCCCGATGAACCGCTAACCATCTAAGAGTGGCCAATTTTTAATTTCTTTATTAAAAAGTCATGATTGGAAACTCCACCACCCACCATTCTTCTTGACTATAATTTATTCTCTTGACATGAAACATAGCCTTTCTGTGTAACCAGAATCCCTCCTGCCCTCTTGGATGCTCAATTCATCTTGTTCTTTCCGGGGACGGGACATTCCTCCCTGTCCAGCTGCCTGCTCTCTCACCTCCCTGCTCCACACAGCTGGATTCCTGTACTTGCTGGGAGGGCCATGAAGAAGGATTGGCTGCCATCTCTTCCTGTAGATATCCTCATGGGACTCAGTTAGGGTAGCAATGAGCCTATCTCAGCTTTCCTGGCCCACTTTCCCACAGGGAGCCCCCATTCTGACAGGAGAGACACAAGCCAGCCCCACCCCTAAGAAGGGGGTGGTAGGAAACCCCAGTCCCTCCCACTCACTGCAGAAGCAAGGGCTGTAGCTGCAGTCACAAATAGAGATGATGGGCCTTGCAGGAGGAGGGAGGGTGAGATGGGTGGGGGAGGGCCCCTGCTCATTGTGTTCCGAATGACCCAGGCAAGAGGCTTGCCAAGGGCCCCTTCCCACTGAAAGAAGCAATCAGGAGAACCACATGCATATTTGCATAACATTTGCATTCAATTTGCTTCTGATTTACATATGTCGCTAGCCAAGGCCCATCTTCTTGGGCAGTTCTCTAGGTAAACATGTACCTCCTGTCCCAGAAAGCACCAGCCTTGTCTCAGCACTTCTCAAGGCTCCTCTCTTAGCCTGCCTAGGTCATCGAGGGCATGGGGTGGGGGCTGGATTCCCAAACAGCAAGCATGCCAGGCTGGCCAGGTCCTGCAGGACACACAGCTATGGAGACAGCCCAGGAAGAGATGGGAGCAGAAGAGAGGTACCTGTCAGTCTCTACATGCTACCTGTTCCCACTCTCCCTCACCATCTGCCCTTCAGCAAAGCACAGGAACAATTAGAACAGGAAGCGGGAAACTCTGACTGAGGTGGAGAAAGCAAGGAAGATTTTATGAAGCAAGTACTTGAGCAAAGTTTTCAAGAAGGAATGGGATGTGAATAGGTAAATGGGGACCACAGTGTTGAGAAAGAGGTCATTCATCCACAGCATGATTTAACTATTTATTCAATAAATTAGGTAGGTAGGTAGATAGATGATTGATAGATAGATAGATAGATAGATAGATAGATAGATAGATAGATAGATGCCAGGTGTCATGGCTCACACCTGTAATCCCAACACTTTGGGAGCCTGAGGTGGGAGGATCAATTCAGGTCAGGAGTTCAAGACCAACCTAGGCAACACAGCGAGACCCCATTTCTACAAAAAAATAAAATAAAATAAATAAAAAATTTAAAAGATAGAGACAGATAATAAGTGATTGATAGATAATAGATACATAGGTTACACTGACAGATGATAAATAATTGATAGATAATAGATACATAGATTACATAGATAGATAGATGACAGATGATAAATAATTGAGAGAGAGAGAGAGAGATGGATAGATGCTACTGCTAGCCCAGCTCTGTGCTGGGTGCCAGAGATGCAGTGATGGGTTAAGTGTGCTCCCTTCAGCCAATAAGATGGACGAGCAGCAATTAATTAAAATTCAGCGTGGCGAGTGCTATGCAAGAGAGAGGTACATATTGTTGTGGGAGCCCAGAGGAGGGAACTATTAATTCAGCTGGGAAAGGGGACACAGAAAGATGTGAAAGAGACAGTGTCACGAGAGTGGCATGTGAACTGAGTGTCCTGAAGAATAAAAAGAAGGTTGGTGAACAGGAGAAAGTACAAGGAAGAGCGCTCCAGATAGAGGAAATGGTCTGAGACGAGGCATAGAGGTATGGGTGAAATACAAAAGGGCCAGGCAGAAAGGGAGAACTCAAGACTGAGACAATAAGACTAAAGCAAACCAAGCCAAGGGAGACTCTAGTAGAAGGACAATTGCAGAGTCTGGAAAACCCTCTGAGCTTTAAAAAAAAAAAAAAATTAAGTGGTTATAGATGCTTTGTCGAAGGTACCTACAGTGTCAAACGGATGGTTATAAATTGGAAGGTAAGGAGATTGGGAAGGCCACTCAGAGAAATTGGGTAGCTGAGATAAAGAAATGCCATGAATGATTCCTTGTCTGATATTGGGGAAAAAGAAAAAAAAAAGAAATGCGATGAAAAGGAAATCATGAAGGATGGATGGATGGATGGATGGATGGATGGATGAAAAATTAGGTTCATTATCTGGTTTATCATTGTTATAAATATTGGGTGAATTGAATCGGTGAGTGGGTGATTGCTGGTGGGTGGATTAGCATATGCAATGGAAGAAAGGAAGAAAGGGAGGGAGGAAAGGAGGCAAGCAGGCAGGAAGGCAGGTACACTGACTGAGAAGCTGAATGTACATGAATGATGACCTTGGTGTGGGAGAGGAACCTGCTCATCTATAAGGAGATCCAGGAAAAGACCTCCAGATTGAAAAGAAGACAATTTCTCACCTTGAGGGAGATATGGAGATGCTATTAATAGTAGTAATAGTAATGATGAACATTTACTTTTGAAGATAACTCTTAAATGTACAAAAAAATGACTATATACTTGTTTTATTTCAGTGAAAATTGTTATTGTTATTGTTTTGGTTTTTTTTGAGACGGAGTTTCACTCCTGTTGCCCAGGCTGGAGTGTAATGGCACTGTCTCAGCTCACTGCAACCTCCACCTCCCAGGTTGAAGCAATTCTCCTGACTCAGCCTTCCAAGTAGCTGAGATTACAGGCACCCACCACCACACCTGGCTAATTTTTGTATTTTTAGTAGAGATGGGGTTTCACCATGTTGGCCAGGCTGGTCTCTAACTCCTGACCTCAGGTGATCCGCCTGCCTCGGCCTCCCAAAGTGCTGGGATTACAGGCGTGAGCCACCACACCCAGCCATTTCAGTGAAAATTTTTAAAGATGTGAAACTCAGGTTTGACACTCTATACCCACCTGAGTTGGAAATCGTACATATGTAGTGACAAGATTTTCCTACCTGACATTCAGCACACCTGCTAACTCCCGCTCTGGGGAATAGAGTGACAGCAGAGTGGAGCATATGACAGAGGTATTGTCCTGAAGAACCTGGGAGCTGTGGTGGCTGTCAGCATGACTCCAGTCACCACCAACAATGATGGCAGAGGTCTAATCCACAGGCACCCACTGGGTCAGGAGGTAAGCAGGGAGAGGAAGGAGTGTGGTGAGTGGTAAGGGTATATGAAAGGAAAAGTGTGGGCACACATGCACACTACACCAAGGCCACACAGAGGTGCCAATCCAGGAAAGCTTGACATGACCAGAGCTTGGCAGAGAGAATCAGGGAAGCTTCCTGGAGGAGATGAGAACTAGGCTTAGGTGAAGGATAGTGTCTTTGCTAAGACAGAGATACCAGAGGAGGAGTGGTTTGGTGGATGGGAGAAGTAGAAGAGGCCAAAGGGACACAGAGTTGGGAAATAGTGGATTCAGTTAGCCCCCTTCTTTTCATTTATTACTCCATCTCTCTAAAAACCTCCCCATCCTTGGAGTTTTAAGGGGCAACTCTGGAAAAACAAGCCCACAGCTCCACCCACATGTCTCCTGCTAGAGCTCAAATATCTTTCTGCCTGTCCTGGGCCAGCTCAGCCACCTTCCCCCTCCCCTCTTTCCGCGTTCCCCAGCTGTCATAACTGGAAAGGATTTCTGCCTCCTCTATCCAGAATAAACAAAGTTAGCTGTGTGACCTTAGTCAAGTCAGAAACTTCTCCGGTATTCAATTCCTTTGCCTATAAAACAAATTTAATAATCCCAGAGGTTTTAATGAGAATGAAATAAAATGCAAACTGTCACCTGTTGTACATTCATTAAAGGTAAACCAACACCATGACATTAAGCTGATTTTTTATGCCCTTCTTTTTGCTCATAGTCACTTTTAATGTTTTTACAATGAATAAGAATTACTTATTTAATAAGGTGAGAAAGCAAAAATTTGAAAATATAAATTATACTTAGGGATTGAGAAAAGTTAGCATTTTAAAATTATAAGGGACATTTCCTGTATTGTTATTTCTTGTGAGGATTCTTAACTATAGGTATTGTTATCATCACTAATTATGGATTATTAGTCTCATCTTACAGATGAGGAAATTGAGGCTCAGGAATACTAAGTAACTTGCCCAAACAGGTGTACCCAGTAACTGATGCTGTCAGCACTTAAATCTTTTGTCTCCAACTCTAGTGGCCTTTACATTATAGGACAAACCTGCTTTTGTGTGAAATCTTCCCAATGTTGACTGTGCTTCCATTTAATTTTTTAATTATCATATGTGTCCAATTGTCACAGATCTAAATATATATACAGTAAAACTTCAGCTATCTAGAATGTTTGATTAATGTAATATTCCAAATACCTAAGCTTTTAGATGACTACAGACTTAAGTATCAATTTTAATCATTCTTGGCTGGGCACGGTGGCTCACGCCTGTAATCTCAGCACTTTGGGAGGCCGAGGCAGGTGGATCACGAGGTCAGGAGATCGAGACCATCCTGGCTAACACGGTGAAACCCCCGTCTCTACTAAAAAATACAAAAAATTAGCCGGGCGTGGTGGTGGGCGCCTGTAGTCCTAGCTACTCAGGAGGCTGAGGCAGGAGAATGGCATGAACCTGGGAGGTGGAGCTTGCAGTGAGCCGAGATCGAGCCGCTGCACTCCAGCCTGGGCGACAGAGCGAGACTCCGTCAAAAAAAAAAAAAAAAATTTAATCATTCTTAGAAATTGTTCTTTAAAAATATGATGCTCTTTCTCTAACTTTTTAATCAGGATATAGAGAAAGCAGTTTACCCATTTCTTAATGCCTAGGGGCACCCATTCTAGTCCCAGCTCAGCCTGAGTGCACGCAGCCTCATCATATCCCTTCTTTCTCAAACTTCCATTTTCTCAATAATAATAATTAATAATAATACCTTTTATTGTGCAGTTACCACATGCGTTGTTCTAAGCAAGTATTACTTCCATTTTCTCAATAATAATAATTAATAATAATAATAACTTTTATTACACAGTTACCACGTGCATTGTTCCAAGCAAGCATTAGCTCATGTAACTGTCCTAACCCCTGGCAGGTAGATGTTGTTACTCTGGCTTTGTAGACAAAGCAAGGGAGGCACTGAGAGGTTAAATGGCTTGCTCAAGATCACAGAGCTGGCAGGCTGTGGAGCCAGGACTTGAACCCAGGCTGTGCAGCTCTGGCAGTGGGACCAGGTGCTTCTAGCTCTGGCATCCAGGGCCTCATCTTCCAACCCTGAAGAGGAGTCTAGTGGGCACAGATCCCTACCCCCAGAGTAGCCAAGACTCTGCAGAAAGAAAGCACACACCCTCCTCCAGAAACTCCATAGAGCCTTCCACAGGCCATAGCAGATGCTTCGTGGAAATTCTTCTTTCTTTTTTTCCCCAGCTTCTAATGGTTGCCACAGCTTAGAAAACTCAAAGATCCTCAACCCTTCCCTGTCTGCCCTCCAGCCCTGCCAGTTCTGAACTTTATACCTTCAGCTTTTTTCTGGCTCTTGACAAGTGGAAAAAAAATCATTCTTAGGATTGGTGTGCGTGTGTGTGTGTGTCCCTATTCATAGAAAAAAAATGACATTTGAGGCCCCTCCCCCAACTCCCAGTTTCATAACACCAGAAGAGACAAGGAGCTGGACAGAAACTCCAGGAGGTGGCCACAGACTCCTGCCCACTTACCCCCATCCCACCATGGGCCACACAGCAAATCCTCTGTGGCCCAATCCTTTCCCTTTCCTTTCTGCAGTGAATTACTGTTGTGGCCTCAACTCCAACCTGGAAAATGTTGCATTCCTGCCCACCTTCCAACCTCATCGCCCACAACTCCCTGGCACAAACCCTTTTTTCCAGACAAACCAGGCTCCTCATTGATCTCAACACATGTTTCATGCTTTCCTACCTCTGTGCTTTTGCCCACATGACTTCTTCTCCAGGAATGCCCTCCCTTCTCCTCTTCCTTTCTCCAAATCCTACCATCCTTCAAGGCTCTGCTGGAGACAAGCACCTGACTGAGAACTTACTATGTGGTTGTAGATTCTGGAGATACAGGGGTGAGTGGATAGGGTCCCTGCTCTCAAAATAGTAATTAAAAAGTAATTACCCAATTGCAAGGAGTTCGAAGCCTTCCCTGTTACCCCTTTGCTCACTTTCCCTCTGCCTGAGTGCCTGCTCCATCACTTCCTACAATGCCTGCACAGAGCGGCGCTCAATAACCATCCATCTCTCCCTTCCACTACCGTCTCCACTTGGGAAATTCTCTTAAATCTTTAAGTCCTTCAACCAATGCCCATCTCCTTCAGAGAACCTTCCATAATCCCCTTGTCCTCTAAACTACCCCTCATTGGGCTAGGTGGGCTTCTCTGTGGGCAGCCCTGTGCTGAATCTCATTATTTCACTTTCCACAGTGGGTGTCATCACCAACCCCACAGCCTCAGGGCCTCTGACCTGCAATTTTCCTTCCACTTGTCCCAGTGTGCCATACAAGGATCATCATGTCTGACACGTGCCATGCCACAGCAAATCTGGGGGCACTTCAGTGGACCGCCATGATGTGTACAGGGTACTTCTGACATTGTAAAAGGCTACTGGTCTGGAAAGTCTCAGTGTTAACTGCACAGATCTAGATGTTTGTGTTGAGCAGTGTCATTCTTATGGTTAGAGCCAGATCATTTTTAACTTTATTTTGCTCAAAATTACTATATTGGATGGTCTTTTGATATTGTTTTAGTAGTTGTTGAATGGGTTGCTTGACAGACAAAACATGGCATGGCAAACAGGTACAGCTTCAACCAGCAAAATTCATCTCTCCATCTACTGCCCCAAAAATTGTTCAGGAATTGGAACAATGAAAAGTCTTCATTAATGACTATTGGTCAAAAATAATCTGGTAAGATACAGAAACTCAGTGTGGAAAGGGGCCAAATCAGTGTAAGACGGTGTTCTTTGTAGAGTACGTTTAAAAGGAAGTGAGAGCTAAATCAAACTCTGTAATTTCAACAAGCACATTATCACAAAGATAATGAGAAGCCAGTCAAAGATGCAATCATGTCTCAAAACTCTTGGACAAATGATTGGAATTTCCTGAGGTGTTAGCTCCTTCGGTGAGGTTACTGCTTGCCCTAATAGGATGGGCAGGTCTCAGTGCTGATGGGGAGTAGGAAAGCCTTTGCTATTGAGCAGAGTAGAGGTATAGTTTAGAAGACGTAATGTGATCTTGCTCCAGCTCACCACACTCTCATATGATGATCCCATGACAGGCAGCTCCAGGGGCAGCCATCTGCCATGCTGAGGATGATCTCCACTCAGCCAATTGCTTTAGAAGCCACTGTCCCAGGTGGCCCAGCACTTGGTCCCACATCAGAAAGACAGGCATCATGGTGTGAGGACTTACCTGTCTGTAGAGGGTCCTCACACCTCTCTGGGGTGTGCTTAGAGCTACATGCAGAATGTTCAAGGCTTATCCAACAGACCTGAAACCATTGTCTCAGATGTCATGAAGGAGTAGAAAGTACCTGAAAGTCACAGCTTACTCTAAGATGGAAGAACTCCCTCCTGCTGCTTCCAGGCACACACCTGTCCAAGGAACCATCACTACAGGCAGGACTTTACATGAGTGAATTCAACATCCAAAAGCTAATCATTGGAATAGAAGCAGGACCACTCACTAGTGCATTAAGAAAGAGATCCTTGTGGAGAATGGAAAGCTGCAGAGGATCACAATTATTAGTAGTAACTATTATCAACATTATTAACTTGAGGAGGAGCAGAAAGATTCACTGCATCTTTACAAAAGAAAGTAACTACTCTAGTGACAATTAAATGACTCAAACCATAGGGATTGGGGCCACTGGAGAACTTGGTCACCTCTGCTTGATAGGAAACTCCTTCCTCATGTGGGTCTGATTAGGAACACTGAATGTGGTGCATGAGGGAGTTAGCATAACCTAGCCAGACCTAGAAGGGTCTTGCAATAACTTACCGGAGAAAGGTAGAAAAAGAAAAGACATCTGCTTACAGTATATAATATAACAAGTTCTTCTGCAGAAAAACAAACACCTCCATGGATACAGTTCACTGGATGATCATAATACCAGTGCAAATGATGCAGCTATCCCTATCTTACGAAATTAAAACGGGATCTCTAAAAAGGTAGAAGACAGATGAAGCAAAATCTTGATAACTGTTGCATCTAAGTGGTGGGTATACACGGGGCTCATTGTACTGCTCTTTCTACTTCTACATAGGTTTGAAAATGTTCCTAGGAAACAAACGTTCATTCTGTCGC
Source organism: Homo sapiens (assembly GCF_000001405.40). Lineage (NCBI taxonomy): Eukaryota > Metazoa > Chordata > Mammalia > Primates > Hominidae > Homo > Homo sapiens. The sequence goes on along the minus strand of NC_000001.11, from coordinate 47,461,090 downwards.
CCAGGCTGGACTGCGTAGTATGATCACAGCTCACTCCATCTTTGAACTCCTGAGCTCAAGCAATCCTCCCACTTCAGCCTTCCAAGTAGCTGAGACTATAGGTGTGCACCACCATGCCCAGTTAACTTATTTTATTTTTGTAGAGAGGAGGTCTCACTATGTTGCCCAGGCTGGTCTCCCACTCCTGGGCTCAAATGATCCTCCTGTCTCAGCCTCCCAAAGTTCTAGGAGTACAGGCTTGAGCCAGGGCACCTGGTCAAGAAATAAATTTCTAAAAAGTGGCCTCAAAAATTCAGAGATACTGCTCCTACTTTTTAAAAACTGTTGAAGCTTTTGTTTGTGATTTAGGTGACTCTTGATTATACCAGACTTGAAACTACCCTCTTTGTGGTATATGCAAAATAAAGATTCTTGTGTGGTTGCAGAAAAGAGAAGGTGGGGGTGAGGTGAGAGGGGAAGAGGGCATGACAAAGTGAGGGAGCACAGCAGAAAGAGATGAGCTTTCATATGAGCTGGACAGGTTCCCATCCCAGCTCCATCACACTCTAGCTGTGTGATGCTGTGGAGGTGTGTGCTACTCTCTGTGCATCTATTTCTTCTGGAAAGTTAAAATATTGCCCCCCATAGGCTTGTTATGAGGCTATAATTAAGTAATAGATGTTGAATATTCGGCACACAATAAGCACTCAAGAAATCCTGACTATTACTACTTTATAAATATCAGTACTTTAAAAAATGGATACATTCAGGAGATTCTTTGCTTTACAAAAGAATTCACCACAGGGTGCCTTTAAGCCCTCAGCCCTGCCAGTGCATTTTAAATGGGATTGAGTTTGCAAACATCCATTTCTCATGACTTTTTCAGAACGCAGCCAAAGTACTAATGAAGGCAGGCGGATCTACAGCAAGAGCTCCCCGGGCACACTCTCTCAGTCTCAGATCCTGTCCAGCAGGATTCTCTGAAAGATTGGAGACTAAAAACGTTTTCTCTGAAAATCCACAAAAACCCACTGGCTGCCCTCTGGGAAGCCTTTTTTCCATGCATATTTGGAAGGGCTGTGGTATCTCCAGCTATGGGTCCAGGCTTATGAGGACAATAGCAATAGCAATAGGCTAACAACGTTACCTAACATTTATTGAGGGCTTCCTATGTGAGAGGTGCTGTGTTAATTCCCATGCATTATCCTGCACAAGGCAATAAAAGCTAATGTCTGCATAACCACAACAAGTGCTTTCAGGTGAAAGAAGTTCTGGTTATTCCTCACAAAAGTCTCACAGGGTATTATGATTAATGTTGTTGTTGTTTCACATCGAGAAACTGAGGCACAGAGTAGAAAAGTCATTTGCCGAAGGTTACCCCCTGTAAATGATGGGTTATTTAGAACCCGTCTGGCTCTGAAGCCCACCCTGTTACAGACTCCCTGCTCCCCATCGCATACCCCCTCCCCAGCAGCACTAGATCCAGCAGAGACAGGACTATAGGGCAGAGGGTCCCTGCAGGAGGCGCTACCCCTCCCTCTATACCCTCCCCATCTCACTTAGCCCTCCACAAGCTGTTGTCAATTGCACTGAAGTATTTACAGCAACCAGCAACCGCTGACACCTCTGCCCACGTGGGCTATAATTTGATGCTCAAGTTGTTAAACAGCCGCTTTCGAGCGCTGAGCTCTTCATACATGAGTGTCTCTCCCAAGAGCCAGGCTAGCTGCCTCTCTACTGCTCCTGAAGGCTTGCACACTTCTGCTGGCTCCAGGCATGCACACATGTGCACACATGCCAAATGCACCATCACACACAGACATCTTCACACACACCATCACCATCACGCAACAATCCCAATTTGCTATTGAGGACACAGCCACCAACACACATGCTATGTATCACAGACTCCCAGACTCACCTAGTTCACACCCCTCTTGTCGTCAGCACGTGAGACACTACAGAGATAATGGCCGTAGATACTCTGTGTAGAGCAGTATTCACGAGTGAGTGATTGCTAGTAATGCCCATCCCAAACAGAGTCCCAGGAAGTATACTCTTCCCGCATAATTATCTATCAGAAAATTACCCACACGCTCAACTCTGCATTAGGGTAACCAGATAAACACTACATATATTTTTTCATTTCCTTGTGCTAAATGTAGCTTTCACTTGGATGCATTGCATTTGTATGTGGCTTCCATCCTGGTATACCTACCTAAACCCCTGACTCCTTATCTATTTGCCAGGGCCTGTACGTGTTGTGGGATGGGGGTCGGGGATTGTGGTGTACATGTGCTCAAACACCAATACATGCCTCTGTGTGTCTGTTTGCACAAAGCAGATCCAGCAATTTGTTGATGGTCCTCTCCCCAGGGAGTCTCTGCGGAGTAAAACTGCCCTCTGCATAACTATCCAAGAGCAAACACATCCCTAAACCAGATTCCAGCCACACACCCCCACCCCATATATAGCAATGGGGGGTCAGAAAGAAGAGAGAAAGCAGAGGATAAGGAAGGAGAATGAGAGGGGGTAAGGGCCATGTGGGCAGAGGAAGAAACTGGGGTCCATCCACCCAGGAGAGAACAAGTTCAGGAACATGTGCAGTCACTGTGAAGATGGCCCAGAGGCTGGGCCCAGAGGCTGTAATCCCCAGCACTTTGGGAGGCCGAGGTGGGCGGATCACCTGAGATCAGGAGTTCAAGTCAGGCCTGGCCAAAATGGTGAAACCCCATCTTTACTAAAAATACAAATATTAGCTGGGCGTGGTGGCAGATGCCTGTAATCCCAGCTACTCGGGAGGCTGAGGCAGGAGAATCGCTTGAACCCAGGAGGCAGAGGTTGCAGTGAGCCGAGATCGCACCACTGCACTCCAGCCCAGGCAACAGAGCAAGACTCCATGTCAGTCTTAAAAAAAAAAAAAAAAATGGCCCAGAGTTGACCAGCTGACAGTCTGAGGAGGATGCAGGTTTCCAGCCCCTCTGGGACCCTCCTGGATCCCCTGCTCTGTGAGGTGCTTTGGAAATGGTGCCTAGGAGGCTCCATGGGGTGCAGGCAACAGAGTGAGCCCCAGCTGAAGAAGCCCTGCACATCCGCTTTCCTATGGAGGTTTGGGACTGTGCAAGACAAGGAGATTCAGACTAGGCACAGAGATAGGCTAGAAAGATAAATGGGGAAAGAAAGAGCAGGAATAGCAAAGGAGGGGAAAAGAATGTCTGAATAGGATGGATGGGAAGACTCAAGCCCAAGGCAGATTCAGAGCTACGCTCAGAGATAAACGACAGTAACTGTTTCTCACTGCAAGAGCCATCGATGAAAGGACTCAGGGCAGAGGGATCTCTGCTGCAGCTTTAGCAGGCCACTGATAAAAGGCAGGTCCAGCCGGGCGCGGTGGCTCACGCCTGTAATCCTAGCACTTTGGGAGGCCGAGACGGGCGGATCACGAGGTCAGGAGATCGAGACCATCTTGGCTAACACGGTGAAACCCCATTTCTACTAAAAATACAAAAAATTAGCCGGGCATGTTGGCAGACGCCTGTAGTCCCAGCTACTCGGGAGGCTGAGGCAGGAGAATGGCGTGAACCTGGGAGGCGGAGCTTGCAGTGAGCCGAGATGGCGCCACTGCACTCCAACCTGGGGGACACAGCGAGACTCCGTCACAAAAAAAAAAAAAGGCAGGTCCTGCCCTGTGACCCTCTCAGCAGTTCGGGACAGGAACCATCCCAGGGGCCTACAGCAGCAGAGCAGGAGAGGAGTGAGCATACCTCCCAGAAGACCTGCAAAAGGATCTGACTGGGCTCCCCAGGACAAGCAGGAAGCCAAGGGTAGAGAATAAAAAGCAAACCTCTGAGTGGGGATTGGGGAGCACCTGGACCCATGGATTCAGAAGTTCAAGTTCTGATGCTATTTATGGTGCAAACCCACAGCAGCCACAGAACTTCACCAAGTCTCATCTGGAAAATAGTGGCTACAAGTGCCCATCTCAAGGCACTGTGAGGACTCAATAAGGCAATAAGGGTAGAAATGCTTTCTAGCAATTTCTGTGAATCTCCTTGTTAATCAAGATTGCCAGGAGGGGCCGTGTGCAGTGGCTCATGCCTGTAATCCCAGCACTTTGGGGGCCAACGTGGGTCAATTGCATGAGCCCAGGAGTTCAAGACCAGCCTGGGCAACATGGTGAATCCCCATCTCTACAAAAAAATACAAAAATTAGCTGGGTGTGGTAGTACATACCTGTGATCTCAGCTACCCGGGAGGCTGAGGTGGTAGGATCACCTGAACCTGAGGAGGTTGAGGCTGCAGTGAGCTATGAATGCACCACTACACTCTAGCCTGGGTGACAGAGTAAGACAGACCCTGTCTCAAGAAAAAAAAGATTGCCACCCAGGAGGGGAGAAGTCACAAGTCACAGGGTGGAAATGACAGTGAGTAGCTCTCCATCAACATGGAGATTCTATTATTATTAATACTCATGTATGCTTATGTGTCCTGCCTAATTCCACAAATAAGTTCATTCCAGATATAAATGTGATCAGGCAGTATTTGAGTATTTGTCTTTCTGTGTCCAGCTTATTTCCCTTAACATAGTATTCTCCAGATTCATCCATGTTGTCGCAAATGACAGGATTTCACTCTTTTTCATGACTGAATAGTATTCCATTCTGTATTTATACCATATTTTCTGTGTACGTGTGTGTGTGTGTGTGTGTGTGTGTGTTTTGAGACAGTCTTACTCTGTTGCCTAGGCTGGAGTGCAGTGGTGTGATCTTGGCTCACTGCAACCTCCACCTCCCAGGTTCAAATGATTCTCGTGCCTCAGTCTCCCAAGTAGTTTGGACTACAGGTGCACGCCACCATGCCTGGCTACTTTTGTATTTTTAGTAGAGAAGGGTTTCACCATGTTGGCCAGGCTGATCTCGAATCCCTGACCTCAGGTGATCTGCCTGCCTCGGCCTCCGAAAGTGCTGGGATTGCAGGCATGAGCCACCGTGCCCAGCCAATACCATATTTTCTTTATCCATTCATTCATTGTTGGACACTTAGATTGATTCCATATCTTGACTATTGTGAATAATGCTGCAATAAACATGGGGATGCAGATATCTCTTCAGCATATTGATTTCATTTCCTTTGGATGTATACCCAGTAGTAGGATTGCTGTATCATATGATAGCTGGATTTTTAATTTTTTGAGGAACCTCCATGCTGTTTTCCGTAATGTTGTACTCCACAAAGGATTTGAGTTGGCTGAGAGGTAAAGATTATTGACAGACTGGCCAGGCGCGATGGATCACACCTATAATCCCAGCACTTTGGGAGGCCAAGGCAGGTGGATGATGAGGTCAGGAGATCGAGACCATCCTGGCTAACATGGTGAAACCCAGTCTCTACTAAAAAAAATACAAAAAATTAGCTAGACATGGTGGTGGGTGCCTGTAGTCCCAGCTACTTGGGAGCCTGAGGCAGAAGAATGGCATGAACCCAGGAGGCGGAGCTTACAGTGAGCCGAGATTGCGCCACTGCACTCCAGCCTGGGGGACAGAGCCAGACTCCGTCTCAAAAAAAAAAAAAAGATTACTGACAGACTCTCTGAAGGACAGATGGATAGACAGAGGAATGAGGACAGAGGCAACAAGAGGGAAAGAGATATCCAGGGAAAGATCATCATTCATTCAGATGTTCAATGCAACATTTATTTAATGAGCACCTATTATGTGTCAGGTACTGTTTAAGTCCTGGTTATGATCAGGGAATTCAGGTGACTTTACCCAGATTAAAGCTATGGCAAATGTGACTTGATTCCTCTACCTTCCACACACACTCATGTGAACCTCTTTCATGCACCCATGTGCTACCATTCTCAAAGAGGATCATTTCTAATGGAATCTGGTGACGAGAATGAGGTGGAGATGGAAAAGCGTTGTCTATGGAGCAGGTCTCCATCTGGGGATCCCACAGCCTGCTGGGAAGGCTGTTCTGAGTAACCTCTCTTCATAGGGTAGTACATGGGGTGTGTAGGAGCCAGAGAGGGGAGAGGTGTACTTGGCTCTTGGCTCTAGGAGCCACTCAGCACAAATCAGAGCCCAGACATCTGTGTGCCACTTGAACTGGACTTACTAGACTTGAAATATCTCTGTCTTCCTCTCTCCTTTTCAAGACATCATGATGTCCTCTGTGTTTGTCAACAAAGCTAATCAGTCTCTCACCTGGATCTTTTTTTTAATCTTTTTTTTTTTTTTTCTTGAGACGGAGTCTCACTCTGTCACCCAGGCTGGAGTGTAGTGGCGTGGTCTTGGCTCACTGCAACCTCCGCCTCCTGGGTTCAAGCGATTCTCCGGCCTCAGCCTCCTAAGTAGCTGGGACTACAGGAGTGTGCCACCACACCCGGCTAATTTTTGTATTTTTAGTAGAGACGGGGTTTCACTATATTGGCCAGGCTGGCCTCAAACTCCTGACACTGTGATCCACCCACCTTGGCCTCCCAAAGTGCTGGGATTACAGGTGTGAGCCACCATGCCCGGCCTATCTGGATCTTTAAAACACTGAATGGGGCCAGGCGCAGTGGCTCACACCGGTAATCTCAGCACTTTGGGAGGCCAAGGCAGGTAGATTACCTAAGGTCAGGAGTTCAAGACCAGCCTGGCCAACATGGCAAAACCCTGTCTCTACTAAAAATACAAAAATTTGCCAGGTGTGGTGACATGCACCTGTGACCTCAGCTACTCAGGAGGCTGAGGCATGAGGATTGCTTGAACTCGGAAGATGAAGGTTCCAGTGAGCTGAGATCGCGCCACTGCACTCCCACTTGGGTGACAGAGCAAGACTCCATCTCAGAAAAAAACAAAACAAAAACAACAACAATAAAAAAAAACACTGAATGGAACAGAAGACTCAAGGAGACTCTACATGGCAGTCAACGTTGTGCAGTCATCAAACCCCATTTCCCTTTCCTCCTGCACATACAGCAAGACTTCAATTCTTACTCTACCTTACAGTTAGGTGGAGCCAAATGACTGGGTTCTGGCCAAGGAATGTGGTCAGAAGTGACACTTGCCACCTGCACCAATTTTTTTTTTTTTTGAGACAGAGTTTCACTCTTGTTGTCCAGGCTGGAGTGCAATGGTGCAATCTCAGCTCACTGAAACCTCCACCTCCCAGGTTCAAGCAATTCTCCTGTCTCAGCCTCCCGAATAGCTGGAATTACAGGTGCATGCCACCATACCTGGCTAATTTTTGTATTTTTAGTAGGGACAGGGTTTCATCATATTGGCCAGGCTGGCCTCGAACTCCTGACCTCAGGCGATCTGCCCGCCTCAGCCTCCCAAAGTACTCGGATTATAGGCATGAGCCATCACGCCTGGCCATCACAAAAGTTTTAAACGATTTTGATAATTTAATCTCAATATAATTGGCTTATTTCATAGTCCTGTAAATTTGATTTCATGCATTAAAAAATATTTATTTTTAGGTATCCATAAGCTGATCATTAATCTACCTAAGGGGGTCCATGGTACAAAAAATAATAATAATAATAAGAGCGCTTCCCCTACAGAATGATGGAACCCCTAGATGGAAGGCCATTTGGTCTCTGAGTGACTATGTAGAACAAAGCTTCCCCCCATCTCACTACCACCACCAGTGATCCAATATTTAGACTACGAGATGAGTGAAAAATAACCTTTATTTGTTCAACAACTGAGAACTTGAGGACCATTTATAATGCAGAGGGATTCTATTATGTGACTACAGGAAGAGTACAGGGAAGACCTCTCAGCTTAAATTAACTTTGAACTCACTCAGCTCTCCCAAATGCCCTCGCTCATAAAGGATGAAATGCCCTAGATGTCTTCCCCTCACACCCAACCTTCTATGGTCCAAATTCTCCCCAACTTTCAAGGCCCAATTCAAATGCCACTTCCTCCAGGAAGTCTCCTGTGCCTGTTCTCCACTCACAAAATGTATCGCCCCTGAATTGAAGCACCAAGAGCTATTAACTTCAGACTATGAGCTTTCCCAGGGAAGAAAGTTGCATAAATTCCCTTCCTGTCCCCAAACCTACACCCCACACCCACAGTGGGCCTCTTCCAGGGATACCCAGCCATAGTAGGATCAGTAAATGTTGCATGGGAGGCAAGAGGGTAGTCAGAAAATGGTTTGATTCAGCTCTATCCCCCAACGGCCTGGCCCAGGTCCCCACAGATTATGTGTGTTTAAGGAGAATGTATGATACAAGTGGGGCTGGGGAAGTACTAGTGTTTTCCCACATTAGGGCCTCAATCTCCCTTCTCTAAAACTACCTCCACCCAAGCTGGATTTTCAACCAATGTATATCATCCTCCAAGTCTTTGTAGTTTTGGTAGCCAGACAAGGCCAGAAGTCATGAAGGGGTTAAAAGAAACATGGGTCCTCTCCAACCCTGGAGAATGATACCTCCTCAGGGGTCCCAGGCAGAGTCAGCCTCTTTGTCCCACACCCTTGAAAGCCACTCCCTCTGCTCAACCCCTCCCTTCTTCTCCCGCCTCTGCCCTATCCCCAACAAGCACTTGGAGCCTCTGTCCTTGGGCTGGGAGCACTCATCTTCTCTGTGCAGCTCTAGAGAGCTGGGGCCTGCTCCCTGGACAGCTGCTGCACCATGGGAGTGCAGGGATGGTGGGGAGACAGCTCTCTAGCCCCCTCCCTCAAGGTATGACTCCTCCAGTCCAAGCTCCTTTTGTCTTGAGAACGGAGGTGCCCTGAGCTTGAGTACAGGCTGCCTCTCTCCCTTTGGGTTATCTTGCAACACTGGGGCTCAGGGGCCCCCAGCCACTGCTGTCCTGGACACTGTTCCCCCACTCCCCCTTCCCCACCACACCAGGCACCAGAGATCATTATTGCTCTATGAAGGGACATATTTCTGAATCACATTAACTCCACTTGTCTTTGGGCAATGCAACACATTTTTGGGGCCCTTCTACACATGCAGTTGATTCATTCTTTCATGTTCCAGGCCTTGTGCTGTGTACTGGAAAAGATGAGGGAGGGGGAACAGCAAGCAGAAAATAATACATCACAGTAAGTTCTTTAAAAGTATGAAAAGTCTTAGGATTGGGAGGCTGATGTGTGAGGATTGCTTGAGCCCAGGTGTTTGAAACCATCTTGGGCAACATAAGGAGACCCCCATTTCTACAAATAAATAATTAGCCATGCGTGGTGGCTAGCCTGTAGTCCTGGCTACTCAGGAGGCTGAGATGGGAGGACCGCTTGAGCCCGAGAAATCAAGGCTGTAGTGAGCCATAATCATGCCACTGCACTCTAGCCTGGGTGACACAGCAAGACCCGGTCTCCAAAAAAAGAAAAAAAAAAAATTCTGTGGGAGTGGGGAGATGCTAGTGAAGGCTTGGTGGGGGAGGTGACCCTGAGTAGGGAGTGAACCAGGTAGAAAGTGGAAGAAGGAACAATCAGATAATCAGACCCATGAACCACAGAATCACTCTGGCTGTTGGGCTCATTAAAGAGTAGTCTCCTAGAATTATTCTTTTAATCAATGACTATTTATTGCACCAGACAGCATGCTGGATAGAGATCTCAGTGTGACTGTGGCCTTCAGTGAAAAAGAAAGAGAGGGGGAGAGAGAGAGAGATCTCAGAACTGAAGCCATCTCATATCCCAAAGCCAGCCTGACTTCCACATCGTGTTCTTGAGGGGCAGACTGCCTCTTCCAAATCCAAGGACCTGGGGAGAGGAAGTTGCTCTGGGTGCTGGAATGAAGGGTGAATCCCTTCTGGTGACATTGGAGGAGGGCTGCTCAAATGGAAATCTGTGATGGATGATGACACACTGGGAGGGGCTCCTGGCTCCCTATAGCTGCCATGACCAGCAAGTCCAGCGGCCAGAGGTCTGTTGACTGAAATCGGAGTCAAACAGGATCAAGTATGGGGTGATGAGTTCTCCCCACAGCAGGCTCCAGAGCTGGGGAGGAATCCCCACCCCATGACATCCTTCAGCTATTCTCTCTCAAGGCCGTCGGCATTCTTCCCTCTGCGCCCATATTACAGCTTTAATTCCACATGCATTTGTGTTTCTTTCTGTCCTCCACTAGATTGTCACCATCCTGAGGACAGGAACCACATCGGTTTTGTTCACCACTGTATCCCCAGTGCAGAGGAGAGGACCAGGCACAAAGTGAGTAATAAAAGAATGGTGAAATGAATTGAGACTGACAAGGACATTCCAGCAGATGAGGGCAGTCTGGTGATAAGTTCATTTCATTTTACAGAGAGGGAGAGTAGGCCCAGGAAGATGGAGTGGTGCAAAAATAAAGCCGCCTACATATGTGGAGAGGGTGTGGGGGTGGCAAGGCCGGGCTCTGGGGTCAGGAGCACAGACAACAGAAAAGTACTCACAGTCCTGGCCCCCAAGATGCCCCAGCCTCCATAAAATCAGTTCCCTCCCCACAACTCAGCCACCTCCTCCTTGAGGTTGTGAACTCCTCCTCCCAGAGGTGCAGGGTGTGCCCAGCCACGGCAGGCTTCTCTCCAACCAGGTGTCCCAGAACTGCCCCCAAAGGGCTACGGGGAGAGGAATAAAGCAGCTACCAGTTTGGGGGTGGAATAGGGCATCCCTGCTGCGGCGCAAGAGCTACAGGGACCATAACAAGGACTGCAAGCCTTAGCACCTAATCTATGCAGGATAAGCCTTAAGAGGGAGCGCACAAAGCCAATCTTGGTAGCGCAAGCACATCCCGGTTAGCACAGGATCTGCCTCTGTCAGTTTAAGGTCATCTCTGTTAGCACAGGGTCAGACCCACTCAAAGCAGGGTCACCCCCGGTGGTATAGGGTCATCCCTTTTTAGCGCTGGGTCGTCCCGCATAGGAGCAAGATCGTCCTAGTTTGGAGAGTCAGCCTCTAACGGAGGGTCAGCGCAGAGCGGGGCGGGGTGGCCGGGTGAGCGGAGCGTAGGGTAGTCTCTGCCAGCCAGGGTGAATCCTGGTCAGCGGAGGGTAAGCTCCCGGTACTTTGGGGCCAGCGGCGCCCCCAAGTGGCTGGGCCCGTCCTGCGCTCAGGATCCGGTGTCAGGGAGGCTTTCAGGAATCTCGGTCCGGAGCCCTCCACCCTGGCTTCGCTCACTCGAACTGGGAGTCTCGCCAACTCAGTCCCGGGCCTCGCTCTTCAGAAATTGCTTCTGCTTCTGAATATTCTTTGTACGCATGTTTGAGACTTTTTCTGTTCACAGGATGCAATTTGGGTGCGCGATTGCATCTGAGACCCAGAATCCGAGATGTAGGCAGAGAGGAGAACTTCGACTGGAAAACTGGAGCCCCAGCTCCAGGGTAAGCGGCAACAGAGCCCGCCCCTCCCCATTCCCTTCGCGTCTCCATCCTCAGACACTCACTCGGCGGACTTGTCTCTGAGAGCTCTGGTCCCGGCCCCCAGTCTTCGAGTACTTCCAGCTACAACCCCACAAAAGCAAGTTCTTTAGTTTGGCCTGGGCGGGGACTTTTAGGGAGGGAGCCAAGCCACAGCCCCCTCCCCACTCAGGCTTTGGGAACGTTCTGACCCACTCCCCCACATTGATAGGTTACAGCCCTCCAGCTCCTGTGGGGTGCCCTGCCTCTCCCCACTACCCAGCCCTCATCCGGGCAAGGCTTCCCGGAAAGAAGGCTGGGTGGCTCAGGGTGAACAGAGAGGAGTAAAAAGGAGCTGGGTTAGAGGCTCCCTTTTCCATTTTGTGCCACCCTATCTCAGTGCCCCGGGAGACACAATGGGATGGGCTGAGCTCTGCCAGCTTCAGGCAGCGACTCACCTTCAACCTCATCCACATTCCCCCTTCTCCCCAAAGGAGGTACATTTATGCAAACCGGCAACCAAAACATACACAGAGATTTGGCCACCCCTCCATGGCCCTGCCAGGGAAGGAAAAAGCCCTGGGTCCCACGTGGAAGCCTCTTAGATCCAGAAAGGAAGTGAGCCAAGCTCCCAGTAAGTAGGCAGCTATGGTAGAAGTCCTGAGGCTGCTCCTGAGATGTCTCCAAAGTCCAGCACTGTCCCATCCAGCACCCTTGCTGCAGAGCGACAGCTGAGGGAGGGGCATGAGCTGTTCAGTAGACTAGAGGGAGGAGCTGGGAAGCAGCCACTGACCACAGACCCAGGAGGTGAGTCCAGGCTAACTTTCCCCAGCTCCATTTCTGAGACAGAGAAATGGAGGCCCAGTGGGGATAGGGGGAGTACTTGCCAAAGGACACAGAGAGTCAGCACCCCAGCAAGAATCAGGAATCTTCTCACCTCCTCCCCTTCTCTACTCCCAATATTAGATAAGTATCTTCAGGGTAGGTGCTAAGGTAAAGATCCAGGAGGAGTGGAAAGAGGCACCAAAAAGCCCTGGTAGCTTCCAGAGGTAAGTGTAATTCAGAATTCCTAATGCTACACTTGAGCCTACACACGCACACACATACACACACACACACACACACACACACACACACCCCAAAGCCCTGAAGCTTGGTCAGCATATCTGACCAAGGAAGGAACGGCTCCAACCAAAGCTGCCTGGGACCTGAGTGGCCCAGATTTTCTTTGTTTATTCTTCACTTTATAAAAGGCCTAGAGTCAGGTGGGGTGAGGGAAGCAAGGCTTGGAGCACTCCAGTGGGCCAACTGACAGATAGATTCTCCAACAGACTCACGAAAGCAAAAGAGGCAGGGAAGCCACCACACTGGAAGATCCGAAAACTAGAGACATTCACTGGCAAACTCTGACCATTCCCCTACCCCTTCCTCTCCTCCAAGGGGGTCACTGGCGCTGGACCTTCTGCTCTGCCTAGGGCTAGGAGGAGAATTCGGCCACCTCTCCCAGCCCAGGAACCCTGGGGAAAGTGGAGTGCCAGACGCTCTTGCTAACCTACACTTCTCCCTAAAGCCACGAGCACCTCTCTCACCTAAAGGTGATCTATTCCATGCCTGATTTATCTGGATAATTGTCTGCTATCCTTCACCTTGATCTTGACCTTACTCCTATCCTGCCTTTAGGAAGGAAGGGGCATTCAGAAGCATTGACAGCCCAGGTGACATTTGAGATTTCCCTAGAGACAAGAGGAGATGCTAAGTTTTTAGTTTCCTCAAAATAGCTATACCTTAATGAAAACAAAATTGCAGCAAGGTAGGAGAAACAAGTTCTAGTGTTCCATAGCACTGTAGGGTAGATATAGTTAACAATAATTTATTATATATCTTCAAAAACCTAGAAGAGGATTTCTAACGTTCACAACAAAAAGAAATGATAAGTGTTTGAGGTGAGAGTTATGCTAATTACCCTTATTTGATTGTTACATATTGTATGCATGTATCAAATATCATTCTGCATCCCACAAATATGGGATTTACATACAATTAAATCCCATATTTGTGGGGTTGTAATAATTGTAGTAAATTATTTACTACAATTATTATGCATCAACTAAAAATAAAAGGAAAAGATCTGGACCAGTGTCTATAGTCTATGTTATTTGTCTATGTTAATTATCTATGTTAATTGTCTATGTTAGTGCATAGATGCTGCAGGGTCCAACTTTATATCTAGGATCCTGCTGAGCAACTCTGGGCAAATGCCACCGCTCACCCCCTCTAGACCAGTTTCCCATACAATGTTAGCCTTGGAGACCCTGCAAGCTCTGGCATTTCAGGCTCTACAGCCTGCACCTGCCTCCTTGATGTAAGCCAGTTTTCTGGCAATGGAAGAGAAGACTCCACAGTCACCTAGGACCAGTAGCCAAGACCCTCTGTGTGGTCTAGAGGGGAGGGGGCTAGCAGCACCAGGCCAGAGAACAGGTCCAAGGCCACACAATGGAGCCTCTCAGCTGCTCTGCAATAACCTGGATCCTGACCCCCAGGCAGGCTGCAGGGGCTGGACATAGCGGGAAAGGTAAGAGGTAAGAATCTTGGGAGGAGGGCTGACTGCTCCACTGCTGCCCTCACTGCACTCCATTAGCACCTTCACTTTGTGCTCCATGTTCCCATCCTTGTCTGCAGTAGGGAAGGAAATTGGAAGAAGGATACGTCCTAATTTTTGTTAAGGAACAGAGGAATAGGCTGGGAACTCAGGCAGGGACTCATTCCTAACCCTTCCACTCCAATCCTCTTCACTCACATTTCTCCAGCCTCTGCCCAAGACAGCCAGGGAGACTTACTGTACTCACAGACTCACACTGATACATCACAAGTATACCTTAGCACACACATAGTCATTCATCAATCTTCACCCCTAAGCACATTCTCCTGCACACACTGATGCATATCCATACCCTCTCACACACAAGCATAAACACAGTCACAGTCCCCAAACACCCAGAAGGCACACATCTATGGGCTGTGATACCTGCAGCCATCATGATAAAGTGAAAAGCTACAAACTTAACCCTTAAAACACCAAAGTTCTTTTTTTTTTTTTTTACTTCAAATATGGTGATAGTCGATCGTTATATCTTTCTTTGTTTTCTCAACTACCAAGTTAGATTGCTTGTAATGATGCCAGGCAGAAGTTCACTGCTTGTACCTCCAGGACAATGCCCAGCACACAGTAGGTGCTCACTAAATATTTAAGGAAGGAAAGAAGGAGCCAGACAGGAAAAAGATCTCCAGAGTTGGGGACAAATTAACTCGCCTGTGTTTGAGCATTATCAGGTAACTCCTCAAACAGGAAAACTGTTCTTGGTCACACACTGAGCCCTGACGCTGGGCTTACACATTTTAGATGGTCAGCAGATGGACCAAGGTGAGGGGTGCTCAGATCAGGGGCCGGAGAGGTCGTGTGGCTCATCGGAATCCGGAACCCGCTTCGTAGTTTGTCTGCCCTCGCATTGCAAGACCCACGGGCTTCCAAACAGACACTAGGAACGATCCTCAGTCCTTGCAGATCTTCGATCTGCGATCCTCCTGCCTGCCTTCGGGCTCTGCAGACCATAGCTGGCTGGGGCAGCCGGCACCCAGTGAACTGGGACCAAAGCTGGCCTTAGGATACATATCCTCATACCGTTCGGGTCCAGGGCTCATCTTCCCAGCTGCACAAACTATCTGCTGTGTGACCCCCGCCAGGTAGGTTCCACTCCAAAGTGGAAAGTAGAGCCGTGCTGTCCTCAGAACCCCCAAGCTCCTGCAGTCTGGGTCGAAGGCTAATTCACGCAATAGCCTCACTAGTTGCCCTCTTTGACTATGATGACTGTTGAGGAGGCGAGACCTATCTCAAAAAGATGTATAGGCAACTCAAAGTTGAGACAGGAACCCAAAAGGCCCAGAAGGGGCGTCGGGGAAGGAAGGCGTGGGCCGGGGTGGGGGTGGGGAGGTGGATTCCTCACACTCAACCCGAACCCAGCACATTTGCATCTGAACGGGATGGGGCATCTAAGCCCAGGAGTCCGAACTGCACAGACACCTGCTGGGGGAGGGGGTCGCGAATCGAGGGTCCTCTGTAAGCACCGGTGAGTTAATGTGAACAATAAAGTCCACTCCTGTACCCTCGGCCCTTACCCCACCCTCCGCCACCACACACACACCGGCAGTGTCTACACAGATAACTCGAAATGCACTTTTCAGGTCTGCAGTGATTTTTAGGAATCAAAAGGACGGATTTGAATTTTTTGTTCCCCCAATGATTCGCCCTTTCCAGAACTAAGATCCATGCAACTGCAATTCCAAAGATCCTTCTGCCTGCGTAGACAGAAATGCCCCAGAGATGAAAGCAGCCTGAGGCAACTTTCCAACACCTAGAGAACTGAGCACAGATCTCCAATGCCCGGGCTTCCCGCGGTGAAACGCGCGGAACCCCTGTAGCGGCATCGGAGCGCATCCTTCCCAGCCGAGCGCACTTGCGGGGTCTGATGAAAACCCCTCGGAAGCCGCGTATCTCTTAAATAACCCAGCAGGGAGTGGAGTGGCAGTAAAGCCTGGGACTCGGTTACCGACTCCGGGACGACGAAATTTCGGCGAGGAGGCTAGCGTGCCGGGAGGAAGGCACCGGGTAGAGACCCCTGCTGCAGGAGAAATGCAAAGTCGCGGACAGCGAGCGACTTCCGCTCAGAGTCCGCGTGGAGCGAAAAGACAGCGCTCCGCAGGGACCCAGGACTCGAGGCTGAGAGCAGAGGGAGCGCCAGAAACAACCCAGAAGGTGACGGTGCGGAGTGCAGCACCGGGGCGCTGCGGAGGAAACCGCCTTCCTTCCCCACTAGTCCAGCAGTCCGAAGCCTCCAGGCCTCCGGAGCGGCCTCAGCCTCGAGCGGCAGCTCTCGCTCCGCTACGGAAGGAGGCGGTGCCCGCTCCGCCCTGCGCCGCGCCGCGCCCACTAGCCCGCGGAAAAATCCGTTCCCGAAACTAGAGCTGGAAACCTCTGTCCTGTCTACAGGTTCTCTGCTGGTACGTGTCTGCGCCGACCTTAAAGAACAGAGTAATTCCGCTCCAAAAAACCCAATCAACATTTGTTTTGCTCACAAACGCTTTAGGAGGATGAGTTATCCTGCCCGACCACTGCCCATCTTTAGTTTTCTTTCAACGTTTCTCCAGAGCGCCAAACCTCAGAGCGTCAGCCACAGAGACAAATGTGGGCTGGATGTCATCTTCCTGGTTGGCCCTCCTGAACGCCTCCCCAGGCCCCAGCCTACACAACATTTTGACGCGCGTATCGGAATTAAGTTAGGCGCAAACCCAAACTGGCCCCGCTTTTCTTTGGCTTGATGCATAGTGTTCGAAATAAACTCCGAATTCGGTCCGTAAAGACTCTAGGCGAGCTGCCTCCTCCCAACTTCTCCTAAGCACGAAACCTTACGAGGCACGCTCCACACACAAAATCTTTTCTCCCTTTCTCTTACAAGGTCCTTCGTTTAAACAGCGTCGGCGCCTTTATTCGCCTGACCCTGTGCGCAGGAAAACCCGCCTGGTCGGTCATTGTCTGGTCCGCGACTGCCCCCGCCCCCGCCCCAATCAGTGTCACAAAACGCCCCTTTCAACAGATTCCAAACCCTCTTCACCCGGGCTCACCGAGCCTTCAACTTCATTAAGTGCGCGCTGCGGCGGCGCTGGAGGAGGCGAAGTTTAAATAAACCGGAGCGGAGAGGGAGGAGGGGTGGGCCTGGGGAGGGTTGCTAGTTGAAGGGGGGAGAAAGAAGTGTTTTTGAAAAGGGGAAAAAAGTCATCAGGGAAAAAGCGCTTTGTAACCACGAAGACGCGCCCGCTGTGGCAAGAGCAAATTGGATATGGAGGGGAAGTGTCCGCCCCCACCTCAACTCCGGCTCCTGGGTGGTCCGAGGAGCCCCAGGAGAAAGAAAGAAAGATGGGGAGGAATAAGCGGTGAAAAGAATTAACCGCTTTAATTGGGCTGCAAGAGAGAAGTGCGGAGAGTCTCACCGATGTGCTTCGATCACCCAAACCAAATACCCTTCAATAAAATAAAATGTCTGCTCTTAGCGGCGGCTGAAAAACGTACGTCAAAGTTTCAGAATCAAGGCTGTTCTTCACAGCCCTAGAGAGTAAATCTACAAGATGAGGGAAATTCGCCCGGAAAGACCCCCTCCCCTTCCTTGTGGCCTCGGGCCTCCCGGCGCTGGATGAAAAGGAATGAAATTGAACGAAATTGAACGAAATGAAGTGAAATTGACCAGTGAAATTCGCCAATTTTCTTTCCCTTTAAACTGCCCGCTCTCAGCAGCACTCTCTGAACCCCAGGCCGATTTCCTACCTTCTTTTTTTTCTCACCTTAGAGAGATGAAGGTATGCCCTGAATATTTTCTTATTATTGTCACTGATTGTTGGGGCCTGCAGGGCAGCAGAACCTCAGTTCCCTCCACCCAAGCACAGACGGAACCTACAGGAGCCCCTCCAGATGGGATAGCCTGTTTCTCCTCCCAGGATGCCTAGTGAGCCTCCTTAAACTGAACACCCACCCTATGCACCCATAGTTTGGGAGGAGTCACCCATTAGGCCCTTCCAGTCAGGAGGAATTAAAAAACATCCAGGAGGATTCTACCATACAAATCCTGAAACTCCCTCATCCTTTGCCTTGAAGTCCAGATCCCAAATGGGCCCTTCCCAGCTCCTAACAGGTTCCCCACAAAGACAACCTAAAGGAGCCCCAAACTCTAAATACCCTCCCTTCTTCTCTGCCTTCAGCATCTGGAGCCTTGGGAGCTCCCGCAGCAATTCCCTTTCTGGGTATTTTTCAAGGCCAGCTGGGCATCAGTGGCTTCTCTCTGACTCCCGGTCCTCAGACCGCAATCTTCTCTGGCTCAGGTCTACCCTTCTTGGCCCACTGAGAAACTGGGGTCTGAGTCATGGGTCTGGAGCTCCAAGATCCCTAGAAGCCCCTATAAGGGTACATCTCGCTCTTGTTCCCCAGCCCTCTTTTTTCTACCTTTTCCTGATATGGATCCTCCAACACACAGACACCAAGCAATATGCTCAGATAAATTCACACACACACACACACACACACACACACACACACACACACACACACAAGGGTCTGCTGCTTCTCCTATAAATAGCAGTTGTGGAAGTATCTCATCCAACTATCCACCATCAGACATAATTCTTGCTGACTTAATTTTCTCCTCTAAAGAGGAAAAACCAATTAATAAATCTTTTACGTAAACCTCCGATCTAATATCTGGGAGTGACATATTCATTGTAAATGAGATCACATAGCTACAAAGTGCTTTACTGACAGCGCACACACACACACACACACACACACACACACATGCTCACTTGTGTGGGTGCATGTTCCTTCAGTCACAGTCACCCTTCCTCAAGTGAAAATAAACAAAATTAAACTCAGAGACATTTAAGTAGACGAAGCAACCAGCCAGAGACCTTCATCCCAGTATCAGCAGAGGTTTCTCCCTTTATACCATCCAACCTAACCTTACTTTGCCTGGACCATTTGATAAAATGGTGGGAAGGTGGCCCACTCCGTTTGACCTCCCTCCACTTCCACAGTCTCTCAACAAGGAGAGGGTTGCCTTGCCTCTGGCAGAGGGACTGCGTGTACTCTTTGCACCTTGAGCCTCATCTCTTCTCCACTGGTGAAGGCGATGAGAGACTTGGGAACCCCAAACAACCCTTCCCCAGCTCTGGTGTGTTCTTCCCACCCTAATCCTGATTTTGACACCCTTTCTACAGTGGTCTCAGTCCTCCACCTCTTCCTTCTTTTCTACTATTGCCAGCTGCAGGGATCCTAGCTGAAGAGGCCTGTGTGGCTCACCTCTCTCAAGTTCCCTGCATCTGGGTCTCTGACCGTGTCTTCTTCCTTCTCTGTCTGTCACTTCATCTCCCAACCCTTGCCCTCAACATGTGTCTGTTTTCTGTGAAGTCTACACTGCCTCTTCTTGCACCTCTGTTTCTCCTCTCCTATAATCTCACTGGAATATATAGAGAAAAGAGCTAAGCAATCATCTCTGCTTCACCCAAAGATCACCTCTCACTCAACACACTGGCAAGTCTGGCCACTGGGAGTCCCAGGCATAGGCAGAGAGCTGGGAGACTCAATGGGTTTATGGAAGACTCCAACCAGACCAATGGATTTGTACTCAGGCAGTAGCTTCCAGCTATGAGTCTTGCTCACGGGATGGGAAGTTTTACCTTGAGTGTTACTCCACTGACTCTTTCATTCAGCTCATAGTGCCCCTCTAACCCTCTTGGGCTGGAGGAAAGAAAGGTTTCACAGTCCCCAGTCCAAGCCTTTTACTCTGTTACATGTGTTAGGGGGTGGCGGGGGGGGGAGAGGGGATTCCAGACAAGGCCCTAAAGCCGCCAGGGAGAAACCTGTCTCCTCTCAGAGACAGAAAGACAGCAACTGAGAATCACAAACACACACAAAGACATGTTCACCAACATACATAGAAATAATAATGCAGATATTCTGAAATACAATTCACACACACACACACACAAAAAAAAAAGCAAGGAGCTGTGCCGACCCAGACAAACACAAAAACAAATCATAAGTTCCATAAAAGCCCTTCACTCAGAAACAGAGGCATACAGAGTACACATCACCAGATATATTCACCTTAAATTGTACTTAGTGGGTAGAGTGTTCATGAACCCTTAGCACCCAGATCTGCCCAGGCCATGCCAACATCCAAACTAGAAGGACATGAGAATCCTCAGGTGCAGTGGAAACACAACCCCAGGCAAAACTCCAGGCAACAACCTTCTTAGGACTAGAACGAAAATGAAAGTGCTGGAGAGGCCACAGGCTTCCCAGAGATTCGGCCTCATTAACAGCTGAAGGCCAAGACCAAAGTGCCCCTTGCATCCTCTAAGCTCAAACCCCTCTCTGCCTGCTTGGGCTGCCCAGGGGCCTTTCCTCACTCCCCCTCTGTTGGGGAGCTAAGCTCTTCTGGGAGAGCCCCATCAGGGGCAAGGGAGTGCAGGCAAGCAGACAGAGCTGGTGACTGCTGAAGTTCACATACATTTATTCAATCGACACCAATGGGAAATAGGCGGCAGACAGATTTTTCTTTTCTTCCACACAGACCATCAGACGATTTCACAGAGCTTCCCCACAGTGGAGAAGTTTAAATCAATGCACACCCAGTGGACAGAGAACGCCGAGAGCAGCGCGCTGTACAGATATTTACACAAAATTATAGGACCCCCTGCCACAGGGTGTGCCCTTGCCCACTCCACCCCCACCTCTCCAGTCCCTGGCCCAGACCCTTCTCTTCCACCCAATCTCATTGCCTTTAGCCACAATAAATATCACAGGGCCTGGGACAGGGTGGAACACTGACAGGGTTGCTGGCCGGAGATGGCTGGACCCAGCCAGCCAAGGGAAAGGAAAGAAATTCCTTTAAAAGCACCCAAACACAAAAGAGAAAGGATTTTCCTCAGTGGAGTGGGATCCAGGGTTTCTGCAGGGAATATAAAGACCCCCTGCTTCACCTCTCCGTTCAGCTCCGCCTGCGTAGACACTGGTTTAGGCTTCAGAGGAAACGAACTTCCTTGGAGAACAGCAAAAAAAAAAAAAAAAAAAAAAAGGTTGAATTTTTCTTTTAAGCACAAAGCAGATAATAGATGTCTTTAAATTATAATATTGGACAAGCAGGGTCTCAACGTTGGGGAAGAAGTGAGAGGGGAAAGGCAGAAAGGGAGACCCTCTGTTGGTGTTTCTGGCGGGATCCGTGGAGCCTGGCCAGGCATCTCTCCCGGAATGTGTTCCCCGAGAGGCGCAGAGGCAGGGAAAAAAACGAAGCCCCCACCCCCCTGCTTTTATTTCTCAAACTGTAAAGAATCTTGGCCTGCGACTTCTTCGCGTAGCCCCGGGCCTGTCGCCCTGAGCGATAGAGCCCGCTTAGTCCCAACTATCTGCGAGATTCTGTGCGTGGAGCCTGAAGTGCCGTGTCACGCGTGCCGGCCCAAGGTCTGGAGACTTCATAAATAGACTCCCTGAGTTCCGCTGGGACCGCAGGAACTCCCGGGAGAGGCTGAGGAGTGCGGACCTAACCGGCCCTGGGCCTGCTGCGGTCAGAAGTGGCAGCCACTAAGGCCGGCGACTTTGCTGGCAAACCGGGACCCTGAGGACAGCAGCGCGTCCCCGGGATGCGAGAGGCGAATGTGGCCAGCAACGGGAGCCAGGGCCGGAGCAGTCAGCATGGCCAAGACCTGGGCTTGGCCCCCAGGACCCGCGGCTGCCGCGAATGGCGGTCCCGGAGAGCCCTCGCCGGCGCCCGGGGGTGCTGCCCCGCCGCCACCGTGGCCCATGATGTGGTCTATAGAGAAGGAAGGCCTCTGCCCTGCCCCGGCGCCCCCGCCGCCTGCACCACCGCCCGCGTCCGTCTTGAGGCCCTGGCGCAGAAGTGCGGTGGGCAGACCCGCCGCGGTGCCGGCTGCGGGAGGACTCAGGGACGCCGCGTAGAAGGCTTTGGCGCAGCCCAGCTCCGCGCCCAGGAAGGCGGGCAGGCCTGCGGGGCCCGGGCCCGGGCCCGAGCCTGAGGCAGGCGCAGGAGCTGGGGCCGATCCCGCGCCTGCGAACACCGAGGCCGTCGGAGGTCCGGGTGGAGGCGCGGCGGCGCGGCCTGGGGGTACCGACAGCTGGCAAGGAGCGGCGGCGGCTGCCGCGGCGAAAGCGAAGGCGTGCGGGTGCGGGTGCGGATGCGGGGCCGGCCCCGGCGGGGGTGCGCCGTAGGCCGGGAGAGCCAGCCCGTAGCCGTAGCCGTAGGCGCCGTAGGCAGCGAAGCCGGGCAGGAAAGCGCCGGGATCCCCCGCCGCCGCGGCCCCGCCACGCAGCAGCAGCTCCGGGTGAGGGTGCGGGTGTGGGTGCGGCGGCGGCAGGGGCTGCCGCTTGAAGCGCTTGCGACGCCGCAGGAAGCTGCCGTTGTCGAACATGTCGGCCGACTCCGGGTCCAGCGTCCAGTAGTTGCCCTTGCCCGGGTTGCCCGGCTCGCGGGGGATCTTGACGAAGCAGTCGTTGAGAGAGAGGTTGTGGCGGATGCTGTTCTGCCAGGCGGGGAACTTCTCCCGGTAGTAGGGGAAGCGGCCGCTGATGAACTCGCAGATCTCGCTCAACGTCAGCCGCTTCTTGGGGCTCTGCAGGATGGCCATGGTGATGAGCGCGATGTACGAGTAGGGCGGCTTCACCAGCGGGCTCCGCGTCGCCGCGCCCCCCGACGGCGGTCCCGGCCCGGGCCCCGCTGCGCCGCGGGCCGCCGCGGCGCCTGGCCCCGGGCTCCCCGCTGCGGCCGCCGCCCCCCGGGACGCCAGAGCGCGGGGCTCGCCGTCCGAGCAGCCACCAGACTCCTCCTCGTCCTCGGCTAAGTCTGCCTCGGCTTCCTCCGCGGGAGGCTCGTGGCCGTGGGGGAGCACGTCCCGGGGGGCGCGGGGCCCGGAGCGAGCTGGGAGCTCCCCCCCGCCGCTGCCGCCGCCCACCACGTCTATGTCTGCGTCGGCCTCGGACAGCGCGGCCGGGGAGCTCTCGGAGGACATGATCTCGCAGCAGCAGCTGCCCAGGGTCATGGTGCCGCTGCCGCCGCCGCCGCCACTCTCCGGCTCCGCTCCGGCAGCGGCTCGGGCTCGGCCGCGCTGCCTCTGGGGCGAGTGCGTTTTGCGCGCGGGCGGGGAGGGGGCGGGGGACTGAGGCAGGCAGGGAGGGGTGTCCCCCGGCTCCGCAGCGCCCCCTGGCGGCCCAGCTCGGCCGCGCTCACCTTCCAGGGCACGACCCGCCGGCGGCCCCCGCCACTACCCCGGGAATCCGAGCTGGGACCCGCCGCTGGGGCGCAACGGAAGGAGCTGAGGCTTTCCCTTACCTGGGCGGGCCTCAGCCCCTAGTCCCCTCGGGGTGGCAGTGGTTGGTGGTGGGGGATTGTCCCTCCCGCCTAGCGGCTGCCTAAGGCGGAAGAGCTGCGGGCTAGGGCGGAGCTCCCTGGGCGGGGTGGGGCGAGGCGACAGGGGCGGGCGTAGCGCCTCCGCTGAGGGACCCGGCGGGAACAAACCGCCGCCGCGGCGGGAGCTGGGCTCGAGTGGCCGGAGGCGGGCCCTTGTCTTCGCCGCCGCTCCTGCACCCTGTGCTCCCTGAAGCCGCCGCCTTCAGAACGCTCAGCCCCTGGATGTTAAGGCTCACTCGGGCGCCAGCCGCAGCCAGGGAAGTGGCGGCGGTCCCCACCCGTCCTCTCCCCAAGGCGGCGCCCGGGCCACCGGGCCGAAGCGCAGTGGGAGCGCGAGGCTGAGACGCCGGGACCCACGCCGCCCCAGCGCGGCCCGCCGGCGCCCACCCGAGCCCGCACGGCTTCCAGCCCGAGGGGAGACGCATTCGAGTGATCACCAGGAGCGAACTTGGCGCCCGCAGCCTTGGGCCTGGGAGAGGTGAGATTGCGGCGGCGCCCTCTCCTCCCTCCGCTGTCGGGCCCGCCACCCCTCTCCGCGCGGAGAGGCCGGGCAGAGCGCCGGCCGCTGTGGCCGCGTTCCCGGGGCGCGGGCCGGTCTACTGCTCCGAGTTTGCCTGTTCTCCGACCCTCTGGATCTCGGCATCCGTTTGTCTCAGTCTCTGTGACTATCTCACTCTCCGTGAGTCTCTGTGGAAACGGCATTTGTCTGGATGTCTGTTCATGGGTCTGGGAATCCGCTTAATTTCTCCCTCCCCTCTCCCTGGCCCCAGTTGCCCTGAGGACTGGACACCCCCCACCTTCCTGGCTCCCAGGGTTCTGGGCCCCACCGACAGGCGGCAGGACCTCCTCCGCCCCCTGCCCGACACCCCCTCAGTGAACCCTGACCTCCACCAAGTGTTGCCTTCATCTCTCAAAAGTCTTGTGCAACTAAGGTTGGCCCTGTGCCTTGTTTCTCGCTAGCCGGGTTCCTGCCCATCCTATTAGACCTCTTTCTCCCCCGGCCTCCCTCCAGGACCCAGAAACAAGCAGCTTCAACACAGATTGGGCCCATTTCAGCCTCTGGGGCACGGAAGGGGAGATGGGCGCTGGACGTGAGCAGGAACTGAGCGGATGCCTGGGCTGCTGCCCCGACAGCGCCGCACAGTGGCTAAAGCTCGGGCGTGCGAGGCCGGAATCCCAGCTGCCTCCGCTGTAGCAAGGCTGTGTGACCCTCATTAGGTGACTTCCCCGCTTCGGAGCCTCAGTTTCCTGGTCTGCATAGTAGTTAAGAGCAGCGACCTTAAGTCAGGCTCCTGGGGTTCCAATCCTGCCTTCACTACTTACCCTATCTGTCACCTTGGGCAAGGTTCTTTGCGCTTTGTTTCTGCCTTTGTAAAAATGAGGCTAGTAACACCTACCTCAGAACTGATGTATAAGTGTAGCCATATTCTAGGCCATTTAGGAAAGGGTACTGAGAACACTTTGCAGTTTCATCTAACAGCAGCCTCCAATCTACGGGATAGCCTGGTGTTAATCCAACTCTCCCATTCCACAGATGGAGCTACAGAGGCCCAGGATAGGGAGAAAGAACTCACCCAGGCTCCTGCAAAGAAATAGAACAGAGTTGGGTTGCAACCCTTTTCACAGAATCCTCAAAATAGAGTTCTTCATCCCCCCAAGGTAAGGGCAGAAAAAAATGGAAGGCAGGTCTGACTACTCATGTCCTTTGAGAGGAAGTCGCCTGGGCCCCCTCTGGGACCTCTGACCAAGGGGATCCATTTAATGTGCTGTTCCAGCATAAACTGTCATTGGAAAAAAGAGAAATCTCGTCCTCAAACCATGGACAGCAAATTGGACAGGGACTAGTAGCCCTGGAATTGGAATTTCCTGGGTGACAGACTGTCCGGGGAAAAAGGTCTTGGAGAGAAGCTTCTTGCATGAGTCCAAGGAAACTCACATACCTAGGGTTGCTAGATTTAGCAGATTTATTTTATCTGGCAACCCTACACATACCTCAAGCTTGCTCTTGACTACATGGATATCTGTCTCACACTCCCAGAACCCCACTCACAGATACCCCACACCATGGACCACACACCAACTCCAACCCAGCTCAACTCTGCTAGTATCTAAACAAGTGGAGAGAAAAACAGTGTTGGCGTCATCCTACTCCATTTCACCTTCTGAATGTCCTCATTTCTTTTTTTTCTTTTCTTTTTTTTTTTTTTTTTTTTTTTTGACTGAGTTTCGCTCTTGTTGCCCCCCTGCTGGAGTAAAATGGCCTGATCTCAGCAGCTCACCACAACCTCAGCCTCCCAGGTTCAAATGATTCTCCTGCCTCAGCCTCCCAAATAGCTGGGATTACAGGCAGGCACCAACATGCCCGGCTAATTTTGTGTTTTTAGTAGAGAGGAGGTTTCTCCATGTTGGTCAGGCTGGTCTCAAACTCCCTACCTCAGGTGATCCACCCGCCTCGGCCTCCCAAAGTGCTGGGACTACAGGCGTGAGCCACCCTGCCCGGCCTGAATGTCCTCGTTTCTAAAACAGCAAATGGGAACCAGTAGCTTCCTTCCTTGCCAGCACTCCCCTGGCTCCCCAGGCTTTGGTCAGGGTGAGACTAGCCAGGGCACTTGCTGCCCAAATTTCCTGCTTCAGAGAAGTTCTACCAAGCAGCTACAGCAGCCAGCCCTTGCCTCTGCCTGGCCTTGCTGCACGTTCACTGCTACTGAGACCTACACTGGGGAAGGGGAGTACAGAATCCCCAGCTTCTGCTCTGCAGGGTTGGGGAGGGAGAATCCAGACCCTTCACATACATACTTTTTACAGGAGCGGAAACTGAGGTCCAGGAGATCATGTTACTTGTCAGGCTTTTGAGGGGCGCTAAGCTGGGTTGGACCTACGTGTCCGGGTTCCTAGCCCAGAACCCCTCTGTTTATCCAAATAGCTGTTTCTCTAACCGAGCTCCTCTCTGTATAGAGGGATTTCTAGTAGCCTCTCCTCCCTTCCAAGGTTCTGGGCCAGTTTGTTTTCAACAGTGTCAGGAGTAAGTGCACTGGGGACTGGGAGAAGGGCCACCGCGGGATTCGGAATTTATTTCGTTTTCTTTGCTTCTTCTGTGACCCTTACTTCTTTCGCCTACCGGCTCAGCCTGTTCGGCGTCTTGCAGCAGTGCCTGCGATCCCGCGTGAGTCCGTCGCTCCCTCCGCGAAAACCTGGACTCTTTCCCAGAAGCCTTGGGCTCCAGCACCATGCCTGCTGCAGCCGCCAAAGAGCGGGAAGCCACAGGCTCTGCGGGTCTTGGTTACAGCGTCTCTGGTCGTGCCGGGCCTCCTTCTGCATCTGTTCCACGGCCCGGCCATCTCCCTCGTGCAGCCCAGAACAATTGGGAGGAAGCGTTGGCGGGCGGAGGGGGATGCCTGTTGGGCTTTTCCACTAGTTACTGAGTGTTTTTTGCGAAGAGTACGTTGCTATCAGTGGCGTCCGGGTCGTCTCTCCCTCTCTTCCTTTTGGTCCCCATAAATGAGCTGTTCTCGGCTCTGGGAAAGAAAAGCCCTCCAGCGATTATGCGGATCTAATTAAGTCAATCAGGAAACTGCCGGAGAGCGGCACTGGCTTGAAGCGGAGTTTGTCCTGAGGCACAGCGGAACGATTGCACGCGGCCCTTTTCAGCGGTTCGAGCTCGGCCAGCGCCGGGCTGCAAACGGAAGCCTGAGCTGGGCTTGGGGAACTACGCCCGCAGATTTCTCTAATTTTATTCACAAAACTGGACACCCTCAGGGAAAGCGGCAAAGCCGGCGCGAGCCTCCTTCCCACTCTGGACCTAGCTGCAGCTCCAAAGCGAGATAGCTGTCTAGCCTCAGCCGGTACAGCTCCCGGCCCCTTTCTCCACCCGGATCTTCGGCTGCTCAGAAGCGATCAGCTCCCTTAGCCCAGGTGGGAGGCGGGAGACTCCAGATCCTGTGACCCGCGGAGGCAGACCTCAGACATGTTCCCCATGCACAGAAATGACTGGGGCTCCAGTGTGTGCACCTTCAACTCTGAAGCCCACCTGCCCACTTCAGGCGCTGGCGCGGAGATAACCACCACGCGTCTGCCGGGCAAAGTTCGAGAGTGAATTTACATCTTCTCTTTCCGCTACTCCTGGCCACTGTCCCCTCCCAGCCCCATCTCCCCCGCCCCCAACCCTGGACTATGTGGTAGGGGACTCGCTTAAGCACCCAAGTACTGCGCGGTTGTTGAGACCAAGGCGAGCTGCGGAGCCTGTGGGCTGTTGTTCGTGGGAAGAGGGTTGCGACCTCAGGAGAGACCGAAAACAGCGCCACTTGAAACCCGCCGGTCCTGAAGATCACAGAGTTCCCGGAGTGGTAGGGAAGGCTCCACGCTCTTGAGAGCAGAGGCGGCCAGGGGCAGTGGGGGACGCTTCCAGGTATGTGGGAAGGAGAACTTCATGTCTAAGTGCGCTCTTGTGGGTTTCTCGGCCAGCTGGGCCGAGCCTCTCTTTCTCTGTCCTCATGTGTCTGTCCTCTGGACAACAGTGGCTCTGTATGGCGGATTGCGACCCTGAGTGACGGGCGCCTGTCTTGCATCCTGTGTCCTGTGTCCTCCCCTCCAGACCTCATGCTTGGTGTCCACAGAGTGGACCCAGGACTGCCTGGAAGGCTTATCATCCAGGCCCGCGACTTCCCCCCAGAGTCTGAAGCCTTGCGACCTGGTCGGGGACGACAAACCTGCTCGGGGTCAACAGCGAGACCCTAGTGGGGAATGAGGATGGGTGAGGGTGCGCCTGGGTTGAGGGTCTGTGACTGTAGCATGGAAAAGGAGTTCATGCAGGGATCGCACTGAGGGACAGCCAAGAATACTCCAGCGGCAGCCTCCCTCCTACCAATTACACGCCGCCTGCTGGCACAGTGGCACCTCGGGAACAGGACGCCCTTCCGGGCCCTGAATTGGGGCAGCGCAGGAGGGAGGGTGCAGAGCCATAGCGACCTGTGTGTACCATAGACATGCACATGCGCTCACCTTCACGTGTAACCCTTCTGAGTCCCAGACAGGGTAACTGGCGAGGCCGTAAGTACCCTCGTGGGGGCGGAAATATTGCCGCGTCCCTGAGTCCTCTGGGCAGATGCAGAGCCGCGTAAGCCTCATAGAAGCAAAGCCAGGGGAACA